>NT_167248.2:4314410-4606388 GCF_000001405.40 Homo sapiens | reverse complement strand
GGCCAAACTGGTCTCGAACTCCTGACCTCATGATCCACCCACCTCAGCTTCCCAAAGTGCTGGGATTACAGGCGTGAGCCACCGGGCCCGGCCAGCCTCCCCATTTTCTTTGCCTATTTTGCCATCAAGAATGAAGTATCTGTGCCCCCATCTCCAAATCCCTGAGACACCTTGATAGGAAACCACTGGGCACCCATCACCAGCTTTTTGAGTCCTCTTCCAACTCTAGTGACTGGCTCTCCTCTCGGTAACTAACAGCCCTCCCCCCGACCCCAAACCTAGTTGCTAGTTTCCCAGCTTCCAGAGCTCTCCTGGGATATTATATACTGGCCTTGAAATTTTAGGAGAAATTATGGTTGTAGAAGCAAAGGCTACTCAGTTTAGAGGTATCATAATTAGGGTGTCCTGTTGCCCAGAGACGTGTTTTGGGACCTTTTCTGGAGATGTTTTCCAGAGCAGAAACGGCTGTCTCCCCAGGCCTGCGCGTCTCATTAAGAACAATCATCCTGGTGCCAGGTTATGTCAGGTCACCCTCAAATTCGGGGCTCCCTGCCCCCGGGTTAGACAACTTCTCTGAGTGCCCCGGGAGGGGGGCGTGTCCCAGTCCCGGTCTCTACTCCCCAGGACGGCAAGTCCGAGAAGGGACTTGTGTCGGCCCAGCCCGGACCCGAGGCCAAGGCGGCGAGGCTCTCCCGCCCGCGCCCCGCGCCGACCCCCGGCTCCCTGCCCCCCACCAGCGCCTCCTGCCGCCTCCTTACCGGTGACAGCTGGGGCCGCCGGGAGCCGGGCAGGGGCAGACGTAGGAGACCTAGGCGAGTCCCCCGCGCGGAGAGGGCACGTCCGGGCGTGGGGGGGCGTGCAGGCGGAGGCCGGGGGGTCCCCAGGCCCAGCCCCTCCGTCCCGGCGGCTCTGGGGCGTATGACGCAGCAGCCAAAGCAGCGGCAGCGGCAGGAGGAGGAGGCGGCGGGGGGGAGGGAGGGAGGGGAGGGACGGACCGGTTGGGGGGGAGGGTGGTGGGAGGGGAGGACTGGGGGAAAGGAGGAGCCGGAGGGGGGGGCGGGCACCACCTCACCCCACCTCCCTCACCTCCAACAGGCCTGGAGGGCGCCGAAGAAGAGGCTGGCCCTCCGCGGCTTGGGGAGCGAAGAGTCGGACCCGGTGGGAGAGGGAATCCCCTCAGCCCCTTCCTCCGACCTGAGATTCGCCCTTGGGGCACGAGGGAATCCCCCCTCCCGGCAGCCCGCCTCCGGCCTGGTCCCCCGCCCCATGCCACATCCGTTAGCTGCCCCACCCCCCATGGTCACTCCAAGTCCCGCCCCCCGGCCCCAGTTCACAGCCCCGCCCTCCATTCACCCTTCTCGATGCCCCCACCACGCCCTCCTCCCTCGCGCGCCCCGCCCTCCACTCGCTGTTAGCCCCAGCCCCGCCCTCCCCGTGACGAGTCGCGCCCCACCCACCGCCCTTTTGCGCACGCGTGTCCCCTCCTGCGCGCGGCACCTGGGAGGACTGAGCCCCTCCTTCACCGGGCGGCGGCCGTCGGCGGTTGGCGCGAGGGAGTCGGCGGGCGTGCGCGCCGCTTCCCGTGGACGTCCCGCCCCGTGCTTCCAGGGCTGGCGCAGACGAAGGGCGCGAGGACCCAAGGCGGTGACGCCACCGAGAGCCAGCCAATGGGCAGCGAGCGGGCAGAGCCCCAGCCGTTCGAACGGAAAGGCAGGGAAAGGGCGGGACGGGAGGAAAGAGCCAACAGTTTGGGAGCGCGCGCTAGCCCCGCCTCTGGACTCTGGGGTCCGGTCCCCATTTGCCGACACCCACCAAAGGAACGTTCTTCCCTGGGGCTGGGGTGGCCGGCGGAAGGGTGAAAGTTACCTATAACTAGTGACCAAGGAGGGGGCGTGGATAGCTAGAGGGCACACCTCCCTGATGTGACGGACGGGGTAGGGGGTATTAGCAGAGGGGAAGATGATCCAGGCCAAGGTCCAGAACCGGTGATAGCAGAGGGGAGAAAAGACGAAGCCCTCAGCCCCCGCTCCCGCCTCCCACGTAAACGTTTGGCAGAGGGTACAGATCACAGCTCCCACTTTTACAGATATGAAAGTATCTGCCTTCTTGGGCAAATGCTAATAAAACCTTTATTTAAAAAAAAAACCAAACTATTCTTTATTTGATAGCCCTGGGACATGGTGCCCTCCACCCAATAAAGCACCCTCCAGCAACCCTCCCACCCCTCACCCGATACATAGACATAGGGACACACACACACACACACACACACACACACACACACAGATCTGGATCCGTCTTCACTTCCTGTTGGCCTGAGCAGTACCAATAACACACTGGTTCACCTGGGGGCAGGGGGTTAGACAGGATAAAAGTTTGCAGCGTAACCAATACAACATTTTTCCCAAGATCTCCCATCCTCCAATGCTAGGGCTGCCCTCAGAAATACCGAAATAAGGCCTCCAAAGGCTGGTTCAGGCTGGTGCCAGTTATGGTTTGTTCTCCTCTGCACACTAGGTTTGGAGGAGGTGAAAAGGCTTGAGAAGAGATGGAAGCCCCAGAAGAAAATACAGGAGCAGAGAAAGGAGGCTTTCATTTCCAGCAATACCCTGTACTAGAGACCTCCAACCTCTCCCACTGTAAAACACTTAAACCGAGATAAAATAGTAATAACACCCATTTAGGAACTAGGACTCCTTAGAAAATGGATCAGTTGAAGTCTGGGGAAGGAAATGTACAAGTTGAATCTGAAAAGACTACTAGAGTTCTGTCTAAAGGACACTGGCACCAATCTGAAGGAGGCTCTTTTTTTTGTTGTTGTTGTTGAGACGGAGTCTTGCTCTGTCGCCCAGGCTGGAGTGCAGTGGCGCGATCTCGGCTCACTGCAAGCTCCACCTCCCGGGTTCAAGCCATTCTGCCTCAGACTCCCAAAGTAGCTGAGACTACAGGCGCCCGCCACCACGCCCGGTGAATTTTTTGTATTTTTAGTAGAGACGGGGTTTCACCGTGTTAGGATGGTCTCGATCTCCTGACCTCGTGATCCACCCACCTCGGCCTCCCAAAGTGCTGGGGTTACAGGCATGAGCCACCGCGCCCGGCCAGGAGGTTCCTATTGGCTAAAGATGGGGCAATTTGAGCATCAGAAAGAAGAACGACTGTGGCCGGGCTGGGTGGCTCACGCCTATAATCCCAACACTTTTGGTGGCTACAATGAGCTATGATTGAGCCACTGAATTCCAGTCTGGGCAACAGAGCAAGTCCCTGTCTCAAAAAAAATAAAAATAAAAATAACCCTCAGATAAACATTCATTGGTCACCTTTGGAAGCTGCTAGGATATCAACTCAATACTGAAAATCAATAAATAATTCAGCATTTATCTTGTTTTTCCTGTATGAATTGAATTTCAGAGAAACCAAGTAGATGGCAAGGCAAATGTCTTCATAAAAGAATCGTGACTAACCAATGCAGAACAACTAAGATTAGAAAAATCCCCATTTAGAAACCCCTTAATGAAATAAAGATCCAGGTATGGTCACTGCTGGATAAAATCACTAGGTGAAAAAGTCAATAAGGAGCTTGTAAATGGATGGGTCAGGTTGACAACACCCAAATATGATAAATAAGTGAAAGTATGGGGGAAAGAGGAAGCAACCAGCCAAAATCCAGAATAGTATATTCTATAGGACAAATGACCTTCAACAAACGACATAATAGTGGCAGTGTGGGATAGGGTTGTGGAACTTGAGACATTTCAACCAAGTGGGTGGCCCTTGCCTGGATCCTGATTTGAACAAACCTATTATGTATAAAAGACACTTCTGAGACAGTTGGGTGAAATTTAACATAAACTGGGTATTAGAGGATATTAAAGTTCATGTTGTTGGATGTTACATTGGTATAACATTAATAAAAAGTTAGAAAAAACATCACCACCCTCTAAAATTGAACTTGCAAGATAGTGAGGGAAACCCTCATCAAAGTAGAATACCAGATCAGGGTGCAGGTGCTGGCTACTCCACAGCAACAATCAGTGCTGACTGGGAGGAGGCCCAAGCGCACAGCAGGACAGACCTGATCAGACCTCAAATAAAGCCAGAGCCCATCAAAGGGCTATACGCGCAGGAGGAGGGTGTACCAGAGAAAAAAATTACTGTGGAGGCAGACAGTAAGGAAACTTTCTGACTTGCTTAACACTAGTGGAAGGAGATTCTAGTGGAAGGAATTCTCATTAGTGAGAATTCATATAGCCACTGGCTGACCCTCATGAGGTTTGGAGTCTGAATTCACACTATTTGGAATAGTCTGAAAAACCTCTAAGTCTTTGATCCAGTAATCCCATTTCAAGGACTATTTCCCTAGTTAGATGTAACTGAAAAATACAAAATGATGTATGTACAAAGTTAGTCAACGTGGCCTTGTTTGTGACTAAAAAAGTGTGGAAACAATCCAAGTGTCCAGTAGAGGGAACTGGTGGATAAATTTTGGTGCAGCTACATAGTGGAGTCTAGGCAGACCTAAAAATAATGATCTCTGTATGCTGATAGGGAGGAATCTTAGGGATTTTTTGTGTGTTGGTTTTTTGAGACAAGGTCTTACTCTGTCACCCAGGCTGAAGTGCAGTGGTAGGATCACGGCTCACTGCAGCCTCCACCTCCCAGGTTCAGGTGATCCTCCCACCTCAGCCTCCTGAGTAGCTGGAACTACAGGTGTGAGCCATTACACCCAGCTAATTTTCCTATTTTTTGTAGAGACAGGGTCTCACTATGTTGCCCAGACTGATTTTAAACTCCTGGGCTCAAGCAATCCTCCTGCCTTGGCCTCCCGAAGTGTTCGGATTATAGGCATGAGCTACTGCGCCCAACCAGTTTAGACCTTTTAGTCACCTTTTCTTTTTTTTTTAATCAGCTTTCTCAGGTTAAATTAATCACCCGTTTTTTAAAAAATTTAACTCAAAAGCTAATAATTAAAAATGGAACCAGGTGAGCAGTGCCTCAGATACCTGCAAAACCTTTCTGCACAAATGTGCTCCCTGCCCTAGAAGACAAAAGGGATTGGAATGGAGAAGCCTACAACCACCCACGGGTCCTGACAAGGCTGACGGGTGGTAATCGCACCTTGGAGGCAAAGCGTAGAGAGTTGAGGGACTCGGAGACGTTCTCTTCCAGTGGAGAAATGTTCACAAACATGAGCCTATGAAAAGACAATGTGCCCAACCCCAGCATTAGGGGCCAGCAGAGCCTGGACAGGTCTCCACTGTTCCCCTTTCTACCCCTCACCCCAACACAGTTCCTACCTGACCCCTTCCATCTGTCCCTTTCACTCACATCTTAGCACTACCACCCAGAGAGTTCTGCAGCAGGTAGGTCAGTTTGCTGTTCCGGTAAGGCACGTGGGACTCCTAGATGATTGAGGTGGGGACAGATGTTTAGGAATAGGCAGGGTTCTGCACAGCCAACCCCAACTGTCCCCCAGGTCCCGTATCTCACCCCACTCCCATTCCCACCTTGTTGCTCAGGGCCATGATAACCAGCCCCAGCGTGGACAGGCTGCTGTTAATGGCCTGTGTTTCCCGAAGGCGTTCCCGCTCCCCGGGGCCGAGGGCTAAGCCGGGGTCAAGTCGCTCACTCCCGGCCAGGTCCACAAGACTGAGGGGGGCCCCACACTGCAGGCCTCGGCTGGAGTGCTCCCCAGAAATCTGTAGCTGGAATACACTGTGGCTGCGTGATGACCGTTCATTCTGGGCTGTGCGGGCCACAGCCCGATTCTGGCGGGCCAGATGAAGCAGGGCGTCCACCTGGGGATGGGAGCAGAAGGGGCAAAAAGGCAGGCAGAAGTCAGTACATAGTAATATGTATGGAAATGAATAAGAGCCCACCCCCACCCTCTTGAAGCTTTCTAGCCTGTCAAGAAACAAAATAAGATGCACAGTATGTCTGAAAATGGTAAGGAATACATAGAATAGGGAGTGTATAAAGGCGGGGTGGGGAACACAAGTTTTGACAGGATAGCCAAGATCTCCAGGAAAGAGCATCCAGGCAAAGGCCCTGAGATGGGGAGCACGACTAGCTGGTTGAGGAACAGCCAGGAGGCCAGCATGGCTAGGATGAGCTGAGCAAGGAGATGAGACATGAGATGTAGTGACCCTCCTCGTTTTGGCAGATGCATCACTCCCTCGCCACTCCCAGGTTAAGGCAGATCTACCGACAGCCCACAGGCCAAAACCGGATGTGGTAACCCAGCCTGATAACTTGCACTTCATCCTTCAATTCTCTCTTGCTCCTTTCTCCCTCTACCTCCATCTCGTGGCACCCTGCCCACTCCTCCCCATTTCCCAGTTCCAGTACCCATGGGTCCTCACTTCTTTCTCACAGGAGACAGGGACATATCGAGCATTGGTGACAGTGAGCTCCTCACTCCCTGGCCCTGCACGGCGAATCTCACACTCGCCCCCTTGACCCTTCCGGGTTCCAGTGGCCAGCAGGTCCCGGACAGTCTCATTGTAGATCTCTACGTAGCTTGCTACAAAGCTGTAGGTCCAGCCCTGACCACTCAGCTCCTGAGCCACAGAGAAGAGGTGCCGCAGGGCCCGAGGGATCAGCCCCTCCAACTGGGGGTCTCCCCCAGGCCCACCCTCCATTGTGAAGGTCTTGCCACTGCCTGTCTGGCCATAGGCAAAGATGCATACTGGATAGCCATCCAGGGCTGACTGGACAAGCATGGCAATCTCTTCAAACACTTCATCCTGTCCACTTCCTGGTGGGAATACCCGGTCAAAGGAAAAATCATGGCGAGTTGGGGGAGCTGGTGCCCCACTCAGGGTCCCACGCCGCTCGTCAGACCGGGAGAGGCTAAGGCGGGTTGGAGGATCAGAGGGCCCACCAGGGCCAGAGGGAAACAGGAGGAGGCCAGGGGGTGGAGTGGGCTCCCCCGGCAGGACAGGGCGGACCCGGCAGAATACACGGATGTTGCCCTTGAGTTCCTGCAGCTGGTTGTGCAGTCGCCGGCGCTCCATTTCTAGCCCATGAAGACGTTCTTCCCGCTCAGTCAGTAAGGCTGCCTGGGCCACAGTCTCCTGCCGCAGAGATGCCACCTCTGCTTGGCTGCTTGACAGGGCTGCTTCTGATGTCTGCAGCCTCCTCTGCCCAGAAGAGAACACAACATACACAGAGGGTAAGATGCAACCAAGAAGAAGAACAAACTGTGGGGCGTATGGAGTGGGTGGAAGTGAGGTCCCTGCTCAAAAGGACCTCAAAGTCTGGTAAACAAAGAAAGATGAGAAAATAAGGAATCATGGTACTAAGACAGGGAGTGCTATGGGTATGTCCAAGCACAAAGAGGAGCACAAGGAAGATGATATCTAGGGTGACACCCAGAAGTACAGGAGTGAACCAAGGAAGGATGTAGTATACAAAGAACATTCCAGAAAGAGGGAAGCACATATGCAGAATGCCCAGAAGTGAAAGTTGAGTCATTTAAGAGACTGCAAATAACTTAATCTAGTTGGTGCTCACCAGGAAGGAGTCAAGTGGACATGGGAGGAGGGAAAGAGAGTACCACAGGAATTTGTGATCAGGATGGGAACCCAAAGAAAGAGGGATGGAGGACTAAGAAAGACACAGATCTAAATGAGAGCTTTGCAAACAGTCAAGGGTAGGAAGAAGCGTGGCAGAAAGCAAGACAGTCAGGAGTGGGCTGGGGTGCAGACAGGTCAAGAGAGAGGTATCTTCAGCAGCACCTATACTGCTAAAGATAGGTGCTCAGGAGTTCTCAGCCCAGACTTGAGGGGTACCTGGAAGGGAGGGGAGGCATGACCTCTGCCAGGAAAGCGGGGCTGACATCTGGTGAAAATCTGGCCCTTACCTCCTTCTCCTCTAGTTGGGACATCAGTCCCCTCCGTTCTTCCTGCAATTCCACCTGTTTTTTCTGAAGCTCTTGCACCAAGCCCTCCTGCGTGCTCAGCCGCTCTTCCAGCTCCAGGACACAAGCACGCAAGTTCTTCAGCTCCTGTTGGCCCTGCTCAGCCTGGGCCTGTACCTTGGCTAAATGCCCCTCCAGTGTTGTGCGCTCTGTCCCCAGGGCCTTGACCTGCTGCTGGGCATCTCTGAGCTGGTCCTGAAGCTGCTGGTTCTCTTGGTCCAACGTTTGAGTCCTCTCACGGCACCGTTTTAGTTCTGCATTTAGGTCACATAACTGACCCTTTAAGTCCCAGGCTGGACGTTTGCTGGGTTTCTTCCCTCCTGCCATGGGAGGAACACCTGATGCTAAGATGAACACAGAAAGGACAAAGGTCAGTGAAGTCTAGGCTCTCTATCCCTCCTCCCTTCTAGCCTTTATGGGATCCACACCTGATGCTACATCTCCTTCCCCTTAGAGACCAAATGGATTTTTCTGGTCACTCACCATCTTCTCTTCCCTATCCCAGCCTCTCACCCAGTGGTTATGTTTGTCACTTACTGCCAGACTTCTGGACAGGAACAGCAGGAACTGGCTTCTGGTTCTTCAACCCTACAGAATTGAGGAGGTGACTTAGGAATTACAGGACCAGTGTCCCTCCACCTCCATCATTCTCCCTTTACACATACCCCAAATCCCTTCTCAGACCCAGCTCTTGAGCACAGTTACCTGTGGCAATAGCTGTGGAACACCGGGGTCCTGTCTTCTTGGAAACTTTTTGAGCTGCCCAGGAGATGGGAGAGAGCAAAGGTAGAATGATCATTCTTAAGATGGCATGTACACTTGCTAGGACAGGGGCAGAAGAAGTGCTTTTCTCAGAATTAGAAATAGGATAACTTCCTTCCCTTATCCCTAAGTCTGGCCAGCTCCTAATGATACCTCCCCTAGAACCAGAAATTACAGTCATCCCTCAGTATCCAAAAGGGGTTGATTCCAGCACCCCCCAAGAATACCAAAATCCAAGGATGCCCAAGTCCCTTACATAAATAGGTATATAGTATTAAATATAGTCTATGCACACGCTCCCATATACTTTATTTATTGATTGACTGAGACAGAGTTTCACTTGTTGTCCAGGCTGAAGTGCAATGGCATGATCTCAGCTCACAGCAAACTCTACCTCCAGGGTTCAAGCGATTCTCCCGCCTCAGCCTCCCGAGTAGCTGGGATTATAGGTATGCGCCACCACGCCCAACTAATTTTGTATTTTTAGTAAAGACGGGGTTTCACCATGTTGATTAGGCTGGCCTCAAACTCCTGACCTCTGGTGATCTGCCTGCCTTGGCCTCCATTTTGTTTTTTTTTTGAGATGGAGTTGCACTCTTCTCACCCAGGCTGGAATGCAATGGCGCGATCTCAGCTCACTACAACCTCCACCTCCAGGGTTCAAGCAATTCTTCTGCCTCAGCCTCCTGAGTAGCTGGGATTACAGGCAAGCGCCACCACGCCTGGCTAATTTTTTTTTTTTTGTATTTTTAGTAGAGACAGGTTTTCAGCATGTTGGCCAGGCTGGTCTCAAACTCCTGACCTCAGGTGATCTGCCTGCCTCAGCCTCCCAAAGTGCTGGGATTACAGGCGTGAGCCACCGCATCCAGCCGCATATACTTTAAATCATCTTTAGATTACTTATAATATCTAACACAATGTAAATGCTATGTTAATACAGTCATGTGCCCATAATGACATTTCGGTCAATGACAGACTGCATATACAACAGTAGCCCCGTAACATTATAATGGAGCTAAAAATTCCTATTGCCTAGTGACATTATAGCCATGGTAATGTCATAGCATTCCTCACCTGTTTGTGGTGATTCTGATATAAACGAACCTAATGCACTGCCAGTTGTATAAAAGTATAACACATATAATTACATATAGTACATAATACCTAATAATGATAATGACTATGTTACTAGTTTATATATTTACCGTACTGTACTTTTTATTGTTATTTTAGGGTATACTCCTTCTATTTGCAAAAACAGTTAACTATAAAACAGCCTCAGGCATGTCATTCAAAAGGCATTCCAGGCCAGGCACTGTGGCTCACGCCTGTAATCCCAGCACTTTGGGAGGCCGAGGTGGGCAGATCAAGGGGTCAGGAGATTGAGACCATCCTGGCTAACACGGTGAAACCCCGTCTCTCCTAAAAATACAGAAACAAAATTAACCAGGCGTGGTGGCGGGCACCTGTAGTCCCAGCTACTCCGGAGGCTGAGGCAGGAGAATGGTGTGAACCCAGGAGACGGAGCTTGCAGTGAGCCGAGATCATGCCACTGCACTCTAGCCTGGGCGACAGTGCGAGACTCCGTCTCAAAAAAAAAAAAAAGGCAATCCAGAAGAAAGCATTGTTATCACAGGAAGTCACATCTCCATGTGTGTTACTGCCCCTGAAGATCTTCCAGTGAGACAAGATGTGGAGGTGAAAGCCAGTGATGTTGATGATCCTGACCCTATGTAGGCCTAGGCTAATGTGTATATTTCTTCGTTTTTAACAAAAAGTTTGAAAAGCAAAATAATATTTAAAATTTTTCAAATTTAAGCTTATTTCTTGGAAAAAATACAAATAAATAAAATTTTAAATTAAAAAAAGAATTTCAGGCGGGGCGCAGTAACTCATGTCTGTAATCCCAGCACTTTGGGAGGCTGAGGCGGGCGGATCACGAGGTCAGGAGATCGAGACCATCCTGACTAATACGGTGAAACCCCATCTCTACTAAAAATACAAAAAATTAGCTGGGTATGATGGCACACACCTATAGTCCCAGCTACTCGGGAGGCTGAGGCAGGAGAATCACTTGAACCCAGGAGGCGGAGGTTACACTGAGCCGAGATCACGCCATTGCACTCCAGCCTGGGCGAAAGAGCGAGACTCTGTCTCAAAAACAAAAAACAAAAAACAAAAATTTTATTTTCAAGCCAGGAGACAGAGATTCATATTGCCCTGAATATATGCTCCCCGCCCAAAACAAAATTTAGATAGAAAAAAAGCATGAGGAATAAGGATATAAAGGAATAAAATATTTCTGTAAAGCTATACAATGTTTGTGTTTTCAGTTGTTATTACAAGAGTCAAAAAGTTAGCCGGGCGCAGTGGCTCACGCCTGTAATCCCAACACTTTGGGAAGCTGAGGCAGGCAGATCACGAGGTCAGGAGATCGAGACCATCCTGGCTAACATGGTGAAACCCTGTCTCTATTAAAAATACAAAAAAACAAAATTAGCCAAGTGTGGTGGAGGGCGCCTGTAGTCCCAGCTACGCGGAAGGCTGAGGCAGGAAAATGGCAGGAACCCGGGAGGCGGAGCTTGCAGTGAGCCGAGATTGTGCCACTGCACTCCAGCCTGGGCGACAGAGCGAGACTCCATCTCAAAAAAAAAAGAGAGAGAAGCTCTCGGCTTTCGGCTCGGAGGAGGCCAAGGTGCAACTTTCTTCGGTCATCCTGAATCTGGGTTCATCCGACACCAGCTGCCTCCACCATGCCACCGAAGTTCGACCCCAACGAGATCAAGGTCGTATACCTGAGGTGCACCAGAGGTGAAGTCGGTGCCACTTCTGCCCTGGCCCCCAAGATCGGCCCCCTGGGTCTGTCACCAAAAAAGGTTGGTGATGACATTGCCAAGGCAACGGGTGACTGGAAGGGCCTGAGGATTACAGTGAAACTGACCATTGAGAACAGACAGGCCCAGATTGAGGTGGTGCCTTCTGCCTCTGCCCCGATCATCAAAGCCCTCAAGAAACCACCAAGAGACAGAAAGAAACAGAAAAACATTAAACACAATGGGAATATCACTTTTGATGAGATCGTCAACATTGCTCGACAGATGCGGCACCGATCCTTAGCCAGAGAACTCTCTGGAACCATTAAAGAGATTCCGGGGACTGCCCAGTCTATGGGCTGTAATGTTGATGGCCACCACCCTCATGACATCATAGATGACATCAACAGTGGTGCTGTGGAATGCCCAGCTAGTTAAGCACAAAGGAAAATATTTCAATAAAGGATCATTTGACAACTGGTCGAAAAAAAAAAGTTAAAAAAAGATTAAAATGTTACATCAGCCTTGGCAAGTGGGAAAAAAAATGTTAAGTTTATAAAGTAAAATAGTTATAGTAAACTAAGGTTAATTTATTATAAAAGAACTATTTTTTATAAATTTGATGTAGCCTAACTGTACCATGTTTCTAAAGTCTACAGCAGTGTACAGTAAGGCCCTAGGCCTTCACATTCACTCACCACTCACTCACTAACTCACCCAGAGCAACTTCCATTCAAACATGCTCCATTTAATGGTTAGTACCCTGTACAGGTGTGCCATTTTTTATCATTTATATTATATTTTAACTGTACCTTTTCTATGTTTAGGTATGTTTATATACACAAATGGTTACCACTGTTATGTTACCTACCATGCTTCAGTATAGTAACACGCCACACAGGCTTGTTGCCCAAGAACAATAGGCTATCGCAGATAGCCTAGGTGTGTAGCAGGCTAGATCATCTAGGTTTCAGTAAGTACATTCTATGATGTTTCCACAATAATGCATTTCTGATAATGTATCTGCATTGCCAAGTGACACATGACCATAACTGTTATACTGTATTTTTTGGTTTTATTTTTTATTTTCCATGAATATTTTCTCATTTTTTTTTTTGAGACCGAGTCTCGCTCTGTCGCCAGGCTGGCACAATCTCAGCTCACTGCAACCTCCACCTCCTGGGTTCTAAGCAATTCTCCTGCCTCAGCCTCCAGAGTAGCTGGGATTACAGGCACGGGCCATCACGTCTGGCTAATTTTATATTTTTAGTAGAGACAGGGTTTCAACCATATTGGCCAGGCTGGTCTGGAACTCCGGACCTCAGGTAATCTACACACCTTGGCCCCCCAAAGTGCTGGGATTACAGGCATGAGCCACTGTGCCCACTCTCCTTGAATATTTTCAACCGATGGTTGGTTGAATCTGCAGAAGCAGAACCCACGGATACAGAGGGCCAACTGTACTCCATATGCCAAAAAGCAATTTGGATTAAGATAAGTAAAAGCAGGACCATGTCTAAAGTATGCCACCATTTATGTAAAAAAGGTGGGGGAGTATAGTCTTACTTGCTTGAATACCAATAGAATTTCCCTGGAAGAACACACAGTTGCCCTGGGTAGCAGAATTGGGTGGCTGGAGGACAGAAATAGGAAGCAAACTTCACTATACAACAACCTTTGTGCCTTTGGAATTTTGAACCAAATGAAATGTTATTACCTATTCAAAATAGGCTGGGTGCGGTGCCTCACACCTATAATCCCAGCACTTTGGAAGGCAGAGGCGGGTGGATCACCTGAGGTCAGGAGTTCAAGACCAGCCTGGCCAACATGGCGAAACCCCATCTCTACTGAAAAAAATACAAAAATTAGCTGGGCATGGTGTGGGCACCTGTAATCCCAGCTACTCGGGAGGCTGAGGTAGGAGAATCGTTTGAACCTGGGAGGAGGAGGTTGCAGTGAGTGAGATTGAGCCACTGCACTCCAGCCTGGGCGATAGAGCGAGACTCTGTCTCAAAAAAAAATAAAATAAAATTGAAAGAAAAGAAACAAGTGAGTTGAAGAGCACTGGACTTCCATGTCCTTGGAGTCTATCCATCCTGAGAGCCCACCTGTGGTCTGGCCTTGTGTCTGTGGCACTGTAGTGAGGGATGGAACTCTTGGGTGGGATGTGGTAATTTTGGTCGTTGCACCCAGGCCTCTTGTCCGTTTCTGGGGAAAGATAAAGACAAGGTCCATAGTCACCCTCCCTAATGGTTTATACTCTCTCTCTCCTTTCTTTCACACACACACACCCCCCACACACATGCACAGCTCTCCATGCCCAGCTCACCTTCTCAGGCTCCAGGCCATCTTCCATCTGGTCAGGCCTCCTCTTGAGTCTGCTTCCTGAGAGAGGCAGCTGGGAAGGGGCCTTAATCAGAGGTCTCTTCAGTTCTATGTTCCCCTTTACTTCCAATAGGGGGGACCTCTGTTGGGAAAAGAGACCCTTAAGACAATACCCAGGAGCCCAAATGTCCCAAGAACTTCCTGTCTTGGCCCCCAGCCTCAATTGTCAACACCACCACCAAGCACTGAGCACCACTTGTGCCAAAAGCTGAATTATGTGCCAGACAGCATGAACAGAAGTGAGGACGTAACCTAAAAGTGGGAATAACCTCTAGGGGAAAAGCTGGACTTGACTAACTTTAAGGGTGGGACTCAAACAAGCAGAGAGGAATGGATGCTCTTCCTGGAAGGCAAAAATTCAAATATGTACATAGCATGGCTAAGAAACCAACTGGCCCTTTTGGCTGGAGCTGAGAATCATAAACAAGGGAGAGAGTGGAAGATATGTGAGTGTTGAAGACTGCTTGGGAGAATCAGGCAATATTTACTGAGCCATGTTTGAAATGTTTCACCTGGACCGGGTGCAGTGGCTTACGCCTGTAATCCCAGCACTTTGGGAGGCGGAGG
Source organism: Homo sapiens (assembly GCF_000001405.40). Taxonomy (NCBI): domain Eukaryota; kingdom Metazoa; phylum Chordata; class Mammalia; order Primates; family Hominidae; genus Homo; species Homo sapiens. Next base: position 4,591,943 of record NT_167248.2, on the reverse strand, counting down.
TGGGCAGATCACAAGGTCAGGAGTTTGAGACTAGCCTGACCAACATGGTGAAATCCCGTCTCTACTAAAAATACAAAAATTAGCTGGGTGTGGTGGCACATGCCTGCAATCCCAGCTACTCGGGAGGCTGAGTCAGGAGAATCGCCTGAACCTGGGAGGCAGAGGTTGCGGTGAGCCGAGATCACGCCACTGCACTCCAACCTGGGCAATAGAGTAAGACTCCGTCTCAAAAAAAAAAAAAAAAAAGGGCATTAGAACTTAATTCTGGCCGAGCACGGTGGCTTATGCCTGTAATTCCAGCATTTTGGGAGGCTGAGGCGGGCAGATTACTTGAGGTCAGGAGTTCAAGACCAGCCTGACCAACATGGTGAAACCCTGTTTCTACAAAAATTACCCAGGCATGGTGGCATGTGCCTGTAATCCAGCTACTTGGGAGGCCGAGGAGGAGAATCGCTTGAACGATTGGTGGAGGTTGCGGTGAGCCGAGATCACAACACTGCACTCCAGCCTGGGTGACAGAGCGAGACTACGTCTCAAAAAAAAAAAAAAAAAAAAAGAACTTGGCCAGGCGCGGTGGCTTATGCCTATAATCCCAGCACTTTGGGAGGCCGAGGCGGGCAGATCACAAGGTCAGGAGATCAAGACCATCCTAGCTAACACGGTGAAATCCCGTCTCTACTAAAAAATACAAAAAATTAGCCGGGCGTGGTGGCAGGCGCCTGTAGTCCCAGCTCCTGGGGAGGCTGAGGCAGGAGAATGGCGTGAACCCGGGAGGCGGAGCTTGCAGTGAGCCAAGATTGTGCCACTGCACTCCAGCCTGGGTGACAGAGCGAGACTCCGGTCTCAAAAAAAAAAAAAAGAAATTAATTCTCATGGAACCTAGTTGAAAGGGGCTATTCTAGAAGCTTGAGGGCTAAGCTAGGCAGACATCCACCTTAGCGAACCAGATGACATTTGCCTGTGGTCCCAGCTACAAGGGAGGCTGAGGTGGGAGGATGGCTTGGGCCCAGATCAAGGCTGCAGTGAGCCGTGATCATGCCACTGCACTCCAGCACTCCAGCCTGGGCGACATATTGAGATCCTGTCTCAAAAAAAAAGAAAAGAAAAGAAAGAAAAAGAAAAAGAAAAGAAATAACACAGAGATCTGAGTACCTGAAGAGTTGTTTTTTGTTTATTTGTTTTTGAGACAGGGTTGCCCAAGCTGGCTTTGAACTTTGAGTTCAAGTGATCCTCCTGCCTTAGCCTCTTAAGTGCCTAGGACAACAAGCACATGCCACTGGACCCAGCAGGATTGGTTTCATGGATGCTAAGTTCAATTTTGGGAAAGTGAGTTTGAGCTACCCGTGATACAGTGAGATTTACTCAAGGAAGTTCACAGAGCATCATTATTTTTAAAAATCATGAAACAACCTGATACACTGTTTTCTTTTGTTTTTATTATCATAACCCCTACATAAGACTGTGAGCACCATAAGAATTCATCTGTTTTGTTCATAACTATATAACCAGAGGGCCTAGTACAATGTCTGCTACATGGTAGGACTCTACAGTTTTTGAAGGAATGAAATTGAATGTTCATCAGTGGGGCAATACTTAAACTGTGATATATCCATACCATTGGCTTCTATAAAAATAAAAAGGGAAAAAAAGAGGTAGCATTTTTCCTGCCACCTACAGAAGTGTGCACAAAGAAAGCTTATTTTAATTTAGTGTAATCAAATATAGTATGGAAACCAAATTTTTCTTTAAGTATTCCAAAGTCAAACACTAATTTTTAAAAATAACCTGTGCCCTTCCTCCTCTCTACACTACCGTAGTGGATCTGCTACAGACCTACCTCCTTGGAATTTATGCCGGTTCAGAAAATGTGTTTAAAGGTTTGTTTATTCAGGACAACTCCAAAGACCACAGTATATATATTTTTCCCATCTATTAATATAAAGCTAGAATGATGCCCTCCAACTTTCCACAGTGAGAAGCATAAGCACTTAACCTTCTATAAGAACAGATATTCATGCAACCCTGCCTACATCCACCTCACCACAAGATCAGAGGTGGATGGCCCTGCTCCTAAGGCAACCCTTTCATATATGCATCACATTCCCATCCCTCCTCACCAAATCCTGGACTCGCCAAATCCTCCCAGTTTCAGGAACATTCCTCCAGCAATCCTCCCTTCTCACCTCTGCACCATCAGCTTTGTACTCTATGGCATCACTCCAATTGGCATACCACAAACTCTATTATTTCTTCGAAACTAAAAGAATCTGAACTCTGCTTTCCCTAACAGGTACTATCCTTTTTCCTTGCCGCCTTTCGCAGCAAAACTCTAAAGTATTACCTCTAGTGTATTCATCGTGGCCAATTTCTCTCCTAAGCCCATTGCAATCAGGCTTTCATTCCCACCATTCCATCGAAATTGCTATCCTCAAGATCACAAGTAACTTCATGTTGCTAAGTCAATTCTTTATCTTCATTTTCTTGACCCATCAAACAGCATCTGATACAACTGATTACTCCCTTTTCCTTAATAGGCTTTCTTCAGTTAGCTTCCAGGAGACCACTCTTTCTTACCTCACTGGCAGGTCCTCCTCATCTCTCCAGATTTTAACAGCATTCTCTATCTATACTCACTATCCACTCCCATGCCTTTAAATATCATTGATATGCTGACAGTTTCCAAATTTATATGTCCAGCTCAGACCTCGATCCTGCACCTATACTGAACTGCATCGTCAACATCGCTATTTAAGGCTGGGAGTGGTGCCTCATGCCTGTAATCCCAGCACTTTGGGAGGCCGAGGCGGGCGGATCACTTGAGTTCAGGAGTTCGAGACCAGCCTGGCCAACATGGCAAAACCCTGTCTCTACTAAAAATACAAAAATTAGCCAGGTGTGCTGGCACGTGCCTGTAATCCCAGCTACTCGGGAGATTGAGGTGGGAGGATTGCTTGAAGCTGGGAGGTAGAAGTTGCAGTGAGCTGAGATCACACCACTGCACTCCAGCCTGGGCAACAGAGTGAGAGACTCCGTATCAAAAAAAATCTCCATTTGGAAGTCTAATAACTGACCTCTTGATGTCCAACCCTGCTTTGAACTTGCTCCTTTTGCAGCTTTCTCCATCTCAATTGATATAACTCCATCTTTCAGTTGCTCAAGCCAAAAACCCAGAGTCCTCTCTTTCTCCTACATACCACATCTAATCTGTCAGCAAAGCATGGCTGATTGTACCTTCAAAATATATCCAGAATCCAATCACTTTTTACTGTTTCTTCCACTGCTATCACCCTGACCTAAGACACCATCATCTGGCACCTAGATTATCATAAACCAGTGGTTCTCAACTGGGGGTGATTTTATCCCCAAGGTGACATTTGACAATGTCCAATGCAGTCCTGTACACTGTCAGATGCCTAGCAGCATCCCTGCCCTCTACCCACTAGATGCCAGTAGCAACCCCCCACCTAGTCACGACAATAAAAAATGTTGGCCAGGTGCAGTGGCTCATGCCTGTAATCCGAGCACTTTGGGAGGCCGAGGTGGGAGGATCATGAGGTCAGGAAATTGAGACCATCCGGGCTAACGCGGTGAAACCCTGTCTATACTAAAAATACAAAAAATTAGCCGGGCGTGGTGGCAGGCGCCTGTAGTCCCAGCTACTCGGGAGGCTGAGGCAGGAGAATCGCCTGAACCCGGGAGGCGGAGGTTGCAGTGAGCCGAGACCGCGCCACTGCACTCCAGGCTGGCGACAGAGCGTGACTACTTCTCAAAAAAAAAAAAAAAAATGTTGCAGGGCACGGTGGCTCATGCCTGTAATCCCAGCACTCTCGGAGGCCGAGGCAGGCGAATTGCTTGAGCCCAGGAGTTAGTTCCAGACCAGCCTGGGCAACATGGCAAAACCCTGTCTCTATTAAAAATACAAAAAATCAGCCAGGCATGGTGGCAGCTGCCTGTAGTCCCAGCTACTCAGGAGGCTGAGGTGGGAGGATCACTTGAGCCCAGGAAGTTAAGGCTCCAGTGAGCCATGATCATGCCACTGCACTCCAGCCTGGGAACAGAGAAAGAGAACCTGTCTCAAAAAAAAAAAAAAAAAAAAAAGGCAATGGTGCTATGGTTACGAAAATCTGGTGGACCCAACAAATCTTATCTCTCTGCTTAAAATCATCCAATGATTCCCCATCTCACTCAGAGTAAAAGTCCTCACAACGACCCCCACAAGGACAAACTGTGATCAGCAACCCCACTACCCATTACCTGACTTCCTTTCCCACAACTTTTCCCCTTGCTCACTTCATTCCAGCCACACTTCCCTCCTTACAACTCTTTAGGGACTCTGCTCTAGCAGATTCCCTCTGCCTGAAATGTTCTTCCCTCACTATCTGCTTGTCTGTCTCCCTCACTTCCTTCAAGTCTTTATTCAACTCATCTTTTCCATGGGGGTTACTGAGACCACCCTATTTAATACTCTAACCCGCCAGTTGGCCTCCCCTATGTCCTCAACCTTGAATTTCTCCTTTTCTCCACAGCACTTACGGCCTTCTGGCAGTTATATAATTCATTTATTACATTTATTGTCTGTATCCCCATAGAATGGCAGCTCCACGATGGCAACGATTTGTCCCTTGTTCACTGCTGCATCCTAAGTACCTACAACCACGCCTAGCATGTAGTAGGTGCTCAATAAATACTTGATTAATAGATCTGAGAAGGCTTTTACTACTTCTTACTGTCACATAATACTACTCTGCTCTCTGGTTGTCACGAGAGAAAGAATCTCTCTTAAGGCTGAATCCTAACTTCAGGGAAACCTGAACGTGAAATACTAGTAAACAAAGGATTCAGGCAGGAGACCTTTCCTGGCACCAGAGATAAGTACACTCCAGCTGTCACACACATTCATCTCTCTTCACTGGAGACAGGAAGCTGCATATGGTTGTGGGGTGCAGCAGGGCACCATTTAAGAGAAAGAACTAAATCAATCAGTTTCATTGGGCAGGAATCTGCACAATTTGGGAAAGGAGAGAGAGAATGAGAAGTCTTTTGGCCCAGATTACCCTACTCTCCTTCTCCCTTTCCTACACTCCGAAGCAGCAGTGATAAGGAGAGGCGATTAACACAAAAGGACCTCAGCAAGGATGTGGCCTCAGACACCATGTCCCCAAAAGGAAGAAGTCATATCAGAACTCTCCCTTCTTACACACTGCAATCACACCCTGAGTAGGAATAAAGAAGTGGAAATGTGTCAGACGAGCCTGAGAATTCGAAATGAGAAATCTCGGAGACATGAAAGTTAAGGGAGGGGCTCCAGAAACTTGAAGCTAGGGGAGGGCAGACAGACGTGCCTTCCGACCTCCCCGGGTGCTCTAAGCCGTCTCCACTCCTGCCTCCGCCCCTTTCCACTTGTGCGGGGGCGCACGGACCTTCGCTCTCCCGGTAGACATGACAAAGGCCGACCGGGAGCCGGGGGCGCGACAGCATCGGAGCGGTCAGCCGTCGTCCCCATCCCCAGGGCAGGACACCTGCGCCGCCCCTACTCACCTGCGGATCCATGTCCACCTCGGTCCCACACGCGCCGGGGGAATGCAGTGGAAGAGAACTGGGTGCCGGGGATCCTGGGACTCGCGTTCTCTCGCCCGCTCGCGAAGCAGGGTAGAGAACTCGCACGGCTCCGGCCGCTACCAGCCCCGCGCCACACCCGCCACTTTTGAATTCCAACGGCCACCACCCACTCTCACCGCGCTCTGCACGCAGGGACCAATCGTCGCTGTCGCCACAGCCGAGGGCCAATCGCAGCGTTCTCCGCCACCCGAAGCCACACCCCGCCCGACAGGCGCCTTGTCTTTTCTGTTTCGCAGGCGCAGGAGAGGTAGGCGGATTAATTCCACTTCCGGTGCCACTTATGCTTCTCACCCCTCCCCTCCTCTAGCGGCAATAGTGCTGGACTTCCGCTCGGCTCCCCGCCGTCGCTCGCTACGTCAGAAAATGCGTGGACGTCGCCGCACGAACGCAACTGGCCAAGCGAAACTGGTGGCGGCCGGAGGAGAAGGGGCGGGGACGCTGGAGGAAAGAAATGACGCGTGCGCAAACGAGGACCCGTGCCGGGAGACAGGCGGGACTAGCGCCTCCTGGTGACTGCAGTAGGGAGCGCACTTGTTTTCCGTCGACGTGATTGAGGCTCCAGCGCTGCCTCTCCTGGTCGTGGTTGACTGGGCCCGGAAGTGGCTCCTGGAGCCCTCACGTGGATGTGAGTGGCCTGGTCTGTTCATTCCCTGGTAATGTTGCCATTTCTCACCAAATTTAGGAATTTTTGCGCTCCATTGAAGCCTGACAGTGGGGATTCAAAGCTCAGGAAAGAACTTTTCTTTATAGCCCTCTTCTCTCAGCCAGCCTACTTACCTGGGTGCTGTTACTGGTACTGGGCTCAGGGCCTTTGGAGTCTCGAGCTCGGGGAAGATTTACTGCTTCCATTTATGGAGTATTTTATGTTTTGCAGATTGTGCACCTGTATTATCTCGTCTTTTAATCACGAAAATTCACTGAGTTCCTACATTGTGCCACATTCTTTGTAGAGATGGATGGAGACAGGTTCAGAAAGATTACACAATAAGGTCACACTGCTGGTTAGGAATGGATCTAGATTCCATTAGCTTCAAAATCCAAGCTATTTCTGTTAACTCACGTTGCCTCTAACAGTCTCGGTGACAAGAGCAACCCCTTACGTGTGAATAGGGTGCTAGTTTGCAAAGTCGTTCTACCATATTTACTCATCCGAGTTTCCATCCAATCCTGGAGGTAGTCAGGACAGGGTTTTATTTATGAAACCGAAAGGCAGGGGCCTCAAGCATATGTTCGGGGATTTGGTGTGCAGTTGGAAATTGGCAGGTCTGACACCCGCGCTGCCGTCTTCTATCCATTGCTTTAACTTGGCTTCAAACAAGCTTGTAGAGAGAAGCAGATTGTGGGGAGACACACTGTCTGAAAACCATGTTGCCATCCCCCCAACCTTTGATATCCTGGGAAAACTCCAAAAAGCAAGAGCTTGAAGAGAACACAGTAAAAAGAAAAGGAAGAAACTAGAGAAAACCAACAATGGAAGGTAAAGGGGGATAACTGAGAAGGGAGACCTGAGAAGAAACATATAGCAAAAGATATTTATCAAATTAAAAAAAAATTTAAATGGAATGGAGAAATATAGACCCATTAGCAGATTAAAGGGGGAAAATGTATTCATCTCAATTGATGCAGCAAAGTCACTCAAAATATTCAACACCCGTTGATATTTTTTTTAAAACTCCAGAAGCTGATAAAGGACATCTTCAAAAATTTCGCAAAACACATCACCATAATGGGGAAATGTTGAAAGCGTTCCTTTCAAGATGGGGAACAAGGCAAGGATGCCTGCTCTCAATAATCCTCATCAATAAAACAATGGAAGTTGTAGCCAGTCCAATAAGCAACAAATATATAAGGACTACAAGAAACATTAATGTTAATATTCGCAGATGAAATTATTGCATGTGCAGCATCCCTAAAATAAAATTCAGATAGAATTGATAAATAAGTTTAGCAAGGTTGATGGATAAAAAATCAGTAAGAGGAAAAAATCAATTTTCAAAATCAATTGCATTTCCGTCTTCAGCAACACTAGTTACAAAGTGTAACTGTAAAAATTACACTATTTGGTGGCCGGGCGCGTTGGCTCACACCTGTAATCCTAGCACTTTGGGAGGCCGAGGCGGGCGGATCACGAGGTCAGGAGATCGAGACCATCCTGGCTAACATGGTGAAAAACTCTCTGTACTAAAAATACAAAAAAAATTAGCCGGGCGTGGTGGCGGGCGCCTGTAGTCCCAGCTACTCAGGAGGCTGAGGCAGGAGAATGGCGTGAACCCGGCAGGCGGAGCTTGCAGTGAGCGGAGATCGCGCCACTGCACTACAGCCTGGAAGACAGAGCGAGACTCCGTCTCAAAAAAAAAAAAAAAAAAAAAAAACCAAAAAAGTTAGCCAGGCGTGGTGGCGGCCGCCTGTAATCCCAGCTACTCGGGAGGCTGAGGCAGGCCCACGGAAACAGTGACATGATTTGTGCCAAATTCTGAAGCAATCTTCCCACTAAGGCTATTGGACACAGAATCCGAGTGATGCTGTACCCTTCAAGGATTTAAACTAATGAAAAGTCAATAGGCCGGGTGCGGTGGCTCACGCCTGTCATCCCAGCACTTTGGGAGGCTGAGGCGGGTGAATCACGAGGTCAGGAGTTCAAGACCAGCCTGGCCAAGATGGTGAAACCCCGTCTCTACTAAAAATACAAAAAAGCCGGGTGTGGTGGCGGGCACCTGTAATCCCAGCTACTTGGGAGGCTGAGGCAGAGAACTGCTTGAACCTGGAAGGTGGAGGTTGCAGTGAGTCGAGATCGTGCCACTGCACTCTAGCCTGGGCAACAGAGCGAGACTCCGTCTCAAAAAAAAAAAAAAAAAAGAAAAAGAGAAAAAAAGAGAAGAAAGAAAAAAGAAAAGTCAATAAATAAACGTGGATTTGTGCTCTTAAAAAAAAATTGCCAGGCATGGTGGATCATGCCTATAATCCCAGCACTTTGGAAGGCCAAGGCAGAAGGACCACTTGAGGTCAGGAGTTCCAGACCAGCCTGGCCAACATGGTGAGATCCCATCTCTACTAAAAATACAAAAAAAATTAGCCGGGCATTGTGGCATGTGCCTGTAATTCCAGCTACTCAGGAGGCTGAGGCAGGAGAATTGCTTGAACCCGTGAGGTGGATGTTTTGGTGAGCCGAGATTGTGCCACCACACTCCAGCCTGGGCAACGAGGGCAATACTCCATCTCAAAAAAAAAAAAAATTATTCAAAAATTTAAAAGGCTGTAACTCAGCCTTGATTCAAATAGGTTAAAAGTAGTCATGATGATATTTAACAGGAAACATTGCAAGATGAGAACTTTGATGAGGTCTTTCAGGGGAGGACAGATGGTATAGGTATAAGTACATATGTAGGTATAGGTACAGGTACAGATATTGGTATAGGTACAGATACAGTTATAGTAATGGTAGACTCCAAATCACAATGAACCAACATTTGGCCAAAGGCGAAAAAGTTATTTAAGATTACTTTTATGCATGCTCAGTCTCTAGCAAAGGTAACTACCATTCCATTTTTAAAATTTTTTATTTTTTGGAGATGGAGTCTTTTTTTTTTTTTTTTTTTTTTTGAGACAGAGTCTGGCTCTGGCGCAATCTCGGCTTGCTGCAAGCTCTGCCTCCGGGGTTCATGCCATTCTCCTGCCTCAGCCTCCCAAGTAGCTGGGACTACAGGCGCCCGCCACTACGCCCAGCTAATTTTTTATATTTTTAATAGAGATGGGGCTTCACCATGTTAGCCAGGATGGTCTCGATCTCCTGACCTCCTGATCCACCCGCCTCAGCCTCCCAAAGTGCTGGGATGACAGGCATGAGCCACTGTGCCTGGCCAAGGAGACGGAGTCTTGCACTGTCCCCCAGGCTGGAGTGCAGTGGCGTGTTCTCGGCTCACTGCAACCTCTGCCTCACGGGTTCAAGCGATTCTCCTGCCTCAGCCTCCTGAGTAGCTGGGATTACAGACATCCGCCACCATGCCCAGCTAATTTTGGCATTTTTAGTAGAAACGGGGTTTCACCATATTGGCCAGGCTGGTCTCGAACTCCTGACCTCGTGATCTGCCCGCCTTAGCCTCCCAAAGTGCTGGGATTATAGGTGTGAGCCACCGCACCTGGCCTACCATTCCATTTTTAAAACTGTAATAAAGTCGCGTAGCCTCTGAGATAGGCTACTTCTTTTTTTAAATAATTTTTTTTTATTTATTTTAAGACAGAGTCTTACTCTATCACTCAGGCTGGAGTGCAGTGGTGCGATCTGGACTCACTGCATCCTCTGCCTCCCAGGTTCAAACGACTCTGACTCAGTCTCCCAAGTGGCTGGGATTACAGGTGTGCACCACCATGCCAGGCTAATTTTTGTATTTTTAGTAGAGAGGGGGTTTCACCATGTTGGCTAGGCTGGTCTGGAACTCCTGATCTCAAGTGATCCGCCTGCCTCAGCTTCCCAAAGTGCTGAGATTACAGGCATGAGCCACTGCTCCTGGCCAATATTTTAAAATTTTTAATGAAATAAAATAGAGACAGGGTCTCACCATGTTGCTCAGGCTGGTCTCAAACTCCTGGGCTCGTGCAGTCCTCCCACCTTGGCCTCCCAAAGTGCTGGGATTACAGGTTTGAGCCACTATGCCTGGCAGTAATTGGCTACTACTAACTCTGAAAACTGTAACCTGAAACTTAAGGCTTTGATTATTTGTTATAGGAAACTACATTTGTCAGAATGCTATAGTAGATTGTGTTTGTTTACTTCAAGTCAACTATATTTGTTATGTGAAGTTATATTTGTATACCAACCTATGTTGGTAAGCCACTGTTTATGACCTCACTGATTTTCTTATAATCATATCTATGTATTATCTTGCCAAGATAGATTCCAAATCCAGAATTTTCCTCCTATGGGTTGTAAACATAAAACGTTATTTGTCTAAGTCTGTTTGTGCTACTATAACAAAATACCTGAGACAGAGTAATTTATAAACAACAGAAATGTGTTTCTCACAGATCTGGAGGGCTGGGAAGTGAAAGATCAAGGTGCCGGCAGGTACAGTGTCTGGTGAGGGACCTGGTTCCTTCTTCACATAGAGCCTTGTTGTTGCATCCTCCGGAGGAGATGAATGCTGTGTCCTCACATGGTAGAAGGACAAAAAAGGGCCGAAGCTAGTTCCCTCCAGCCCTTCCCTCCAGCCCTTTCCCTCAATTCATTCATGGGAGTGGAGTCCTCATGACTTAATTACTTCCCAAACAACCTCACCTCTTAATACCACCAAAGTTGAGATTAAATGTCAACATATGAATTTTGGGGGACATTCAGATCAAAGCAGTATTATAGCACATTTGCTTTCAGAAATGCATAATGATATATTTTTGTGTGTGTTTGTTTTTAGCCAGGGTCTTACTTTGTCACCCAGGCTGGAGTGCAGTGGCACAATCTCGGCTCACTGCAGACTCCACCTTGCAAGTTCAAGCTATTCTCCTGCTTCAGCTCCCCTCCCCCCGCAAATAGCTGGGACTGCAAGCCTGCACCCCATGCCCAGCTAAATTTTGTATTTTTTGTAGAGACAGGGTTTTGCCATGTTGGCCAGGCTGGTCTCGAACTCCTGACCTCAGTAATCCACCCACCTCAGCCTCCCAAAGTGCTGGGCCCAGCGGCTGGGGTGTCTTTTGTCATCTCATCTTTACCCCTTTTTCCCCTGAACTATCCAAATACCCAGCTAAAGGTAGAGATAGAAATAGGAGGGGAGGCAAGTTGGGCTGAGAATGCTTGTGTAACATCAGGCCTGAAGGCACTTTCAGAAGCCAGGCATTGCCTATATTTCATCTCAAACTGCTACACAAGTGTTATTTCCAACCGTGTGCCAATATCACACAATGTCACAACTACACGTGGAACTGAATGAAGGTCCTGGAGAGTCTCTCATAATAGAAATTTTCAGATCCAGACTTGGAAATAACTGGTCATTTAAGTGAGCGAGAGGTGGGGTTAAAATAAAGAATTGTGCTTTTCTATATTTTATTATCATTTCTCTGATAAGAAATGGAAGACGTTAAATAAAAATGGGAGTCTAGGCCCGGTGTGGTGGCTCACGCCTGTAATCCCAGCACTTTGAGAGGCTGAGTCAGGTGGATCACCTGAAGTCAGGAGTTCAAGACCAGCCTGGCCAATATGGTGAAACACCATCTCTACTAAAAATACAAAAATTGGCTGGGCGTGGTGGTGGGTGCCTGTAATCCCAGCTACTTGGGAGGCTGAGGCAGGAGAATTGCTTGAACCCAGGAGGCGGAGGTTGCAGTGAGCCAAGATCGCACCATTCCACTCCAGCCTGGGCGACAAGAGCAAAACTCCGCCTAAAAAAAAAAGCCGGGCACGGTGGCTCATGCCTGTAATCTGTAATCCCAGCACTTTGGGAGACTGAGGCTGGCAGATCACCTGAGGTGGGGAGTTGAGACCAGCCTGACCAGCATGGAGAAACCCTATCTCTACTAAAAATACAAAACTACCCAGACGTGGTGGTGCATGCCTGTAATCCCAGCTACTCAGGAGGTTCAGGCAGGAGAATTTCTGGAACCCGGGAGGCAGAGGTTGCGGTGAGCCAAGATTGCGCCATTGGACTCCAGCCTGGGCAACAAGAGTGAAACTCCATCTCATTAAAAAAAAAAAAAAGGGGGAGTCTAGACCAGGCACAGTAGCTCATGCCCGTAGTCCCAGGACTTTGGGAGGCCAAAGTGGGTGGATTGCTTGAGCCCAGGAGTTCAAGACTAGCCTGGGAAACATGGGGAAACCCTGTCTCTACAAAAAATTAGCCAGGCATGGTGGCACATAGGTGTAGTCCCAGCTACTCGGGAGGCTGAAGTGGGAGGATCACCTGAGCCTGGGAGGTCGAGGCTGCAGTGAGTAATGATCACACCACTGTACTTCAGCCTGGGTGACAGAGTGAGATCCTGTCTTCAAAGAAAAAAAAAAAAGGGCAGGGGGCAGTCTGTGCACACACATTCCCCTTCTTCCAGATCCCTGCCTTTGGACATGAAGACCTCCCTCTAGGGTCTCCAGTCCAAGCTGCCAGGGAGACATCACTCAGCACCACCACACCCTCCATCTGCGTGGACAGGCCTCCTAGGGGATGGCCACTCCTTGTGTAAGATCCATTACCGCTCCGAAAATCAATGTCAAAGATCCAGGGAAGATATGCCCTCTAGAGGAGTTCTAGGGAAACATCTTCCTTTCCCTGATCACTGCTCCTTAAGAAAAATTAGTCACAAAAGGAAAAAAAAAAAAGTGACTGTATTTCATAATGTCTTGGTTCATTTTTATACAAGGTGCAAATTCAACATAAGAAACACTTATGGCTGGGTGCAGTGGCTCACGCCTGTAATCCCAGCACTTTGGGAGGGTGAGGCAGGCGGATCATGAGGTCAGGAGTTCGAGACCAGCCTGACCAACATGGTGAAACCGCGTTTCTACTAAAAATATAAAAATTAGTTGGGCGTGGTGGCGGGCCTCTAATCCCAGCTATTCAGGAGGCTGAGGCAGGAGAATTGCTTGAACCCAGGAGGCGGAGGTTGCAGTGAGCCAAGATCGCACCACTGAACTCCAGCCTGGGCTAACACAGCGAGACTCCTTCTCGATAAAAATAATAATAATAATTTTAAAAAAAGAAACACTTACTGTGTGCCAACGATCTGGAGCCAGAGGCCCTGTGAAGGTGCCGCACCATGCTGCTTGCTGGGATTACAGCAGTGAACACAACAGATGTGGGCCTCCATTTCTCAAAGTTCCTGCCCAGTGAGGAGTACAGATGAGCAGAGAGGCAGCGACAAAAACTAAAAGAGATCATGCATGTGAAGTTCTTAGCACAGTCTGTACAATTGTACGTATCCCTGAGCAGCAGCAGCAGGGCACGACAGGCCAGAGCCGGGCTCATCAAGTGTGCAGAACTGAGAAGGGCTGCAGCACGGAACAGTCTGGGGAGCTGAGGCTGGCGGGATGGGTAGGAGGGGGCAGACCATGAAGGCTTTACCCTGGGGATAGGAGCAGGAGTCTCCTACAAATCTGTCAGTTGGTCGGGATTCCCTACTTCCAGGATGGGGAAGGGTGAAGGTTTACAGGGGCAAAGTCTGTGCTGGAGTGAGCCCAGGAATTCAAGACCAGCCTGGGCAACATGGGGAAAAAGAGTAAACACTCCTTTTCTTCTGCATCATGCAGTTTGCCACCATCTGCTATAGAGATCCCCACAGGGCAAGGTTTTCTGCCCGGCCACCTCGAGTGCTACAGGCCTGCCCAGGGGTGTCCTGCCCACACAGGGTGCTGTGGCTCAGGCTCTCAACCTTGGTCCAGCCTCTCACAGCTGAGCATAATACTGATACTGACACTGAGCCTTTGATAGAGGCTGTTAGTTTCCCCCCAGTATTGTTTCTCCAATCTTTTCCTGTTAATAAACCCTAGATTTTTTTTTTTGCAAGACACATGGCCACCAAAAAAGATCTCAACTCCCAGCCTCTCTTGAGACTAGGTATGGCAATGGACAGTGCTCTGGCCAATAGAGCACAAATGGAAGTAATATATCCACATTTCAGGGAGAGCCCTAAAGGAAGGAGTATGCCCTTCCCCGTCAAACCATGCCATTTGTTGAGAATAGAAGAACCACAAGCTTCACCGGGCGTGGTGGCTCACACCTCTAATCTCAGCACTTTGGGAGGCCAAGGAGGGCAGATCGCCTGAGGTCAGGAGTTTGAGACCAGCCTGGCCAACACGGTGAAACCCCGTCTCTACTAAAAATACAAAAATTAGCTGGGCGTGGTGGCATGTGCCTGTAATCCCAGCTACTTGGGAGTTGGGAGGCTGAGGCAGGAGAATCGCTTGAACCCGGGAGGGGAAGTTTGCAGTGAGCCAAGATTGTGCCACTGCACTCCAGCCTAGGCGACAGAGTGAGACTCCATCTCAAAAAAAAAAAAAAAAAAGAAAAAAGAACCACAAATTAGAAATGTCTTGCCTTCCTGGTAATCTTGGAAGTTCTGCACCAGTCCTGGACTGGTTATCTCAGAATTTGCTTACAGGAAAAATTCACTTGTCTCTTGTTTAAGCCACTGTTATTTCTCAAACTCCTGGACTCAAGCCATCTGCCTTCCATGGCCTCCCAAAGTGCTGGGATTACAGGCATGAGCCACTGCACCCAGCCTAGACATTGTTGCTATGCCTCCACAGAGTACCGTGGAGTAGCCTGAGTGGCCTGGGCCCTGCCTCGGACCCTGTGTTTGAAGGGACTCTGCACTTTGGAGTATCTTCCTTGAAATTTCCTAAGTCACTCTACAGAGCCAAGGGCCATCCTGTGCCAGCAGAGAACTCGCTCCCATTGGGCGCTCATGGGGTTCTGTAGCCTTGTAGGATCAATTCTGCTAGCAGAGAGGTATTTCTTTTATGGATCGCACATGATTGGGCTACCGGCTGGTCCACTTTGACCCTTAAGCTTGAGCTGTAAGTGTGGGTCCTAGTGATGGCTCCCCCGCCCCCATTCTTTGTGTTCCAACTGTGGTGGTATCTCTGTTACCTTAGAGTGGCAGGTAGTCAAAGGAGTCCTTCGTCCTGTGTGTCCCTCACTGATGGTGTCGCGCCACATGCTTCACTGGCACCCAGGAAAGTCATCCCATCCACTCCACAGCCTCTGTGCTACATGCCAGATTGTCCTCTGGGAATAGCTCTGCCTATCTCCTCTCAAAGCTTTCAGGAAGGTTGTTCCACAACCCAACAGGCTCTTCCCATTAATGTCCTCTCTTCTCTTCAATTGATGTGCTGACCTTCTGCTCTCCCAGGTTAGCTGTGCTGGTCAAGGGATGGACTTTCTTTATGTCAAAGTGACTGCTTGGCCTGGTGCAGTGGCTTACCCTTATAATCCCAGCACTTTGGAAGGCCAAGGTGGGAGGATTGCTTGAGACCAGGAATTCAGCATCAGCCTGGGCAACATAGTGAGACCACTTCTCTACTAAAAAAAGAAGGAAAAGAAAGGGACTGCCCTTCTCATTCCACCTACAGGCCGCTCACCTATCCACCCTACTGGTGGTCCTGTGTAAAATGTAGGGGTGCTGCCATCATTGAAGGCGATCACATTCAGCCAGGCATGGTGGCTAACGCCTGTAGTCCCAGCACTTTGGGAGCCCAAGGCTGGTGGATCACCTGAGGTCAGGAGTTCAAGAACAGCCTGACCAACATGGTGAAACCCCATCTCTACTGAAAATACAAAAAAAATTGGCCGGGCATGGTGGCACACCTGTAGTCCCAGCTATTCAGGAGGCTGAGGCAGGAGAATCACTTGAACCCGGGAGGCAGAGGTTGCAGTGAGCCAAGATCGCACCACTGCACTCCAGCCTGGCGACAGAGTGAGACTCCGTCTCAAAAAAATAAAATAAAATAAAATAAAATAAAAACAGAATGTTTGGAAGGCCTGTCCTTCGTCTACTCGGAGTTGTAGTGATCTGGGTTGTAAATCATAGTTAAGAGGGGTCTGATAGCTCCTAACTCCCTATTGTTAGAGAGTTTATAGTAAGACTATGGCTTTTCTTATAGCCATAGGAATTTAGAAATTTGCCATGCCAGCCAGACTCTGAACCCTCTACCTGTAGGTAACTTTAGTTTTCTTTTTTTCTTTTCTTTTTTTTTTTTTTTTGAGATGGAGTCTCCCTCTGTCGCCCAGGCTGGAGTGCAGTGGTGCGATCTCGGCTCACTGCAACCTCCGCCTCCCAGGTTTAAGCAATTCTCTGCCTCAGCCTCCTGAGTAGCTGGGATTACAGACGCCCGCCACCATGCGTAGCTAATTTTTTGTACTTTTAGTAGAGACAGGGTTTCACCATGTTGGTCAGGCTGATCTTGAACTCCTGACCTCATGATCCACCCGCCTCAGCCTCCCAAAGTGCTGGGATTACAGGCATGAGCCACCACTCCCAGCCAGAAGTAACTTTGGTTTTCTTAACTGTAGGGCCCTTGTTAGTTGATAAGGGAACATATCAGATCATGGGACTTTACACTTCAGCAATGAGAGGGGGTGCTCTTTAATTTAGGCAGTGATGTGAAGGTATTTGCATTTTTGAAAGAACACGCTAGCTACAAAATGGAGAATAGATTGGCAGTAATTGGGTGAGGATGAGGAAAGATAGTTAGGACACCACTGTAGTCATCCAGGCAAGAGGCAAGAGGACCTGAACAAAAGTGTAGTTGTGAAGATGCAGAGAGGTCAGAGATGTGGAAGGTTCTTAACAGGCAGAACCAGCAGGACCTGGAGATGGATAAGACATGAAATGGGTGGGGCGAGCAGAGAAGGTAGTTGGAGGGAGAATGTCAGATTTTTGGCTTGAGCAACTGGGTGGCTGGCAAAGTCAGTCACAGGGAGACAGGCACCAAAAGAGGAGGAGTTTTGTGGAGAAGGTCAAGGGCTCTGCTTGGACATGTTGAGGCTACACTGCACTTAGGGTGTGCAGGGTATAAGCAAATACATAAACAAATTTATTTTAAAGTCTATAACAGGCTGGGCACAATGGCTCATGCCTGTAATCCCAACACTTTAGGAGGCTAAAGTGGGTGGATTACTTAAGCCCAGGAGTTTGAGACTAGCCCAGGCAACATATTTAGACCATGCCTCTACACACACACACACAGACACACACAAAAAAAAAAAAGAAAGAAGAAAAGAAAATATATTACAAAATACATGAGCGCCACACCTGTAATCCCAGCACTTTGGGAGGCCGAAGCGGGCGGATGACGAGGTCAAGAGATCAAGACCATCCTGGCCAATATGGTGAAACCCGGTCTCTACTAAAAATACAAAAAATTAGCTGGGCGTGGTGGCGGGCACCTGTAGTCTCAGCTACTCAGGAGGCTGAGGCAGGAGAATCACTTGAACCCGGGAGGTGGAGGTTGCAGTGAGCTGAGATCACACCTCTGCACTCCAGCCTGGGCGACAGAGTGAGACTCTGTCTCAAAAAATAATAATAATAATGACAATAAATGAGCCCATGTGAAGTATAGTGATGTCATTTTTTTCAAGACGGAGTCTCGCTCTGTCACCCAGCCTGGAGTGCCATGGCGCCATCTCGGCTCATTGCAGCCTCCGCCTCCCGGGTTCAAGCGATTTTCCTGCCTCAGCCTCCCAAATAGCTGGGATTACAGGCACCCACTATCATGCCCGGCTAATTTTTGTATTTTTGTAGAGATGGGGTTTCACCATGTTGGCCAGGCTGGTCTTAAACTCCTGTCCTCAGGTGATCCACCTGCCTCGCCCTCCCAAAGTGCTGGGATTACAGGCGTTAGCCATCACACCCAGCCTCAACTGTATATTCTCCTGAGCTTTTTAGGGTATAGTCAATGCATTCCCAAAATGTGATCACTTTCTTTTTTTTTTTTTTGAGACAGAGTCGCGCTCTGTCACCCAGGCTGGAGTGCAATGGTGCGATGTCAGCTCAGTGCAACCTCCAGCTCCCGGGTTCAAGTGATTCTCCTGCCTCAGCCTCTTGAGTAGCTGGTATTACAGGCAACCGCCATCGCGCCTGGCTAATTTTTTTTTTTTTTTTTTTTTTGAGATGGAGCCTTGCTCTGTTTTGCCGAGAGTTTTTTTGTTTGTTTGTTTTTTGTGATGGGGTTTTGCCAAGTTGGTCAGGCTGGTCTCGAACTCTTGATCTCGTGATCCACCTGCCTTGGCCTCCCAAAGTGCTGGGATTACTGACTGGTGTGAGCCACTGTGTTTCTATTTTTTTTTTTTTTTTTTTTTGAGATGGAGTCTTGCTCTGTCGCCTAGGCCAGAGTGCAGTGGCGTGATCTTGGCGATTCTCCTGCCTCAGCCTTCTGAGTAGCTGGGACCACGGGTGCGAACCACAATGCCCTGCTAATTTTTGTATTTTTAGTAAAGACGGGGTTTCACCAGGTTGGGCAGGATGATCTCAATCTCTTGACCTCGTGATCCGCCTGCCTCGGCCTCCCAAAGTGCTGGGATTACACGTGTGAGCCACTGCTCCCGGCCTATTTTTAAATTTTTGAGATAAAGTCTTGCTCTGTCACCCAGGCTGGAGTGCAGTGGCACGATCTCAGCTCACTGCAACCTCTGCCTCCCGGGTTCAAGCGATTCTCTCGCCTCAGTCTGAGGAGTAGTTGGGACTACAGGCGTATGCCACCATACCTAGCCATAGATTTTTGTCTTTGAATATAACACAACGTGGGAAAAGCATAGTAAATTCACTGATGCCTCACTTATCTCAAATGATACAAATTTTGAACCATTATTAAATTTCACGGAAACCATTATAATTTATATAAACAATATGCTGCAAACATTTGAAACAAGTCATGTAATAGCAAGTCTTTACAAATTTATTAGCCCTAGGAGAAGTATTATTTTTTTTTTCTTGGATGCCAGAATCTTGAGAACAGTATGTGCAAAGTAAAAATGCATTCGATTTGAGAGTTATACTTAGCTTTTTGAAGTTTTTCAAATCTTGCTAGTGAGCCGTTTGCTAATTAAAAGTGATCTTCTGAGCCTGATGTGGTGGTGCGTGCCTGTAGTCCCAGCTACGCTGGAGGCTGAAGCAGGAGGATCCCTTGAGTCCAGGAGTTCAAGACTGTAGGATTTCCAGGTTATAGTGCACAGTGATCTCGTCAGTGAATAGTCACTGAACTCCAGCCTGGGCAATATAGCAGAAACTCTGACTTTATTTTTTATTTTTTTAATTATTTATTTATTTATTTATTTATTTATTTTGAGACGGAGTCTCGCTCTGTCGCCCAGGCTGGATGGAGTGCAGTGGTGCGATCTTGGCTAACTGCAAGCTCCGCCTCCCGGGTTCACACCATTCTCCGGCCTCAGCCTCCCGAGTAGCTGGGACTACAGGCGCTCGCCGCGCCCGGCTCATGAGCCGCCTGCCTCGGCCTTCCAAAGTGCTGGGATTACAGGCATGAGCCACCGCGCCCGGCCTGACTTTATTTTTTAAAACAAACAAATAGAAAGGGGACTTCCATTCTGTCAGAGACATTTGAACCAGAGCAACTCCATCTTGAATAGGGGTTGGATAAAATGAGGCTGAAACGTACTGGGCTGCATTCCCAGACACTTGAGGCATTCTAGGTCATAGGATGAGATAGGAGATCGGCACAAGACATAGGTCACAAAGACCTTGCTGATAAAAGAGGTTGCAGTAAAGAAGCCGGCTGAAACCCACCGAAACAAAGATGGCGATGAGAATGACCTCTGGTTGTCCTCACTGCTACACTCCCACCAGCAACCTGACAGTTTACAAATGCCATGGAAACATCAGGAAGTTACCCTATATGATCTAAAAAGGGGAGGCATGAATAATTTGCCTCTTGTTTAGCATATAATCAAGAAATAACTTAACAATGGGCAAACAGCAGCCCTCAGGGCTGCACTGCCTTTGGAGTAACCTTCTTTCGTTTCTTAACTTCTCTAATAAACTTGCTTTCACTTTATGGATTTGCCTTGAATTCTTTGTTGCATGAGATCCAAGAACTCTCTCTTGGGGTTTGGATCATGACCACTTTCTGGCAACAATTCTTCAAAGAAACCTTTTTTTTTTTTTGAGACAGAGTTGTGTGTTTCCCTCTTGTTGCCCAGGCTGATTTGCGATGGCGAGATCTCGGCTCACTGCAGCCTCCACCTCCCAGGTTCAAATGATTCTCCTGCCTCAGCCTCCTGAGTAGCTGGGATTACAGGCGCCCATCACCACGGCTGGATAGTTTTTATTTTTATTTTTAGTAAAGATGAGATTTCACCATGTTGGCCAGGCTGGTCTCGAACTCCTGACCTCAGGTGATCCACGTGCTTCAGCCTCCCAAAGTGCTGGGACTACAGGCGTGAGCCACCACGCCCAGTCCAAAGAAAACTTCATATCTGATTTTATATTTTTTTAAAAAGGCCTTACAGGTTGGGCATGGTTGCTCATGCCTGTAATCCCAACACTTTGGGAGGCCGAGGTGGGTGAATTGCTTGAGCGCAGGAGTTAGAGACTGAAACTGCCTTTGCAAAATTATGACTGAGACAGTGAAAGAAATCTAACTTAACCGACTCCATTTTGCTTCTAACCTCCAAGCTGTCATTCATTCCTGGGCCTAAGCTGAACTAACTTTGGGAGAAACTTGGTTTATAATTTAAAACAAAGACAATAATAGCCCTTTCCCTTTGTTTTAATAGCCCTTTAAAACAAAGACAATAACAGACCTCCTTCTTGCCTGGGGACTAGATTGCCTTTGTAGGACTAACACAGATTAGAAATTATGGTTTAGGCTGGGTGCAGTGGCTCATGCCTGTAATCCCAGCACTTTGGGAGGCAGAGGCGGGCGGATCACCTGAGGTCAGGAGTTCGAGACCAGCCTGACCAATATCATGAACCCCTATCTCTACTAAAAATACAAAAAGTAGCTGGGCGTGGTGGCATGTGCCTGTAATCCCAGCTACTCAGGAGGCTGAGACAGGAGAATGGGTTGAACCCCAGAGGCAGAAATTGCAGTGAGCCGAGATTGCGCCATTGCACTCCAGCCTGGACAACAAGAGCGAAACTCTGTCTCAAGAAAAAAAAGAAAACAAAACAGAAAGAAAGAAATTACGGTTTAGGAGTCATGCAGGTGAAGGCTACAAGATTCTGACCCTCCCTAAACATCTCCTAAGATCAGTGCTTGAGACATTTTGTCGACCCTGCACTTGATGGATCAGCCGGTACCACCCAGATTGATTAACTGGCTCATCTGATCTTATGGCCCCCACCCAGGAACTGACTCAGCGCAAGAAGACAGCTTAGACTCCCTATGATTTCATCTCTGACCAATCAGCACTCCTGGCTCACTGGCTTCCCCTGACCCACCAAGTTGTCCTTAAAAACTCTGCTCCCCAGGCTGGGCGAGGTGGCTCGTGCCTCTAATCCCAGCACTTTGGGAGGCTGAGGCAGGTGGATCACCTGAGGTCAGGAGTTTAAGACCAGCCTGGCCAACTTGGTGAAATCCTGTCTCTAAAAATACAAAAATCAGCTGGGTATGGTGGCACAGGCCTGTAATCCCAGCTACTGAGGCTGAGGCAGGAGAATCACTTGAACCTGGGAGGTGGAGGTTGCAGTGAGCCAAGATTTTGCCATTGCACTCCAGCCTGGGTGACAGAGAGAGACTCCATCTCAAAAAACAGAACAAAACAACAACAACAAAAACAAACTCTGCTCCTCGAATTCTTGGGCAGACTGATTTGAGTAATAATAAAACTCCTGTCTCCCACACAGCAGGCTCTGCGTGAATTACTCTTTCTATATTGCAATTCCTCTGTCTTGAGAAATCGGCTCTGTCTAGGCAGCGGGCAAGGTAAACACATTGGGCGGTTATGAGACCAGCCTAGTTAACACGGTGAAACCCCATCTCTACAAAAAATACAAAAATTAGCCGGGTGTGATGGTGCATTCCTGTAGTCCCAGCTTCTCAGAAGGCTGAAGCGAGAGGATGGCATGAGTCCAGGAAACGGAGGTTACAGTGAGCCAAGATTGAGCAACTGTACTCCAGCATAGGCAACAGAGCCAGATCCTGTACCAAAAAAAAAAAAGCCTTACATTATTTTTTTGCACCATTTCAACCAGTGCATTGTGACGGCTCTGCCCATTAGCTAAATCTAGCTAATCAGTATAAGCATCTGCCCAGTCTGCCCATCTGGCTGGACTTCTCCAGGGAAAGTCCATACTGATACTAAAAGTCTGGCCACAGAAGCTGTTATTCTTTAAAAGTGCCAGGCCTTCACATTGAAAGCTTAGAACAATTTTCTCCCTTCTCTTTTTCTCTTTTGAAATTATGACATACTTAAGTAGAAAACTACATAGAATAGCTATAATGAACCTGTATGGGCCAAAGGAAAACTTCCCTTTCGCCCTCTGAAGGTTGGCTGGAAAATTAACTCACGAAAGATAGATGCAGGCTGGGCACGGTGGTTCACATCTGTAATCCCAGCACTTTGGGGGGCTGAGTCGGGTGGATCACCTGAGGTCAGGAGTTCAAAACCAGCCTGGAAACATGGTGAAAATATAAAAATTAGCTGGGCACAGTGGCGTGTGCTTGTAATCCCAGCTACTCGGGAAGCTGAGACAGGAGAATCACTTGAGCCCAGGAGGTGGAGGTTGCAGTGAGCTGAGATTGTGCCATTGCATTCCAGCCCTGTCGACAGAGCAAGAGTCTGTCCAAAAAACAAAACAAAACAAAACAAAAAAAAAAAGGTGCATTGGAGAAGAGGCATATAAATGGATTAATGTGTACACAGAGAGAACCACAGAGTGATTAACCAATCCACAACAGGGTTCAGGAGCTTATTTACCATCCTGGCAAAACAGGTTATGGGATAGGGAACAGGAATTCTCTTGAGGGGCCATAGGCGATTATTAGGGAGAATGAATGGGCCCAGAGATAGAGATTGAGTTTTGAATAGTTCCCTGTGGAATGTGAATGAGCTGAGAGACAGACTCTTTTGGGAAAGGACCTGCTCAGGTGTGATTCCATTCCTGATCTTACAGGGAGGGGAAGAGAAAACAATTATTCTTTGTGGTATGTCTGGACTTGAAGCAGATAAAGGAACTTCAGAGAATAACTCATCCTGCCTGTGGGAGAGCTGGTTGAGAAGAGAGGTCAGAGAAACCTTGAAGTTTCTTCTTCAGTTCAGCATGTTGGCATATTTTGGGGTATTAATTTCTGAGCCTCAGCAAACCTCACAGACACCACTTCCTTATACAACTGTAAACACAAACTTTTTTTTTTTTTTTTTTTTTTGAGACAGAGTCCCACCCTGTCACCCAGGCTGGAGTGCATTGGCACGATCTCAACTCACAGCAACCTCTACCTCCCGGGTCAAACAATTCTTGCCTCAGTCTCCCAAGTAGCTGGGATTACAGGCCCGTGCCACCCCACCCGGCTAATTTTTGTATTTTTAGTAGAGATGGGGTTTCACCATGTTGGCCAGGCTGGTCTCAAACTCCTGACCTCAGGTGAGCCACCCGCTTCGGCCTCCCAAAGTGCTAGGATTACAGGTGTGAGCCACTGTGCCTGGCCTCTTTTTTTTTTTTTTTGGAGACTAAGTGTCGATCTGTCACCCAGGCTGGAGTGCAATGGCAGGATCTCGGCTCACTGCAACCTCCACCTCCCGGGTTCAAGCAATTCTCCTGCCTCAGCCTCTGGAGTAGCTGGGATTACAGGCGCCCACCACCATGCTTGGCTAATTTTTTTATATTTTGAATAGAAACGGGGTTTCACCATGTTGCCCAGGCTGGTCTCCAACTCTTGACCTCAAGTGATCCGCCTGCCTCAGCCT
Source organism: Homo sapiens (assembly GCF_000001405.40). Taxonomy (NCBI): domain Eukaryota; kingdom Metazoa; phylum Chordata; class Mammalia; order Primates; family Hominidae; genus Homo; species Homo sapiens. The sequence goes on along the minus strand of NT_167248.2, from coordinate 4,567,989 downwards.
CCCAAAGTGCTGGGATTACATCTTTTTTTCTTTTTTTTTTTATGGGGGTGGAGTTGGGGGGTGTCTCACTATGTTGCCCAGGCTGGTCTCCAACACCTGGGCTCAAGTGTTCCTCCCACCTGCCTCGGCCTCCCAAAGTGCTGGGATTATAGGCATGCACCACTGTGCCTGACCTAAACTGTTTTCTTCCACCATACTCTTGTTACCTGAAAAAAAACAGGGTTTGTTTGCCTGGCAAATAACAAATGACTCTCCACAAGGCAGGTTTTAATCAACAGGAGTTTAATTACAAGTAGGGAGAGCACTGGGAGGATTCTTCAAAGCAGTGTCTCCCGGAGAGAAGTGACAGGAGGATTTTAGGGGGTGATGGGGAGGGGAGAGGGTGCCTCATTGCATGTAGAGGAGGGGTCCCAGTTTTGGAAACACAGTGAATCCTCACGCCCGCACACAGGTCACATGCTATGAGAATGAAGCCACAGCTCCTCCCAGGATGGAGATTTCAGCATGGTAATGAGGAACTTTCACTCAGGTTTATCTACAAGTTTCTGGGGTCTGCCAGGAGCCAGTTTTAACCAACTAGGTGACTGCAGTCAACACAGGGTTTAGGAAAAAAGAGGCTGCACGGCAGGAGGCTGTAAAACAAGCCAATTGCTCAGGGTGATTAAATTTCTGTAATCCCTGAAGACCCTCCCTGTCTGCTCACACAACACAAAACACTTGTGACCAGATGTATGGGACTTTTTCTCCACACACCAAACAGTTAACTATCCAGCAAATACTGAGTGGCCTATTTGATTCAATTCAGCCACTAGCTACCTGGAGATGGTGTCAGATTCCACAGGGGGAGGGCTGAGTCCCAAAAGACTGCCTCCCACTTTAGATGCCAATTCCAAGACCAAGGCTGTGATCTGTGCTTCTGACAAACCTGCTATAAATCAGGGTTCCTACAACCCCCTCCTTGGCTTCATAATTTGCTAGGATTGCTAACAGAACTCAGGGAAACACGTTTATCACTTAATTATGCAGGACGTTTTAAAGATATAGATGAATAGCTGGATTTAAAAGATGCATAGGGTGAGCTTTTGGGAGGAAGAGGCTTGGCGCTTCCATGGCCCATCTGGGCACCACCCTCCCAGCACCTCCAAGTGTCAGTACCCTGCCAACCCATCAATTCTTTTTTTTTTTCTTTTGAGAGGCAGTTGCACTCTGTTGCCTAGGCCAGAGTGCAATGGCAAGATCTCGGCTCACTGCAACCTCCACCTCTTGGGTTCAAGGGATTATCCAGCCTCAGCCTTCTGAGTAGCAGAGATTACAGGCACCTTCCACCACGCCTGGCTACTTTTTGTATTTTTAGTAGAGACAGTGTTTTGCTATGTTGGCCAGGCTGGTCTCCAACTCCTGACCTCAAGTGATTTGCCAACCTCAGCAAAGGGCTAGGATTACAGGCATGAGCCACCGTGCCCAGCCCCCATCCATTCTTGTTCAAGAGTTTTTATGGCCGGGCCACTGCACTCCAGCCTGGGTGACAGAGCAAGACTCCGTCTCGGAAAAAAAAAAAAGAGTTCTTAGAGGCCAGGTGTGGTGGCTCACGCCTGTAATCTCAGTACTTTGGGAGGCCGAGATGGGCAGATCACCTGAGGTAAGGAGTTCGAGACCAGCCTGGCCAACATGGCGAAACCCCATCTCTACTAAAAATACAAAAATTAGCCAGGCATGGTTGTGGGCACCTGTAATCCCAGCTACTCGGGAGGCTGAGGCAGGAGAATCCCTTGAACTGGGGAGGCAGAGGTTGCAGTGAGCCAAGATCACACCACTGCAGTCCAGCCTGGGTGACAGAGTACTCTGTCTCAAAAAAAATTTTTTTTTTTGGTCTCAATCTCCTGACCTCATGATCCACCTGCCTCGGCCTCCCAAAGTGCTGGGATTACACGCCCAGGTAATTTTTGTATTTTTAGTAGAGACAGGGTTTCACTATGTTGGCCAGGCTGGTCTCAAACTCCTGACCTCAGGTGATCCACTTGCCTTGGCCTTCCAAAGTGCTGGGATTACAGGCATGAGCCAATGTGCCCAGCCTATTATTTTTAAACTGACAGATAAATTTTACATATTTATCATATAGGACATGATGGTTTGGTTTTGGTTTGATTATTTATTTATTAAATATTTATTTATTTATTTTTGAGACAAATTCTAGCTCTGTCACCCAGACTGGAGTGCAGTAGAGTGATCTTCTTGGCTCACTGCAAATTCAACCTCCTGGATTCAAGAGATTCTCATGCCTCAGCCTCCAGAGTAGCTGGGACTACAAGCATGCACCACCATGTCCAGTTAATTTTTGTATTTTTTGATAGAGATGGGGTTTCTCCTTGTTGTCCAGACTGTTCCTGAGCTCCTGGCCTCAAGTGATCCATCCACATCAGCCTCCCGAAGTGCTGGGATTACAGGCGTAAGCCACCGCGCCTGGCCTGCTTTTTTATTTTTATTTTCAGTATTTTCTTGAGACAAGTCTCCCAGGCTGGGGTGCACTGCCACAGTCAAGGCTCACTGCAGTCTCAAACACCTGGGCTCCAGTGATCCTCCCACCTCAGCCTATAGCTGGGACTACAGGCTCCAGCCACCACTCCCAGCTAATTTTTTGTATTTTTTGTAGAGACATGGCCTGCCTATGTTGCCCAAGCTGGTTTCAAATTCTTGGGTTCACGCAATCCTCTTGCCTTGGCCTACCAAAGCACTGGGATTTCAGGTGTGAGCCTCTGTGCCCAGCCTAATTCTTAGTTTCCATAGGTATTACATGCTATTTTGAAGCATATATAAACTTGGAATGACTAAATCTAGCTAATTAACATATATGCATTACCTCACATAATTACCATTTTTGTGGTGAGAACACAACATTCAATCTCTTAACATTTTTCAAGAATACAATATATTGGTTTGGTTTGGTTTGGTTTGTCTTTTTCTTGAGACGGAGTTTCGCTCTGTCACCCAGGCTGAAGTGCAGTGGCGCGATCTCGGCTCACTGCAAGCTCCGCCTCCTGGGTTCATGCCATTCTTCTGCCTCAGCCTCCCAAGTAGCTGGGACTACCGGCGTCAGCCATCACACAGCTAATTTTTTTTTTGTATTTTTAGTAGAGACGGGGTTTCACCGTGTTAGCCAGGATGGTCTCAATCTCCTGACCTCGTTATCCGCCCCCCTCGGCCTCCCAAAGTGCTGGGATTACAGGCGTGAGCCACCATGCCTGGCCTGTTTTGCTTTGTTTGTTTTGAGAGGGAGTCTTGCTATGACGCCCAGGCTGAGGTACAATGGTGTGATCTCGTCTCACTGCAACCTCTGCCTTCCGGGTTCATGAGATTCTCCTGCCCCAGCCTCCCAAGTAGCTGGGACTACAGGTGCGCACCACCACACCCAGCTAATTTTTGTATTTTTAGTAGCAATGGGGTTTCACCATATTGGCCAGGCTGGTCTCGAACTCCTGACCTCAGGTGATCTGCCCTCCTCAGCCTTGCAAAGTGCTGGGATTACAGGTGTGAGCCACCGCGCCTACAATACATTGTTATTAACTATAGTCATCATGCTGTACCAAATTTTAAATAGGAGGATATTCTATGTGTTCTACAACTTGCCTTCTTTTTCTGATGAACTTCATATTTTTGAGTCTTATATTTTGATGTTTTTTGTTTTTTTTTCTTTTTGAAATATTTAGACCCAGTTAGCTCATTTTATGTTGTAGAACAGTGCTGTCCAATAGAACTTTCTGCAATGATGGAAATTTTCTATATCAGCATTGTCTAATATGGGTACTCACTAATCACATGTGGCTACTGAGCACTTGAAATGTGGCTAATGTGACAAAGGAACTAATTTTTGAGACGGAGTCTTGCTCTGTCGCCAGGCTGGAGTGCAGTGGCGTGATCTCAGCTCACTGCAACCTCCACCTCCAGGGTTCGAGCGATTCTCTTGCCTCAGCCTCCTGAGTAGCTGGGACTATAGGCATGTGCCACCACACCCAGCTAATTTGTGTATTTTTAGTAGAGATGGGGTTTCACCCTGTTGGCCAGGATGGTCTCGATCTCTTGACCTCCTGATCCGCCCGCCTCGGCAAAGTGGTGGGATTACAGGCGTGAGCCACCGTGTCTGGCCAAGGAACTAAATTTAAATTTTTAAAATGTGAAACATAGACGTAATTTTAATTATTTAAATTTAAGTTTAAATAGCCTCATGTGGCTCATTGCTACCATGTGGGATAACGCAGCTCTTTAATATTCAATTATATAAATATATCACAAATAATGTATCCATTCTTCTGTTTATGGATTTTAAAGTATTTCCAATTACTTTATATACTGTTATATTAAAAAATGCTGCAATGAACATACTTCTGCATGCCTTCTTGAGCAAATGTGGGAGAGGCTGGGTATAAGCTCATAAGTAGAGTTGTATTATCAACTCTACTAGATATTGCCAAATGGTCTCCACAGTGGTTTTTCTGGTTTACGCTCCCATCCACTAGAAGAAAGTCCCTGTTGCCCTGGAGCTTCAGCAACATCTGATATTCCCAAACCTGTCTTTGCCAATTTAATGAATGTCGCCTTGTTATTTTATTATTTTATTTTTAATTTTATTAATTTTATTTTTTTCACCTCATCGTTATTTTATTTTATGTATGTATGTATGTATGTATGTATTTATTTATTTATTTATTTATTTTAAGACGGAGTCTCACTGTTGCCCAGGCTGGAGTGCAGTGGTATGATCTCAGCTCACTACAACCTCTGCGCCCCCACCCCCTCCCTGGGTTCAAGCAACTCTCCTGCCTCTGCCTCCTGAGTAACGGGAATTATAGGCACCTGCCACCACACCTGGCTAATTTTTGTATTTTTAGTAGAGATGGGGTTTCACCATCTTGGCCAGGCTGGTCTTGAACTCCTGACCTCATGATCCACCCTCCTCAGCCTCCCAAAGCGCTGGGATTACAGGCGTGAGCCACTGAACCCAGCCCTTGTCGTTATTTTAATTTGCTTTTTTTTGAAGCCCAAAATGTCAGTATTAATTTGCATTTTCTATTTTCTCTTTGAGGGATTGTCTTTCCTATATTTAAATTTTTTTTTCTCTTGGGTTGGTTGTCTTTTTCATATCGATTTGTGGAGTTCTTTGTAAATTCTAGACAGTAATTCTTTATTGGTTATATACCTATATATGATGTAGTCTGCTATGGCATGGCTTTTATTATTAATTTAATGTTTGCAAAACCAGCATATTTACATATATTTCAAAAGGTACAAAAAGATAACCAGGGGCTGGGCACGGTGGCTCACACCTGTAATCCCAGCACTTTGGGAGGCTGAGGCGGGCAGATCACGAGGTCAGGAGATCGAGACCATCCTGGCTAACACAGTGAAACCCCACCTCTACTAAAAATACAAAAAATTAGCGGGGTGTGTTGGCAGGCGCCTGTAGTCCCAGCTACCTGGGAGGCTGAGGAAGGAGAATGGCGTGAACCAGGGAGGCGGAGGTTGCAGTGAGCCGAGATCGCACCACTGCACTCCAGCCTAGGCAGCAGAGCAAGACTCCGTCTCAAAAAAAAAAAAAAGGTAAAAAAAAAAAAACCAGGATTTTTTTTTTTTTTTGAGACAGAGTTTCACTCTTGTTGCCCCCAGGCTGGAGTGCAATGGCCCGTTCTTAGCTCACTGCAACCTCCACCTCTCGGGTTCAAGCAATTCTCCTGCCTCAGCCTCCTGAGTAGCTGGGATTACAGGCGCCTGCCCCCAAGCCCAGCTAGTTTTTTTTGTATTTTTAGTAGAGATGGGGTTTCACCATGTTGGCCAGGCTGGTTTCGAACTCCTGACCTCAAGTGACCCGCCCACCTCGGCCTCCCAAAGTGCTGGGATTATAGGCATGAGCTACTGCGTCCGACTTGATAAAGACTTTCATGAACACTAACATAGTTTCTAACAGTTCAAGGCCACATCTCTAGGATGACCCTAATGCCCTTTAAAGTGTCTGACTGAGAGAACTCAAGGCTGCCAAAAGAATGTACTGTTTGTTCCAGCCCACAGATGAAGGTAAGGCCCCTGTTTCCCAGCTGCTGTGAGAGTGTAGGAGCCTAATGATAAGCCCCAGCTAACAAGGCCAGGTGGGCTTAACACAGACCAACCCCCTTCCCACTTTTTGTAATCTGTCACTTCTCTGACGTCATTGAGTCCCCACTCACCCTCTCTGTTCTTTCATTCTTGCTTTAAAATGCCCAGTTATCTCTACAAATCAAAGTTGAGTTCAGTTCAAGCTAGGCTCTTTTCCCTATTGCAATAATATGTCACTGATTAAAATCTGTTCTTACCACTTTATTTATTTATTTATTTATTTATTTATTTATTATTTTGAGACGGAGACTTGCTATGTGGCCTAGGCTGGAGTGCAATGGCACAATCTTGGTTTACTGCAAAATCTGCCTCCCGAGTTCAGGCGATTCTCCTGCCTCAGCCTCCTGAGTAGCTGGGATTACAGGTGTGCACCACCATGCCCAGCTAATTTTTGTTTTTTAGTAGAGATGGGGTTTCACCATGTTGGTCAGGCTGGTCTCGAATTCCTTGCCTCAAGTGATCCGCCTGCCTCGGCCTCCCAAAGCGCTGGGATTACAGGCGTGAGCCTCTGTGCCTGTCCTGTCCTTACCACTTTAGCTAGTGTCTGGCTTTGTTTATCTATGAGATGATCCAGCAATTCTACTCCCAGGTATATACCCACGAAAAATGAAGATATATATCCACACAGAAACTTGTATACAAATGTTTATAGCAACATTATTTATAATAGCCAAAAGGTGAAAACAGCCCAAATGCCCACTAACTGATGAATGGATAAATAAATTGTGATCTGTACAGGCAATGGAGTATTATTCAGCCATAAAAAGGAATGCCAGCTACTAGGGAGGTTGAGATGGGAGGATCACTTGAGCCTGGGAGGTTGAGGTTGCAGTGAGCCATGACCATACCACTGCACTCCAGCCTGGGTGACAGAGTAAGACTCTGTCTCAAAGAAAAAAATAAATGAAAGGAACACAGGGAGTGATGGGCTGAGCGTGGTAATCCCAGCACTTTGGGAGGCTGAGGCAAGAGGATCCCTGGAGCCTAGGAGTTTGAGACCAGGCTAGGTAAGTAACATAGGGAGACCCCATGTCCACTAAAAATAAAAAAATAAAAAAATTAGTGTTCCGGCGGGGGCGGCCGAGGGGGAAGAGTGTGTGTCTGCGGGAGAAAGAGGAGAATCACCCAAGCGGCCTCAGAAGTCCCAGGGAGTGGAGGCCCCTGCCATGGAGCCGTGTGGTGTATGTGTGGTAACACCATGTCTGTGCCCCTGCTCAACGATGCTGCCACCGTGTCTGGAGCTGAGCGGGAAACGGCCGTGGTTATTTTTTTACATGGACTTGGAGACACAGGGCACAGCTGGGCTGACGCCCTCTCCACCATTCGGCTCCCTCACGTCAAGTACATCTGTTCCCATGAGCCTAGGATCCCTGTGACCCTCAACATGAAGATGGTGATGCCCTCCTGGTTTGACCTGATGGGGCTGAGTCCAGATGCCCCAGAGGACGAGGCTGGCATCAAGAAGGCAGCAGAGAACATCAAGGCCTTGATTGAGCATGAAATGAAGAACGGGATCCCTGCCAATCAAATCATCCTGGGAGGCTTTTCACAGGGCCGGGCCCTGTCCCTCTACATGGCCCTCACCTGCCCCCACCCTCTGGCTGGCATCCTGGCTTTGAGCTGCTGGCCGCCTCTGCACTGGGCCTTCCCCCAGGCAGCTAATGGCAGTGCCAAGGACCTGGCCATCCTCCAGTGCCATGGGGAGCTGGACCCCATGGTGCCCGTACGGTTTGGGGCCCTGATGGCTGAGAAGCTCCGGTCTGTTGTCACACCTGCCAGGGTCCAGTTCCAGACATACCTGGGTGTCATGCACAGCTCCTGTCCTCAGGAGATGGCAGCTGTGAAGGAATTTCTTGAGAAGCTGCTGCCTCCTGTCTAACTAGTCGCTGGCCCCAGTGCAGTACCCCAGCTCATGGGGGACTCAGCAAGTAAGCATGGCACCATCTTGGGTCTGAGCTGGTCGAGCCCCTGTCCCCACCCTTCCTGACCTGTCCTTTTCCCACAGGCCTCTAGGGGCAGGTGGCAAGGCCTGGCTGGGCCTTCCTTCCTGGCCTCAGCCACCTGGCTCTGTCTGCAGTAGGGGCAGGCTGCTTTCTTATCCCATTTCCCTGGAGGCGGGCCCCCCTGGCAGCAGTATTGGAGGGGCTACAGGCAGCTGGAGAAAGAGGCCCAGCCACTGACCCACTCACTCAGGACCTCACTCACTAGCCCCACTTTGGGCCCCCTCCTGTAACCTTAGGGTTTGGCCCATGGGGCCCTCCCAGGCCCCTGCCCCAACTGATTCTGCCCAGATAATCTTGTGTCTCCTGCCTCCACTCAGCTGCTTCTCAGTCATGAACGTGGCCATGGCCCCGGGGGTCCCCTTGCTGCTGTGGGCTCCCTGTCCCTGGGCAGGAGTGCTGGTGAGGAGGTGGAGCCTTTTGAGGGGGGCCTTCCCTCAGCTGTTTCCCCACACTGGGGGGCTGGGCCCTGCCTCCCCGTTACCCTCCTTCCCTGCAGGCCTGGAGCCTGTAGGGCTGGACTGAGGTTCAGGTCTCCCCCCAGCTGTCTCACCCCCACTTTGTCCCCACTCTAGAGCAGGGAGGCAGTGGGGGAGGAGTTGTGTCTTGTCTTCTGTCTCCATGTGGTTTTTGGGTGTTTTTCTTCTTGTGTCCTGGATTCTGATAAAATTAAAGAAATTGCTTCCTCAAAAAAAAAAAAAAATTAGCCGGACATGGTGACTCGTGCCTGTGGTCCCAGCTACTCGGAAGGCAAGAGGTTGGAGTATCACTTGAGCCCAGGAGGCGGAGACTACAGTGAAACATGATCACACCACTACACTCCAGCCTGGGCAATGGTAAGACCCTGTCTCAAGGAAAGAAAAAAAAAAAGGAATGTGGTAGTGATACATTATATGCTACAACGGTGAGGAACCTCAAAAACATTATGCTAAGTGAAATAAGTCATTATTTATGGATTTTTTATTTTTCATTGTCAAGTTAGCATTGTACACAAATACACACACATGCTCACACACACAGCTTGGTTTCATTTGCAAAACTTTTATTTAGGATTTTTCCAGGTATGTTTGTCAGTGAGATTAGCCTATAGCTTTCCTTTCTTTCACTGTCTTTGTCTAATATTGTTATAGAGGTTATATTAATTTTTTTTTTTGAGATAAGAGTCTCGCTCTGTCACCCAAGCTGGAGTGCAGTGGCACAATCTCAGCTCATTGCAACCTCCACCTCCAAGGTTCAAGCTATTCTTGTGTCTCAGCATCCCGAATAGCTGGGATTACAGGCATGTGCCACCATGGTCGCCTAATTTTTTAAAAAAATGTTTTTAAATTTTTAGTAGAGATGGGGTTTTGCCATGTTGGCCAGGCTGGTCTCGAACTCCTGGCCTCAAGAGATCCACCCGCCTTGGCTTCCCAAAATGCTGGGGTTACAGGCATGAGCCACTGCTACCAGACTAGGTTATATTAAGTCTTATAAAATAGTTTGAAAGTATACTCTCTTTTTGAAAGGCATTTTTTTTTCTTTGCTTGTTTTTAGTTTTCTTTTCTTTGTTTTTTTTTATGTTTTTGAGACGGAGTCTTGCTCTGTTGCCCAGGCTGGAGTGCAGTGGCACAATCTCGGCTCACTGCAACCTCTGCCTCCCAGGTCCAAGCGATTCTCCTGCCTCAGCCTCTTGAGTAGCTGGGATTACAGACGCCCACCACCACGCCCGGTTAATTTTTGTATTTTTAGTAGAGACAAGGTTTCTCCATGTTGGCTTCCCCAGGCTGGTCTCGAATTCCTGACCTCGTGATCTGCCCACATCGGCCTCCTAAAGTGCTGGGATTACAGACGTGAGCCACCACGCCTGGCCGCTTGTTTTGTTTTTAATGTTGGTTATAACTCTGTATCTAGGTAATTATCTCATGAAGCATTTTTCTGCTATTGGAAGCAATTTGTATAAAACAGTAAGCCTCTTCGCCCCCATTCTTTTACGGGGCTAATTTCTACTCATTCTCCAGTTCTCATCATAAACTTCACATTGTTAGAAAGGGCTTTGCTTTCTCTCCCACTAGATTAGGTGTCTCTGTTCCATGACTCTCAGCACATTTCATTGTGATGTCTCATTAAATGTTGGTATTCTCAGCTGGACCCTAAACTACATGGACAGGGACCTAACTTTTGTTCACCACTACCCCAGTGCTTAGCACATTGATGTCACAAAATTGGCCACCAATAAATATGTTTGGCGGAATGAGTGAAAGAAACACGGCAAACTGGAATGCCCTGGGAAGTCCTCCTGCTTCAGAACAAAGGAGAAGACCGGAAGAAAGAAGGGCTACAGCCCAGCTGTGGAAGCAGAGCCCTAGGCAAGGAGGTGTCAGTGCAGTCCTGGTCCCTCTGTGCAGGAGCCTCTCATAAAGAGGCTGAGCTGTGTCAGCACCAGGGGCCCCATCATCATAGGAGGTCAGTGAAGCTTGGGAGTTCTGGCAGATGCAGCAGAGGTGGCCCTGAACACTTGGAGATTCTGGGATGGTCACCTGGGAGCCAGCAGCCATGCAGGGTAATGGGGAAGACAGCAGCGATTTCTGGAGATTGGCTCCCCTCAAAGACAGAGAGAGGAGCTTGGGCAGGACTAGATTTTCCAGTTTTTTTGTTTTGTTTTGTTTTTGTTTTTGTTTTGTTTTTTTTTTTGAGACGGAGTCTCACTCTGTCGCCCAGGCTGGAGTGTAGTGGTGCGATCTTGGCTCACTGCAAGCTCCGCCTCCCGCGTTCATGCCATTCTCCTGCCTCAGCCTCCCGAGTAGCTGGGACTACAGGCGCCCACCACCACGCCTGGCTAATTTTTTGTATTTTTTAGTAGAGACGGGGTTTCAGCGTGTTAGCCAGGATGGTCTCGATTTCCTGACCTCGTGATCTACCCGCCTCGGCCTCCCAAAGTGCTGGGATTACAGGCGTCAGCCACCACACCCGGCCTAAGTCACACTTTCAAAATTCCTAAATCCACCCAAGGCACGGATAGCTCAGTGGCTTCTGCAGGGCCCTGGAGAAACTTCCCTCACCAGGTTCTGACCCTCTGGCTCATGTTGGGTAATCATCTTGTTTAGTCTGCATCTGCACCTTAGTACCAGGAAGTGCCTTAGGCTGAGGAACAAGAATTCACTACTCACTGGAAAAATCAATGTCCCAGGTATTCTAGCTTACCTATCAGTCTCGTGTGACTTTGGCTAGCGTCAGTCAGTTCCCTTGAATGTCAATAACCCTGAATATTCTGGCAAATAGAACTTTAAGTCAAGTTATCGCTGGATCCTAGTGACAATCATCAGTCCTTAATACTAGATGATGGTTTGTTTGTTTATTAGTAAATCCTGACTGAGCACCTCCTGGGGGGCAGACCATGGTTGGGTCTGTCCCTGGTATCAACTTAGACAAATATTTCCATGTGATCCAGATATCTTAATCTATAGAGTGGATCTGAGAGCTGATGGCTTAGACCAGCTATTTGCTAAATTTCCTTCCCAGTATCTCAAAGGAGAATAGAGTAATGAAGGGAGGAGGTACTTGAGAGGGCCTGATTCAAGCAAGCAGGTTTGACTAAATTGTTGGATGGAGTCACCTTCACTACAACATTCCTCTCTGAGTAAAGCTGGGGCAATCCCAAGACAAGCCTTACAACTGAGTAGGGGTCTCTGGGAGCTGACTCTTTCCTGAGTTGACCAGCTACCGGCCAGACCAAGGTCACATTGGCACTTTTTTACTGCCATGCACAGACCTTTCACTTTTTCACTATGAGGGCATTTTACCACTTTATCCTTTGAATAAACTACAAGTACATAAGACACTTCAGCCTCACGCAAGCTTGGAAGGTAGGATAACACAATGGTGGGTAAAAGCATGTGCTCTGGAGACAAAGTCTGAGATCAAACCCAACCTCCAGGGAGTCTCTCTGAACCCATTTTGGTTCAGAGGGCTGCCTGAAAAAACAACAAAACAAAAAACCCAAACTCCCGCCTTTATGTCTCTGGGTCTCATGGACAAATAGGGTTAATAAGAGTCCTGCAACAAGGCTGGGCGTGGTGGCTCAAGCCTGTAATCCCAGCACTTTGGGAGGTCGAGGTGGGCAGATCACCTGAGGTCAGGACTAGCCTGGCCAACACGGTGAAACCTGTCACCACTAAAAATACAAAATTAGCCTGGCATAGTGGCACATGCCTGTAGTCCCAGCTACTGGGGAGGCTAAGGTGGGAGAATCACTTGAACTCGGGAGGTGGAGGTTGCAGTGAGCCAAGATGGCACCATTGCACTCCAGCCTGGGCGACAAGAGTGAAACTCCATCTCAAAAATAAATAAATAAATAAAAATAAAAATAGAGTCCTGCAACAGTGAGGATGCATTCAGATGAAAGCAACAGAAAACTCAGCTAATAATGTCAGTTAATAAAGACATTTAATTGTTTCATATTTCAAAAATGTCCGGAGGTCAGCAGCCAGTAAGCCCCCTAACGATATTATCTAAGACCCAGGGTCTCTTCATCCTGCTCCATCATCCTTGGCGTGCTGGCTTTTGGGGCCCTCTGTGTGATACTCCACTGATATTCTTGGCACATGGGAAACATCATCTGCTCTTGGATTTCCCAGATCAATCTGAGGATATTACTTCTTGGGGGTAGGTAGGGCCCTGTGGTGGTTTGGACTGTTATTCCCAATCCTTTGCTTCCTCCTTATTATTTAAGTGTACATCCATCCCCTTTGCTGTGTGACTTGCTTGTGCCAACAGAATGTCAGAGGACACGATGCAAGCAGATGCTTTCAATGTGCTTTTGTAGTTTGGCTTGGCCTCTTGCACTCCTGTGATCTGACAAGAGAAAGGCAAATTCCAGATATCCATTGCCCCTTCAGCTGTGACCCAGAATAGACACTGGACCAGGACTAAAGGAGTCCTACCAAGCCCTGTCAAGCCCAGCCTGATTAGACAAACCACAGACAACTCACAAACCCATGAGCATGAAAATAAATAGAGTGGCTTAAGCAATCTCCTGGGGACAGGTATAGGAGGACAGCAAGGGTCCTTGGGTTCTCAGAGTGTCCTCCAGCTCCTCCGGTTTATGAGTCAGTATGTACTTGGTCACATTCATCCTGGGGGCCTTTGGCTAAAGTCAACATTTAGAGTTTCTCGTGGATCTCTTGGCTGGATCTGATCTCACTGGTGCTTTCTGGCTGACTCAACCTCCCTGTGGCTCTCGGTAGCCCAGTGGGACCCCTGAATCTCTACCATGTCTCCCATTCAGCTCCTAACCAAGTTATGCAAACCACATGCCTCTGCTGCCAGGTCACCCTCTTCCTACCCCCCATGCCCCATGGCAGGCCCATGGCTCTCAATTCAATACCCATCACTGGAAAAGGGCTGGTAACACAAAACAGACCCTGTCTCCCTGCCAGTGCATCCTGATTTGCCCACTTATCTACAATGGGCAAAATTTTGTAGCAGCTTCAGTGATCTCTTCTGTTTTCTGGATGTTTCTGAAGCCATTCCCCCAATTCCAAGGCATCTCCTTGACTCTCACCTCCCTGCCTTCGTCTTGTTGAAACTCCAAGATGAGAAGTGGTAGGCTTCTCTTTTATTCTTTTCATATCTTATCTTTGGCTTCCTAGCTCTAATTGCCACTTCAAAAGACAAGGGTTCCCTTTGGAAACAATCTGTTGAGGTAGCTGTTATTATCCTCATTATGGACATATAGGAAATCAAAGATGAGAGATTAAATTACCTCCTCCTTTGGTAGAAACTTGATTCTAGATCTGGCTCTTGATTATGTTAAATGGGAGCTAAATGAATGCAGAAAACAATTTCTTTCTCATAGTCCAGTTTTCAAGTCCATTGTCTTGCTGCAAAATCCTATTTTGAATTTCAATAGATGCATATTACCATTTCCTTCTCTTTATATTTCTTCTGAAACAATCTTAATCTCCTCACAAGCAGTTTGATGCCACAACCAAATAAGAAAGAGGTCATTTACTTGCTGAAGGCAAAAGAGTATAAAAGGAAAAAACACATTAATAGTTTCTTCATACATTATCCATTCTAGCTCCCTGCTTCCACCTGACTTCCCTATTGCAAAGTCTGGAGAATCTTTATCTAGTCCTTTGAATGTGTGTATGCACACATGAGAATTCATGGCTGCATGCAAGAGTGTGTGTGCATGCATGTATTGATGAGAGTGTTGAGAAAAGGAACTCTTCATTTTCTCTTTTTTTCTTTTCTTTTCTTTTTTTTTTTTGAGACAGAGTCTTGCTCTGTCGCCCAGGCTGGAGTGCAGTGAGCTCATTGCAACCTCTGCCTCCCGGGTTCAAGGGATTCTCATGCCTCAGTCTCCCAAGTAGCTGGGATTCCAGGCACGTGCCACAACACCCGGCTAATTTTTGTATTTTTAGTAGAGACGGGGTTTCACCATGTTGGCCAGGATGGTCTCAAACTCCTGACTGCAAGTGATCCACCCGCGTCAGCCTCCCAAAGTGCTGGGATTACAGGTGTGAGCCACTGCGCCCGGTCCATTTTTTCTTTTTTTTTTTTTTTAATGCCATAAGTCTTTGAAACTCTAAAGCCAAAAATTTGACCCATTTATTTATAATTGGTATTATACTGTCATTCCTTTCTTTAGGTAATAAAGCCAGAACCATTGGTTTTTTTCATTAAGATAGGGAACCAGGTTACAAGGATTACCAAAAATAAAAGATAATAGGCTGCTGTTTTTAAAACCTTACATCTCCAGGATCTAAGTCAGTGGCAATAGGGAGAGAAGAGAGGCATTTGGTGACCCAAACCAACTGCTGCTGAGCTGTCCAGTTCTCTGGCTCTCCTTTGACTTCTTGGAACCATCACTTTGACAACAATAAACTCCCAATGCAGGAAAACAAAGCCAGGATTTTTTCTGAGTCTCAGCCACATGCTAAGCGATATGTGATGTACTTTTGTGTACATTATCTCATTTCTTCTTAAAGCAATCCTTCATAGTAGGTATTATCATTTTCACTTTTCACTTTTTTTTTTTTTTTTTGAGGCAGGGTCTCATTCTGTCACCCAGGCTAGAGCGCAGTGGAGCAATCACTACAGCCTCAAATTCCTGGGCTCAAGTGATCCTCCCACCTCAGCCTCCTGAGTAGCTGGAACTGCAGGCGTGTGCTACCATGCCCAGATAATTTTTAAATTTTTTTGCAGAGATTGGGATCTCATTATGTTGCCCAGGCTGGTCTCAAACTCCTGGCCTCAAGCAATTCTCTTGCCTCCGCTTCCCCAAGCGTTGGGATTACAGGCATGAGCCACTGCACTTGGCCTCATTCTCATTTTTTAATGATGAGACAGGGTGCACAGGCTGAAAGAGGTAGAATAACTTCCCCAAAGCCCAACAGCTAAAACATGAAAGAGCCGGGATTCGGCCGCCCCGTCTGGGAAGTGGGCGCCTCTGCCCGGCCACCCCGTCTGGGAGGTGAGGAGCGCCTCTGCCAGGCTGCCCTGTCTGGGAAGTGTACGCAACAGCTCTGAAGAGACAGCGACCATCGAGAACGGGCCATGATGACGATGGCGGTTTTGTCGAAAAGAAAAGGGGGAAATGTGGGGAAAAGAAAGAGAGATCAGATTGTTACTGTGTCTGCATAGAAAGAAGTAGACATAGGAGACACCATTTTGTTCTATACTAAGAAAAATTCTTCTGCCTTGGGATGCTGTTAATCTATAACCTTACCCTCAACCCTGTGCTCTCTGAAACATGTGCTGTGTCAACTCAGGGTTAAATGGATTAAGGGCGGTGCAAGATGTGCTTTGTTAAACAGATGCTTGAAGGCAGCATGCTTAAGAGTCATCACCACTCCCTAATCTCAAATACCCAGGGACACAAACACTGCCGAGGGCCGCAGGGACTTCTGCCTAGGAAAACCAGAGACCTTTGTTCACGTGTTTATCTGCTGACCTTCTCTCCACTACTATCCTATGACCCTGCCACATCCCCCTCTCTGAGAAACACCCAAGAATGATCAATAAATACTAAAAAAAAAAAAAAAAAAAAAAAAAAAGAGCAAGAGCCGGGATTCAAACCCTGCTCCTTGGTACTGCTAACCTCACCGTCGTTTCTCTACATTGGGTGCCTCTTGAGTGATTGTGCTAACACTACATGGAGAGGACTCTATAAAGATGACTACTTTCTTCCTTGTGGGAGTTTTTATTTTATTTTAATTTTTTGAGACAAGGTCTCGCTCCGTTGCCCAGGCTGGGTTGTAGTGGCACGATCTTGGCTCACTGCAGCCTCAACCGCCCTGGACTCCCATCTTGACCTCCAGAGTAGCTGGAACTACAGGCGCATGCCACCACTCCCAGCATTCTCCTGCCTCAGCCTCCCGAGTAGCTGGGACTACAGGCGCCCGCCACCACAGCGGGCTAATTTAGAGACGGGGTTTCACCGTGTTAGCCAGGATGGTCTCGATCTCCTGACCTCGTGATCCGCCCACCTCGGCTTCCCAAAGTGCTGGGATTACAGGCATGAGCCACCGCGCCCGGCCTGAAGTTTCTTAGCCACAGTGCTTTTAAACATTTTATAAAAAAGCAAAACAAATATTCCTTACTGCTGCGTCTATCTTCTGAAGATGACAGCAGCTGGCAGAGCTTGTCCACCTCAGCCTAGCTAGCATTTAAAATGGCTATAGGAGAGAGTCCCTTATTAGCGGGCTCCTCCCCCAGGGCTCTGTACTCTAGGCTGCTCCACACTCCTTTGCCCACCTTAGGCTAGTAAGGTCGGGGTGTACATGGACTGTTTCTTAGCCCTTTCCCTAGGGGGCCAGGGGAGACAAGGAATTGCTTGTCAACTGAGACATGTGAGGGGTGGCAGGGAAGGGCAGAAGTAGGAAAAGCAGCAGCACAGCAAGCAGCAGGCCACTTCCTGGGCACAGTTACTAAGGCAGGTGACCATGGTGAGGAGGATCCTCAGGACTGGGCTGGAGCTGCCTGCAGCCACCTGGGGACTCAGTCTGCGCCTTTTGGCCTCCCCTCCATCACCACAAACCCAGAAAGGGGCAACCTGCCCAGACTGCCAGTGGCCAAATGGGCACTCCATGGCATCTTAGCATCTCTCCTGCTCCAGGCCTCTGTGGGCAGCAAGAAAGCTAGAGCTACCTGGGATAAAACCGAGGAGGCAGCATGCAACTTCCTCTTATATTCCAGGGTATTAGATATGAGTTCTAAATTTCTTTTCAAATAATTGTCATTATGTTCAATTCTTTACCTTCTACTTTTAAACTTAACTTCCTCGTAAAGCAATCTTTTTTGATTACCTACTCCACCCTGACTCATTCTGATCTCCTGCTCCACCCTAACTCATTTTGATCACCTGCCACCTGCTCTGCCCTGACTCCCGCCAAAGCACTCATCCCGTCATTCTCTTTAAATTAGCCAGTCAGAATTAGTTTAGCCTGTGCTGTCTAACCCTAGCCAATAGGGGAACGAAACAGCAGCAGGGGCCACGTGCATTAGGGATAAGAACCCCTTCCCCTCCCTTGTCCAAGTGTGCGCTCACCATTGTTCCATCTGTAAGGGTGCACCCTTCTATATAGAAGTACCTAGCCTTGCTGAGAATTAAAAGGAAAATTTTATATTTGAGTGATATTCCTTTTGCGGCACCGAAACTTTATATATAACAATTTGGGGGCTTGTCTGGGATTACATTCCCCTCTGGGGGTGGTCTCTGGTTCTCTCTCTTGAGGAGGTGAACCCCGCCCTATTGTGGCGGCCTCAGGCGTGAAAAATCAAGACCTACCCAGTGCAAGGAATAACCCAAGCTCTCAGCAATGCAGGAAAAAAAAAAAAGGCCATCAACCTTTTGGGGTGATCAGACCCAACACCAGGCCGTGGGGGCTACGAAGTCCAGCAGAGTCAAAGGAATGAGAAAACACAAGTTCAGAGAGAAAGTGGGACCAGGGGGCCAACACTAGTATGGAGGTTGCAAAGGCCCGGAGCTCTGGAAGCCCACACTATTTATTGGTGATCAAACAAACAGGGGGTGAGGATGTGGGGGTTGAAAGGAAGCGATGTATCAAGCTAATGAACTACAGATGTGATGGTTTAGCATTTTCTTTGAAATGTATGGCTACTTGAGATAATGGGAGTGCTAGAAGCAAGAAGCCAGCAAGTCTGGACACATTCCAAAGGCCACCAGGGGTGTTACCCTGAATGTAAAACTATTGAAGAAACAATTTATGTGCAAGATGTATAAGGAAAGTAAAATATACTTTTAGTAAAAGGATTATAAGGAGGCATAAGAATGTGGATTTTTACCTACATTAAAAGGTTAAAAAAAAATTTTGTGGCCAGGCATGGTGGCTCACACCTGTAATCCTACCTAGCACTTTGGGAGGCCGAGGTGGGTGGATCACCTGAGATCAGGAGTTTGAGACCAGCCTGGCCAACCTGGTGAAACCCCGTCTCAACTAAAAATACGAAAATTAGCTGGGCATTGTGGTGGGCACCTGTAATCCCAGCTACTCACTCAGGAGGCTGAGGCAGGAGAATCACTTGAACGTGGGAGGCGGAGGTTGCAGTGAGCCAAGATCGCACCATTGCACTCCAGCCTGGGTGACAGAGTGGGACTCCATCTCAAAAAAGAAAAAAAAAATTTGTTTTGAAGGTTTAAGCAAGTTTTAAAATGTTAATTGTAATGGAAATTATGTGTGTAAACATATTGGCTAAGGTTAAAAGGGTATCACCCAGTTTTTCTGTGAACTGAGCATTAAAATAAAAACACAACGGGTTTTTCTTAAAGCACTAACCCGCTCTTTAACAAAAATTATAAAAAGTTAAAAACAGGCCAGGCTCAGTGGCTCACGCCTGTAATCCCAGCACTTTGGGAGGCCGAGGCAGGCAGATCACCTGAGGTCGGGAGTTCGAGACCAGCCTGACCAACATGGAGAAACCCCCATCTCTGCTAAAAATCCAAAATTAGCTGGGTGTGGTGGTGCATGCCTGTAATCCCAGCTACTTGGGAGGCTGAGACAGGAGAATTCCTTGAACCCGGGAGGCAGAGATTGCAGTGAGCCAAGATTGCACCATTGCACTCCAGCCTGGGCAACAAGAGTGAAACTCCTTCTCAAAAAGAAAAAAAAAAAACAGTCTATAAAAATCTTACCTTATGGGCCGGGCACGGTGGCTCACGCCTATAATCCCAGCACTATGGGAGGCCGAGGTGGGTGGATCATGAGGTCAGGAGATAGAGACCACCCTGGCTAACAAGTAAAACCCTGTCTCTACTAAAAATACAAAAAATTAGCCAGGCGTGGTGATGGGCGCCTGTAGTCCCAGCTACTTGGGAGGCTGAGGCAGGAGAATGGCGTGAACCCGAGAGGTGGAGCTTGCAGTGAGCCGAGATCGTGCCACTGCATTTCAGCCTGGGCGACAGAGCAAGACTCCATCTCAAAAAAAAAAAAAAAAAAACAAAAAACAAAAACTTACCTTATGATCAGACATTAAAAATTGGATAAATATGTCTACAAAGTGTTATTAAAACTAAGTTTAACATTAATAGGCTGGGCGTGGTGGCTCACGCTTGTAATCCCAGCACTTTGGGAGGCCAAGGCGGGCAGATTGCCTGAGCTCAGGAGTTCGCGACCAGCCTGGGCAACAAGGTGAAACCCCGTCTCTACTAAAATACAAAAAAATTAGCCGGGCGTGGCAGCGTGTGCCTGTAGTCCCAGCTACTTGGGAGGCTGAGGCAGGAGAACTGCTTGAACCCGGGAGGCAGAGGTTGCAGTGAGCCAAGATCACGCCACTGCACTCCAGCCTGGGCAACAGAGTGAGACTCCGTTTCAAAAAAAAAAATTAATAACACACTAATATAAAGGTGAAATTTAGCTTATCTGGTATAAAAATCATACAGGAAGCACTGTCAAATATAAAATGGTGTTTGGCGTTCTTTGGTCTAAAAAAACTAATAAAAATAAGTGCTAAAGGAAATTTCTCAGTAAGAAGGCACCAAGGACTATAAAGTCCACTGCTGATGTCCCCACATTTAAAACAAAAGGTCGATTTCTTAGAAATTATATGCTTGGTTTATCTTCCACTTTCCTCTCCCTCAAAACTAAAAATATTTTAGCACAGGTACCACCCCTAAAATTTCTGGTAAACCAGCACCAGCCTGAAGATCATGTTGTCATCAGAGGGTGGAAAGAAGGAAAACTCGAGCCAGCCTGGGAAGGACCCTACCTTGTGCTGCCAACCACCGAGACTGCAGTTTGTACAGCGAAAAAGGGATGGATTCATCACACCCGAGTCAAGAAAGCACCACCCCCTCCAGAGTTGTGGGCCATAGTCCCAGGGGGAAACCCTACCAAATTAAAGCTAAGAAAAATTTAACTCTTTCATCTATTCTATTACTCTTTCTCCTTTCCTCGCTCTATTGCTGACCATCTAGTTATTAACATAACCAAGTCAATTTCGCCTCAAATTATTGCATTTAGTGCTTGCCTTGTTATATCCCGTAGGAACTTGCCAAGTCAAAGACAGCTCTCTACTTCTGAAAAGTACCTCTGTCCCTCCTGACTCTCCTCACACTGGGCATTAGTAAATTAGGACCACTGAATCCGGGGGGATTTCGATAAAGATCCCAATGTCAACCAGGATTCTTGACCCCCAATGTAGAGCTTTTATGCCGTAGTCGGTCCAACGTTCTGTGGATCACTAAAGAGCAAGTATGGACTGCCCCAATCAGTTTTTGTAATTTCCTAAAACCATATATTCATTTTACTAGAGGATCATAGAAGTTAAAGACTTAAAAAACATTTTGGCAATTAACACAGGATACCAAGATGCAAATGCCTGGTTGGAATGGATCAAATATTCCGTCCACATTAAACAAAAGCAATTGTTATGCTTGTGCACATGGCAGGCCAGAGGCCCAGATTGTCCCCTTTCCACTAAGGTGGTCCTCCAGTCGACCAGGTGTGGGCTGCATGGTAGCTCTTTTCCAGGATTCTACAGCCTGGAGTAATAACTCACGCCAAGCTCTCTCTCTGCTATATCCTGAAGTCCGGCACCCTGCGCGTCAGCCCCCGAGGGCCATCCAGCTTCTGTCTCCCAACACTAAGTTCACTTCGTGTCTCTCCCAATAGGGAGGAAACTTAGCATTCCTTGGAGACCTGAAGGATGCAGTGAGCTTAAGAATTTTCAAGAGCTTATCAATCAGTCAGCCCTTGTTCATCCCCGAGTGGATGTGTGGTGGTATTGTGGTGGATCTTTACTGGACACTGCCAAATAACTGGAATGGCACTTGTGCTTTATTCCAATTGGCTATCCCTTTCACCCTGTTATTTCATCAACGAGAGGAAGGAAAAATAAGTATCATAAAGCAAGAGAAGCCCTTTATGGGTCTTTCGACTCTCATGTCTATTTAGACACAATTAAGAGTCCCATGGGGAATACCAGATCAATTTAAAGCCCAAAATCAAATTGCTGCAGGATTTAAGTCAACATTTTGGTGGGTAACAATTAATAAAAGTGTAGATTGGGTAAACTACGTCTATTACAACCAATAGCGATTTATTAACTACACTAGAGATGCTGTTAGAGGAATAGCTGAACAATTAGGGGCTACTAGCCAGACGGCTTAGGAAAATAGTGTCACCGGCGTCTGTGTGAAGAGACCACCAAACAGGCTTTGTGTGAGCAATAAAGCTGTTTATTTCACCTGGGTGCAGGCGGGCTGAGTCCGAAAAGAGAGTCAGCAAAGGGTGGTGGGATTATCATTAGTTCTTATAGGTTTGGGATAGGCATACAAACTACATTCTTAAGGGCAGGGGAGAATATTACAAAGTACCTTCGTAAGGGTGGGGGAGAATATATTTATCAGTTAGGGTGGGACAGGAACAAATCACAATGGTGGAATGTCATCAGTTGAGGCTATTTTCACTTCTTTTGTGGATCTTTAATTGCTTCAGGCCATCTGGATGTATACCTGCAGGTCACAGGGGATATGATGGCTTAACTTGGGCTCAGAGGCCTGACATTCCTATCTCCTTATATTAATAAACAAAATAGTGGTGAAGTGTTGGGGCTGCGAAAATTTTTGGAGGTGGTATGGAGAGATAATGGGTGATGTTTCTCAGGGCTTCTTCGAGCGGGATTAGGGGCGGTGTGGGAGCCTAGAGTGGGAGATATTAAGCTGAAGGAAGATTTTGTGGTAAGGGGTGATATTGTGGGGTTGTTAGAAGGAGCATTTGTCGCCCGGTGTGGTGGCTGACGCCTATAATCCCAGCACTTTGGGAGGCTGAGGCGGGCGGATCACCTAAGGTCAGGAGTTCAAGACCAGCCTAGCTGACATGGTGAAACCCCATCTCTCCAAAAAAAAAAAAAAACAAAAATTAGCCGGACATGATGGCGGGTGCCTGTAATCCTAGCTACTCAGGAGGCTGAGGTGGGAGAATTGCTTGAACCCCAGGAGGTGGAGGTTGCAATGAGCTGAGATCGCGCCACTGCACTCCAGCCTGGGTGACAGAGTGAGACTCTGTCTCAAAAAAAAAAAAAAAAAGAAAAGACAGCTGGAAAAGAATGGTTATCATCTTTAGGAAAAAAAAAATGGCTGGGCACAGTGTCTCACGCCTGTAATCCCAGAAGGAGCATTTGTCGTATACAATGATTGGCGATGGCCTGGATACAGTTTTGGATGAATTGAGAGACTAAACGGAAGATACAAGGTCCGAATAAGGGAAGGAGAAAAACAGGTATTAAAGGACTAAGAATTGGGAGCACCCAGGACATCCAATTAGAGAGTGCCCAAGGGGGTTCAGAGTAATTACTTGCTTGGTTGGCGAGTTTTTGGCCTCTATCCTTGAGTTCTTTTATGTTGTCATACACCAGGCCAGATTGATTTAGGTAAAAACAACACTCTTCATTAAAAAATATACAGAGTCCTCCTTTTTCAGCAGTGAGTAAGTCAAGGCCTCGGTGGTTTTGGAGGACAACTGCAGCTAAAGAGTCAACTTGGGCCTGAAGGACTGATAAAGTTTGTGATATGTGTGTGATGCTAGCAGAGAAGTCATTAGAGAGGCTATGGAAGGTCGTGACAGAGGTTGAAATGCCTACTATTCCAGTACCGAGAGCAATAGTGGAGGCAGAAAGTCCTAAACCGACAAGCAAGGGAATTAGCGGAATAACTCTTTTTTGTTGTGTCGGTGTCATGAGGGGAACAGGAAGATGTTCAGTCCCATTTGCAAATTGATTTTGGGAGTAAGGAAAACTAGTGTGCATGTGCCTGTCCAATTAGCAGGTAGACACATGTAGGTAGAGGATCCACAGAGGAAGAAGAGACCTTGTGCGGAGCAAAACCGGAAATGCAAAGTAAAAAGATGAGAAGGAGTGCTGAAAGAGGTGTCTTGTACCCAGACTCCTAGGGATCCAGCTAGGGCGGCAGCCGTCAGAGGTTGTAATGGGGACTGATGGGGTAACTACGTAGAGGGGGAGGTTTGATTTTCATGGTGTATGAGAAAACTTTGAGTGTCTACGAGCAACCTTTCACTGTTATTTACGGGGCTGAGTATAAGCAAACAAGAAGAGGGCCTGGGAGGAGAGTCTGACAAGCAAGGGGAAGGTAGCCAAGGATGGAGTGAAATACAGGGTAAGTGTCTTCCTAAGCAATAATAACTGCTAATGTGTTTAAGTTTGCCAGTATTGATAGAGGGCTTATCTGTAATACAGAGCTGGGAGGCTCCAATTGTTTCAGTGATGTGTGTAGTTGGGCTTCGGAGATGAAGAGTAAAGGAACATCAAGAAGGTGAAAGATTACCTAGGGGAATTCCAGTGGGTCTTTGCCGAGAGATACATAAAGGAACGGCCACAGGAATAGTAGTTTGTGTTGTGAGGGGTCCAAATATGGGGGGAGTAGAGTTGATATAAGGAGAAAGGTTTTTTAAGTAAGTGTGGAGGAGGGCGGCAGCTTGCTGAAGTGAAATGTCTGGGGAAGTCTTGCTGGACCTGTCTAGAAAGTAAAGAAGTTCTTTAGGAAGGTAAAGGTGAGGGCTGTTAAAGGAAGTTTGGAGGTGTAGGGAGATAGGAGAGGTTGCCCAGTCTGTATGTAAGGCGGGGACAGCTGTGTAGGCGCAGGAAGAAAGGGAAATGCAAATTCAGCAATGGTTCGATGAGGGATTAGAAACGGCTAGGAGAGAGTGAATGAGATTGATAGTGTGGTGGAGCTAGCTGGGGAGAGGTAGAGGGTGGCATAAAAATGGGAACAAGAATAGGAGTGAGTATAAAAGTAAAGAATAGGACTTCATCAGGGTGAAAGTATTGGAGTGTGCCCTGCCAGCAAATATTATTTATTTACTTTAAGAGGGAGTTAAGAGTGGCGGTCTGGGGATAGCACCAGGAGATACCAGCTGTGACGGCTTGGAGAAACAGTGTAAACCGGCAGTGTAAACAAGAGCAGGGCATTTATGAGTAGTTGAGAATGGTGAATAGGAGTATGACTAGACAGAAGATAGAAGGGATGACAAGTTTTTGGGGTGCAGTCCGAGTTGGGCTGGTGTCTGGAATAAGACTGGGGCCTAATAAAAAGGAGCATCCATACAGGAGCTCAAATGGGCTGTATCCTGCAGCATTCCGAGGACAGGCCCGAATTCTGAGAAGGGCAAGTGGTAAAAGTACTGTCCAGTCTTTTTAAGTTGGAGGCTGAGCTTGGTGAGGTGTGTCTTTAAAAGACTATTAGTCTGTTTTACTTTTTCTGAAGATTGAGGATGGTAAGGGGTATGAAGGTTCCACTGAATACCAAGAGCCTGAGAAACTGCTTGGGTGATTTGACTAATAAAGGCCAGTCTGTTATTGGACTGTATAGAGGTGGGAAGGCCAAAGCGAGGAATTATGTCTGACAGAAGGGAAGAAATGACCGCAGTGGCCTTCTCAGACCCTGTTGGAAAGGCCTCTACCCATCCAGTGAAAGTGTCTACCCAGACCAAGAGGTATTTTAGTTTCCTGACTTGGGGCATGTGAGTAAAGTCAATTTGCCAGTCCTGGGCAGGGGCAAATCCCTGAGCTTGATGTGTAGGGAGGGGAGGGAGCCTGAACACTCCCTGAGGAGTAGTAGAATAGCAGATGGAACACTAAGAAGTGATTTCCTTGAGGATAGATTTCCACGATGGAAAGGAAATGAGAGGTTCTAAGAGGTGGGCTAGCAGCTTGTAACTTACATGGAAGAGGTTATGAAATGACAGCAGAATAGAATGGGCCTGTGAGGCTGTTAGGAGATATTTTCCTTGGTCCAAGAACCATTTGCCTTGTGTGGGAAGAGACTGATAGGTAGAAGTTTCAGCAGGAGAGTAGGTGGGAGTGACCCATGAGAATGAGAAAAATTGGCCGTGAGGGACAGAATTTGGAATGCTAGCTGCTTCTTTAGCTACCTTATCAGCAAAAGCATTGCCCTGAGCGATGGGATCTGACGCCTTTTGATGGCCCTTGGAGTAAATGACTCCAGCTTCCTTTGGAAGTAAAGCGGCCTTGAGAAGAGTTTTTATTAAAGAGGCATTAATGACAGAGGACCCTTGCGTAGTGAGGAAACCTCTTTTTGCCCATATAACAATATGGTGGTGCAGGATATGGAAGGCATATTTAGAGTTGTATAAATATTGACATGTAGTCCCTTTGCAAAAGTGAGGGCTCGAGTTAAGGCAATGAGTTCAGCTTGCCGAGAGGTAGTGGAGAGGGGCAGAGCAGTAGCCTCAATGATAGATGTGGAAGATACTATAGCATAGCCTGCCTTTGCTGGTGTGTGGCAATTAGGCCTGGTAGAACTACCATCAATAAACCAAGTGTGATCAGGGTGAGGAACAGGAAAGAAGGAAATACGGGGAAATGGGGTGAATGTCAGGTGGATCAGAGAGATACAGTCATGGGGGTCAGGTGTGGTATCAGGAATAATGTGGGAGGCTGGATTGAAGTCCTGGCCAGGAACAATGGTAACTGTGGGAGACTCAACAAAGAATGAGTACAGCTGAAGGAGCCGGGGAGCAGAAAGTATACGTGTTAGATGTGAGGAAGAAAATAGATTTATGAGAACTGTAGAGAGTGAGTTGAGCATAGTTTGTGATTTTGAGGGCCTGTAAAAGTATTAGGGCAGTGGCAGCCACTGCACGGAGACATGATGGCCAGCCTAAAACAGTAAGTCAAGTTGTTTGGACAAAAAGGCTACAGGGTGCGGTCCTGGTCCTTGTGTAAGAATTCTGACTGTACAGCCCTGCACTTCGGCTGTGTGTAATGAAAAGGGTCGGGATGAGTCATGGAGAGCTAGTGTGGGAGCTGTGTTTTAAGGAATGGAAAGGGGAGAGGAGAAAGGATTTAGGATCTATGGGGTCAGCTAGGTTTATCTAGAACAGAATAATGGGTTGTGGAGGGAGGTATTGAGGATAGGAGAGTATATGGGTTTGGCACCACAGGGTGGATAGGCAAAACAATTTGGTCGATATGGCGCAGATCCTGAACTAACCTGTAAGGCTTATCTGGTTTTTGGACAGGTAAAATGGGGGAATTGTAAGGAGAGTTTATAGGCTTTAAAAGGCCATGCTGTAACAGGTGAGTGATAACAGGATTTAATCCTTTTAAAGCATGCTGTGGGATGGGATACTGGCATTGAGCGGGGTAAGGGTGATTAGGTTTTAATGGGATAGTAATGGGCGTGGATAGTTCACCAGGGAGGGAGTAGAGGTGTCCCATACCTGTGGATTAAGGTGAGGAGATAAAAGAGAAGGACGTGAAGGAGGCTTTGAACTGGGGAAAAGGGCAGCAACGAAATGTGGCTGTAGCCTAGGATTAGTCAGGGAAGCAGATAATTTAGTTAAAATGTCTCGACCTAATAAGGGAGCTGGGCAGGTGGGGATAACTAAAAAGGAGTGCATAAAAGAATATTGTCCAAGTTGGCACCAGAGTTGGGGAGTTTTAAGAGGTTTAGAAGCCTGGCCATGAATACCCACAACAGTTATGGAGGCAAAGGAAATAGGCCTTTGAAAAGAAGGTAATGTGGAGTTGGTAGCCTCCATATTGATTAAGAAGGGTGACTTACCCTCCACTGTAAGAGTTACCCAAAGTGTCCGTGATGGCCCGGGAGGCTTCGAAGGTGATCGGACAGCATCAGTCTTCAGCCGCTAAGCTGAGAAGATCTGGGAAGGAGTCAGTCAGAGAGTCTTGGGCCAGAGATCCCAGAGCTCTGGGAGTGACTGCGAGGCGAGTGGGACAGTCTGATTTTCAGTGGGGTCCTGCACAGATGGGACACGGCTTAGGAGGAATCCCGGGCTGTGGGCATTTCTTGGCCCAGTGGCCAGATTTCTGGCACTTGAAGCAAGATCCTGATGAAGAAGGTCCTGTAGGAATGCTTGACCACTGCGGTTTAGGCATGTGCGGCTTAGGCATTTTGAAGTTCTCGTGTGCTGGAGGTGCAGCTGGGTTTTGTCTCACAGCAGAGGCAAGTAATTGTAACTTTTCTCTATTATTGTACACCTTGAAGGCAAGGTTAATTAAGTCCTGTTGTGGGGTGACGTGCACCTGTAATCCCAGCTATTCAGGAGGCTGAGGCAGGAGAATAGCTTGAACCAGGGAGGTGGAGGTTGCAGTGAGCCGGGATCACGCTACTGCACTCCAGCCTGGGCGACAGAGTGAGACTCCATCTCAAAAAAAAAAAAAAATTATTCTTTGTTCATTTCCTGACCCATGATAACCGAACCCCTGGTATTTTTCGCGTGGGTCCTGTCCACCTGATGGTAGTCAGGACTGTCCCTTACCGGGATTTTCTGAAAATTGATGAGCTCTCCTCCTTTCACGCATAACTTCAAGGCGATCACGTCGGGTGCACCACTTGCAGAGTTTATAGCTTGCAGTGAACGCCAAGAATGAGTTCTTAGACAATTCCAGCTGAGTGGGGCCGGGGGAATGGGGGGGGCATTTCTTCTAAGAGAACCCGCCCCAGCATCCGTCTGCCAAGTATTTATTGAAAGTGCTTGTTAAACCACAAACATCCACTAGATGGCTTTTTGAGGTCGGGTCGTGAGACACCTGCGGCCTCGTAAAAGCACTCAAACCGCATTCTCAGGAGGCTGTTTTCAGCGTTCCTTATCACACCACACACTCCACTCCCTGTCCTGTTTTCAGGGTCAAGGAATTTCATTCTCACGCACAAATAACATACACACAGTGCCTCAGTATTCTTCCATGCCCCGACCTCAGATGCCATGTACATAAGCTTGAATATGTTGCTGTGCACCCCCCACACTCAAGTGTCCCCACCCCTTTAAATATGTTGTGTGGGGCTAGTTCTTCCATTGCCCATGAAAGATAACTCAGGCAGGCCACAGAGCATACCTGCTCAATCCTTGGAACAAAAAAAAAAATCCTCCAAGCATCATTCTGAATTACGTTTTTTCTCTCGGCCAGCTCCGACTGAGTGGTTTGACATGGGAAGCTGCCAGTGTGAAACTGGCAGAGTGGCTGGCTTCCTCAAGAATTTCTTTCTTGCCTTCCTGTGTCTGACTCTCCACCCTCTCCCTCACAGCCAGAAGCAGAGGAGGTGAGGGGGACAAAATGCTTTACCTGACGGCCATACACTGGAAGTGGTTTTGGTTTCCTCTGGCTGTGGTGGATGTTCAAATTGACTTTTGCTCTTGTGCGATGTTTGTGTGTCTTTTATAAACTCCCAGTAGCTGAATATCTCTCACTTATACTCTGTAGCCCAAACTTTGAATTATATTATTTTATTTTTTAACTTTTATTTTAGGTTCAGGGGTACATGTGTAGGTTCCTTATATAGGTAAAGTGTGTGTCATGGGGCTTTGGTGTACAGGTAATTTAATCACCCAAGTAACAAGCATAGTACCTGATAGGTCCCACCTTGAATTTGTCTAGGTGTTAGATTGGCTGCAGTTCTCTACCACTTCCTGTTATCTGAGGCCTTTACAGTGTGCCTTGGTGGCTAGTCACTCTCACCAAAAGGTAGAGTTTAGGAGGGCATGGTGGCTCCCACCTGGAATCCCAGCTACTTGGGAGGCTGAGACAAAAGGATCACTTGAACCCAGGAGGTCGAGGCTGCAGTGAACCATCCATGTTCATGCCACTGCACTCTAGCCTGGGCAACAGAGAAAGATCCTGTCTCAAAACAAACAAAAAAACATGGCAAAACCCTGTCTCTACTAAAAATACAGAAATCAGCCGGTGGTGGCATGCACCTGTAATCACAGCTATTGGCTGAGGCATGAGAATGGCTTGAACCTAGGAGGTGGAGGTTGCATTGAGCCGAGATCATGCCACTGCACTCCAGGCTGAGCGATGGAGAGAGACTCTGTCTCAAAAAAAAAAAAAAAAAAAAAGTTTGATAACACACTCAGCTGATGGGGTGGGGAAAGGAAACTGGTACTGTCACACATTGCCGACAGGAAGGAAGGTACACTGGTGCGGCTTCTACAGAAAGCATTTTAAAAATATCTACCCAAATCAAGTATTTACGTATTCTTTGACCTAGCAATTCTACTTCAAAGAACATACATTTACACTAGACATTTTTTTTTTGAGATGGAGTCTTGCTCTAGAGTGCGGTGGCACAATCTCAGCTCACTACAACCTCCGCCTCTGCCTCCCAGGTTCAAGCAGTCTTCCTGCCTCAGTCAGCCTCCTGAGTAGCTGGGATTACAGGTGCGCACCACCACGCACAGCTAATTTTTGTATTTTTTGTAGACAGGGTTTTACCATGTTAGCCCGGCAAGTCTTAAACTCCTGACCTCAAGTGATCCACCTGCCTTGGCCTCCCAAAGTGCTGGGATTATAGGTGTGAACCACCACGCCTGGCCTACACTGGACATTTTTGAGAGTCAAGGGAGCACTATAACAAACAAGGGGTCGGGTGCGGTGGCTCACTCCTATAATCCCAGCACTTTGGGAGGCCAAGGTAGGTGGATCACTTGAGCCCAAGAATTTGAGACTACTCTGGGCAACATATTGAGAGAACTCATCTCCATTAAATTAAATTTAAAAAAAAAAAAAAAAAAAAAGAGGCCGGGCGTGGTGGCTCAAGCCTGTAATCTCAGCACTTTGGGAGGCCAAGTCAGAAGGATCATGAGGTCAGGAGTTCGAGACCAGCCTGGCCAATATGGTGAAACCCCATCTCTACTAAAAATACAAAAATTAGCCAGGCATGGTGGTGTGCGCCTGTAGTCCAAGTTACTTGGGAGGCTGAGGCAGAAGAAAAACTTAAACTTGTGAGGTGAAGGTTGCAGTGAGCCGAGATTGGGCCACTGCACTCCAGCCTGGGCAACAGAACAAGACTCCGACTCCGAAAAAAAAAAAGAAGGAAGCACCTCTCTGTTTGATTTCAAGGTATTAAGTGAGGAAAAGCAAGGAAAAGAGTAGTGATCATGTATTTATATGTATGTATACATTTATACATATACACTTATATATATTAATACATGCTTATATATATAGACTCTATCTCTGCAAGTGCAGCAGATGTAGGTTGGTGGGAGGCTGACACGTGTACAATTTTGGATACCTGTTTTAAGAGAAAGAATACCAAAAGTATCCCAGCACTTTGGGAGGCCGAGGTGGGCAGATCACCTGAAGTCAGGAGTTTGAGACCAGCTTGGCCAACATGGCCAAACCCCATCTTTACTAAAAAAAAATATAAAAATTAGCCAGGCACGGTGGTGAGTGCCTATAATCCCAGTTACTCAGGAGGCTGAGGCAGGAGAATCGCTTGAACCCAGGAGGCGGAGGTTGCAGTGAGCTGAGATCACGCCACTGCACTCCAGCCAGGGCAACAGAACGAGACTCCGTCTCAAAAAAAAAAAAAAAACCAAAAGTATAAATACAAAATTAGGTACAGACCAGCCTGGCCAACATGGCAAAACACTGTCTCTACTAAAAAAATTCAAAAACTAGCCAGGCATGGTGGCAAATGCCAGTAAATCCCAGCTACTTGGGAGGCTGAGGCAGAGAATCATTTGAACCTGAGATGCAGAGATTGCAGTGAGCCAAGATCTCGTCACTGCACTGCAGGCTTCGTGACAGAGTCTCACTATGTTGCCCAAGCTGGAGTGCAGTGGTGTGATCATGGCTCACTGCAGCCTTGACCTCCAGGTCAGATGATCCTCCTGCCTCAGCCTCCTGAATAGCTGGAAACACAGGTGCACGCTACCGTGGTTTTTTTTTTTTCTTTTTTTTTCCTTTTTTTTTTAAACTGGGGTTTCACTCTTGTTGCCCAGGTTGGAGTGCAATGGTGTGATCTCAGCTCACCAGAACCTCTGCCTCCTGTCAAGTGATTCTCCTGTCTCAGCCTCCTGAGTAGCTGGGACTAGAGGCATGTGCCACTACATCAGGCTAATTTTGTATTTTTAGTAGAGACAGGGTTCACCATGTTGATCATGCTAGTCTCGAACTCCTGACCTAAGTTGATGTGCCCACCTCAGCCTCCCAAACTGCTGGGATTACAGGCATGAGCCACTGTGCCTGGCCATTTTTCTTTCTTTTTTGAGATTTCTTTTTTTTTTTTTTTTTGACAGAGTCTCTCCCTGTTGTCCAGGCTGGAGTGCAGTGGCACAATCTCGGCTCACTGCAAGCTCCGCCTCCCGGATTCACACCATTCTCTTGCCTCAGCCTCCCAAGTAGCTGGGACTAGAGGTGCCCGCCACCATGCCTGGCTAATTTTTTGTATTTTTAGTGGAAATGGGGTTTCACCATGTTAGCCGGGATGGTCTAGATCTCCTGACCTCGTGATCCACCCATCTCGGCCTCCCAAAGTGCTGGGATTACAGGCGTGAGCCACTGCGCCCGGCCATGGATTTCTTTTTTTTGAGAGGAAGTCTTGCTTTGTCACCCAGGCTGGAGTGCAAGTGGCCCAATCTTGGCTCACTGCAAAATCTCCGAAGTTCAAGCAATTCTCCTGCCTTAGCCTCACGAGTAACTGGGATTACAGGCATGCACCACCACACCCAGCTAATTTTTTTGTATTTTTAGTAGGGACGGGGTTTCATCATGTTGGTCAGGCTGGTCTCGAATTCCTAACCTCAAGTGATCTGCCCACCTTGGGATCCCAAAGTGCTGGGAATACAGGCATGAACCACCGCGACCGGCCCTGGCTAATGTTTTTTTTTTTCCTCTTGAGACAGAGTCTTTCTGTCACACAGGCTGGAATGCAATGGTGCGATCTTGGCTCACTGCAACTTCCACCTGCTGGGTTCAAATAATTCCCCTGTCTCAGCCTCCCAAGTAGCTGGGATTACAGGTGCGAGCCACCATGCCCCGCTAATTTTTTTTTGTATTTTTAGTAGAGATGGGGTTTCACCATTTTGGTCATGCTGGTCTCGAACTCCTGACCTCACATGATCTGCCTGCCCTGGCCTCCCAAAGTGCTGGGATTACAGGCATGAGCCACTGCGCCCTGCCTGTTAATTTTTAAATTATTTGTAGAGACAAGTCTCCCTATGTTACCCAGGTTGGTCTCAAATGTCTGGGCTCAAGCAATCCTCCTACCTCAGCCTCTTAAGTGTTGAGATTACAGGCATGAGCTACCGCACCTGGCCAAAATCTAGATCTTATAATTGGGTTCAAGTTTTTTTTTCTTTTTTCCTCTTTTTTTTTTTTGAGATGGAGTCTCACTCTGTCACCCAGGCTAGAGTGCAGTGGTGCGATCTCGGCTCACTGCAACCACCGCCTCCCAGGCTCAAGCGATTCTCCTGCCTCAGCCTCCTGCATAGCTGGGATTACAGGCACCCATGACCACACCCGACTAATTTTCGTGTTTTTAGTAGAGACAGGGTTTCACCATGTTGGCCAGGCTGGTCTTGAACTCCTGACCTCAAGTGATCTGGCTGCCTCAGCCTCCCAAAGTGCTGGGATTACAGGTGTGAGCCACTGCACCTGGCTCAAGTTTTCATTTCTCATATCCTGTTGATCTTACAACTCTTCTTCTTCTTCTGATACTCATTTTCTCTCATCAGTGTGGAAATTTATTACAGTTTATATGAAGTTTTCCTCTTCTGTCTCTTTCCTCCATGTTTGTTTTTACTTTTTTTTTTTCACATTTGTTGATTTTTATTTGCTATCTCTTTTTCTTTTTCTTCTTTTCTTTTTTTTTTTTTTGAGACGGAGTCTCACTCTGTCGCCCAGGCCGGAGTGCAGTGGCTCAATCTCGGCTCACTGCAAGCTCTGCCTCCTGGCTTCATGCCATTCTCCTGCCTCAGCCTCCCGAGTAGCTGGGACAACAGGAGCCCACCACCATGCCTGACTAATGTTTTTGTATTTTTAGTAGAGACGGGGTTTCACCGTGTTAGCCAGGATGGTCTCGATCTCCTGACCTCGTGATCCACCCGCCTCAGCCTCCCAAAGTGCTGGGATTACAGGCGTGAGCCACCGTGCCTGGCCTTCTTTTCTTTTCTTTCTTTCTTTTTTTTTTTTTTGACTGAATTTTGCTCTTGTTGCCCAGGCTGGGGTGCAACGGTGTGATCTTGGTTCACTGCAACTTCTGCCTCCTGGGTTCAAGCGATTCTCCTGCCTCAGCCTCCTGAGTAGCTGGGATTACAGGTGCCCGCCACCACGCCCAACTAACTTTTTGTATTTTTAGTAGAGACGGGGTTTCACCATGTTGGTCAGCGTGGTCTTGAACGCCTGACCTCAGGTTATCCACCCGCCTCGGCCTCCCAAGTTGCTGGGATTACAGGCGTGAGCCACTGCGCCCGGCCATGATCTCTTTTTCAATACAATTTACACCCTCATCCCCATTTTCAGTCTGATTATACAAGTGCTGTGTGACAGAAAGGTCTGGAATAAATACATCAAAAAAAAAAAGAGGCAAAGCTGTGAAACTAAGTTGCATGCAACAGGTTCTATGAGGATGGGGGAAGTGTCTGAGAAATAAAACAGAGTAAGACAATGTAGTTGGAAGGTTTTAGCTAAAGTTCTTTTCAGTCGTCTTTGTCTTTTGCTCCATGTTTCAGGATGCATGTGAACTCGATGTAATTGAAATTCCCCTTTTTGTTAATAGGCGCTTCTCTGTACAGCTCATCCACTTCCTCATCCGTAAACCGATCCCACATGGTTATCAGCAGCTCTCTCAGGTAATCTTCCTGAATAATGCCTGTTGCTTCTTCATCAAAGCAAGCAAAAGCATTTCCAATGACATCTTCAGGATCTGTGCCATTTAACTTCTCACCAAATATGGTGAGGAACATGGTGAAATCGATGGGCCCTGGTGCCTCATTCATTATGGCATCAAGGTATGCATCGGTGGGATTCTTCCCTAGGGAAACAAGCATATCATGCAAATCTTCTTTGTTGATGAAACCATCTCTGTTCTGATCAATCATGTTGAAGGCCTCTTTGAACTCCTGAATCTGTGACTGGTCAAACATGGCAAACACGTTGGATGTTGTGCGCTGAGGGCGCTTTTTGGTGGTCTTGGTCTTGCCTTTTTGCTCCACATGGTGGTTGTTTAATTCCAGCGCCAAACACCAGAAGTGGGCTGCCCTGCGCCAGACGATGAGGGAAGGCGAAGAGCACAATGCTGTGTCGTTTTTACTTTTAATTTTGGGTTTTTGCTCATGTCTGAAGTCTTCCTCAAATATCTGGTGTTCCTTAACTGGGCACTCATATTTAAGACAGAGCGGGCTGGGTGCAGTGGCTCACACCTATAATCTCAGCACTTTGGGAGGCCGAGGTGGGTGGATCACCTGAGGTCAGGAGTTCGAGACCAGCCTGACCAATATGGAGAAACCCAATCTCTACTAAAAATAAAAAATTATCCAGGCGTGGTGGTGCATGCCTGTATTCCCAGCTACTCAGGAGGCTGAGGCAGGAGAATCGCTTGAACCCGGGAGGCGGAGGTTGCAGTGAGCCAAGATCGTGCCATTGCACTCCAGCCTGGGCAACAAGAGCAAAACTCCATCTCAAAAACAAACAAACTATATGTGTGTATATATATATATATTTACATATATAACATGTATATTTTACATATATTACATATATATATTTTACATATATATATTTATTTATTTCCTTATTTATTTTGTGGCCAGGTGTGGTGGCTCATGCCTGTAATCCCAGCATTTTGGGAGGCTGAGGCGAGCAGATTACCTGAGGTCAGGAGTTCCAGACCAGCCTAGCCAACATGGTGAAACCCCATCTCTACTAAAAATACAAAAATATTAGCCAGGTGTGTGGTGGTGCACACCTGTAATCCCATCTACTTGGGAGGCTGAGGCACAAGAATTGCTTGAACCCGGGAGTAGCTGGGATTACAGGCATGTGCCACCATGCCTGGCTAATTTTTGTATTTTTGGTAGAGACAAGGTTTCACTATGTTGGCCAGATTGGTCTGAACTCCTGACCTCAGGTGATCCACTCACCTCAGCCTCCCAAAGTGCTAGGATTACAGGCGTGAGCCACTGCACCCAGCCAGACAGTTTTTTGTTTTTTTTGTTGTTTTTGTTTTGTTTGTTTTTTTGAGATGGAGCCTGGCTCTGTTGCCCAGGCTGGAGTGCAGTGGCGCGATCTTGGCTCACTGCAAGCTCCGCCTCCCAGGTTCACGCCATTCTGCCTCAGCCTCCCGAGTAGCTGGGACTACAGGCGCCCGCCACTATGCCCGGCTAATTTTTTTGTATTTTTAGTAGAGACGGGGTTTCACCGTGTTAGTCAGGATTGTCTCGATCTCCTGACCTCGTGATCCGCCTGTCTCGGCCTCCCATAGTGCTGTGATTACAAGCGTGAGCCACCGCACCCAGCCTGTTTTTGTTTTTTTGAGATGGAGTTTGGCTCTGTCAGCCAGGCTGGAGTGCAGTGGTGTGATCTTAGCTCACTGCAACCTCCTCCTCCTGGGTTCAAGCTATTCTCCTGCCTCAGCCTCCTCATTAGCTGGGACTACAGGCGCGTGCCACCACGCCCAGCTAATTTTTGTATTTTTAGTAGAGATGGGGTTTCACCATGTTGGCCAGGCTGGTCTCGATCCCTTGACCTCGTGATCCGCCTGCCTCGGCCTCCCAAAGTGCTAGAATTACAGGCGTGAGCCACCGTGCCCAGTTGACAGTTTTATTTTACAATGTCAATATTTATATAAGACACAAGATCTGTTACACTCTTTTTTTTTTTCTGAGATGGAGTCTCGCTCTGTTGCCCAGGCTGGAATGCAGTGGTATGATATCGGCTCACTGCAACCACCGCCTCCCAGGTTCAAGCAATTCTTGTGCTTCAGCCTCCCGAGTAGCTGGGATTACAGGCATACGCCACCATGCCCAGCTAATTTTTGTATTTTTAGTACAGACAGGGTTTCACTATGTTAGCCAGGCTGGTCTTGAACTCCTGACCTCGTTATCCACCTGCCTCGGCCTCCCAAAGTACTGGGATTACAGGTGTGAGCCATTGCACCAAGCCGATTTGTTATACTCTTTGCAGTTATTTAAATCAACAAGGAAAAAAATTAGATGCCAAATAAAAATATATACAAAATGGCACATAATTTTCCAAAATGTTTTTAAGGAGCATGCAAGCAAGAAAATGTGAAGACTGATAGACTAATTCTAGTGCTGCTCTTATATCCAAGCAAGAGGAGATCCTGCCTGGAGCCCCACATTTCAGAAGGCCCCACATATCATAAATGTTAAAAGAATAAATTTGGAAGGAATATATGGGTGTATCTGTTACTGAAGATCTGGTGCTCAATTCTAGCACAGTGTATGAGTTATCTATTGCTGTGTAACAAATTACCCCAAAACCCGGTGGCTCAAAACAACACACTGTTATCTGATGGCTTCTGTGGGGGAGAAATCTGGGAACAGCTTAGCTGGATCCTCTGCTTCGGAGGCTCTCATAAGACTGCAGTCTATGAGTTGCCTGTGATCTCATCTG
The DNA here is from genome assembly GCF_000001405.40 of Homo sapiens. Taxonomy (NCBI): domain Eukaryota; kingdom Metazoa; phylum Chordata; class Mammalia; order Primates; family Hominidae; genus Homo; species Homo sapiens. The sequence goes on along the minus strand of NT_167248.2, from coordinate 4,530,985 downwards.
AAAGCTCAGGGCCGGGCTCAGTGGCTCATGCATGTAATCCCAGCACTTTGGAAGGCTGAGGCAGGTGCATCACCTGAGGTCAGGAGTTCCAGACCAGCCTGGCCCACCTGGTGAAACCCGGTTTCTACTAAAAATACAGAAATTAGCTGGGTGTTGTGGCGGGCACCTGTAATCCCAGCTACTTGGGAGGCTGAGGCAGGAGAATCGATTGAACCTGGGAGGTGGAGGTTGCAATGAGGCGAGATAGCACATTGCACTCTAGCCTGGGTGACGGAGCAAGACTCTGTCTCAAAAAAAATAAAAATAAAAATAAAAATAAAGCTTAACTGGGGAAGGTTTTGCTTCTAAGCTCACTCACATAGCTGTTTGCAGGATTCAGTTTCTAAAGGGTTTTTTGACTGAGGGTCTCAGTTCCCTGTTGGTTAGTGTTTGGAGACCACACCTAGTTTCTTGCCATGTGGGTTTCTCCAATATGGCATCTTACATCATCAAAGCCAGCAATAGAGAGGCTAGCAAGTAGAAAGTCCTGTCTTTTTTTTTTTTTTTCTTGTGATGGAGTTTTGCTCTGACTCCCAGGGTGGAGCATATTGGCACAATCTCGGCTCACTGTGACCTCTGCCTCCCGGTTTCACGCAATTCTCCTGCCTCAGCCTCCTGTGTAGCTAGCTGGGATTACAGGCATGTGCCACCATGCCTGGCTAATTTTTTGGAGTTTTAGTAGAGATGGGGTTTCACCACGCTGGCCAGGCTGGTCTCAAACTCCTGACCTTGTGATCTGCCTGCCTCGGCATCCCAAAGTGCTGGGATTACAGGCATGAGCCACTGTGCCCAGCCTACAAATAATGTTTAAATTCCCCGGATGTGCTGGCACACACCTGTAGCCGCAGCTACTCAGAATGCTGAGGTGGGAGGATTGCTTGAGCCGAGGAATTTGAGGCTGCAGTGAGCTATGATCCTGCTACTGCACTCTAGCCTGGGCGACAGAGCAAGAACCTGTTTAAAAAAAAAAAGAAAAGAAAAGAAAAAAAAGAAAGAAATGAAAGACCTCTTCAAAACTGTCAAATTCATGAGAGACAAGGAAAGACTGAGAACTTCCCAGATTGAAGGAGACTACAGATAGATATGTGACAGTCAAATGCAGTATGTGATCCTGGACTAGAAAGGACAGATAGGCCAAGTATGGTGGCACGCATCTGTAGTCCCAGCACTTTGGAAGGCTCAGGTGGGAGGATCACTTGAGCCCAGGAGTTTGAGGCTGCAGTGAGCTCTTGATAGCACCACTGCACTTTGGCCTGGGCAACAGAGTGAGACCTCATCTCAAAAAAAAAAAAAAGAAAAAGAAAAAAACAGCTGTTAAAAGAAAAGATAATTGCACTTTGGGAGGCCTAGGCGGGTGGATTGCCTGAGCTCAGGAGTTCAAGACCAGCCTGAACAACATGGTGAAACCCCGTCTCTGCTAAAATACAAAAAATTAGCTGGCTGTGGCGGCGTGTGCCTATAGTCCCAGCTACTTGGGAGGCTGAGGCAGGAGAATTGTTTGAACCCGGAAGGTGGAGGTTGTAGTGCACCGAGATCGCACCACTGCACTCCAGCCTGGGTGACAGACCTGTCTCCAAAAAAAAAAAAAAAAAAAAAGATAATTTAAAAAAGAAGAGGCGGTCATTACTGGGACAGCTGGTGAAATCTGAATGGGATCTATGAATTGAAGAGTGATATTGATTTCCTGATTAGAATGGTGTTTTAGTTTGCTAGGGCTGCCATAACAAAGTATCACAAACTGGGAGACTTAAACAGCAGAAATGTATTGCCTTACAGTTCTGGAGGCTGGAAGTCTGAGATCAAGGTGTAGGCAGGGTTGGTTCTTTCTGAGGGGTGTAAGGGAGAATCTGTTCCAGGCCTTTCTACTAGTTTCCGGTGGTTTGCTGGCAGTCTTTTGTGTGTGTGTGTGTGTGTGTGTGTGTGTGTGTGTGTTTTGAGACGGAATCTTGCTCTGTCACCCAGGCTGGAGTGCAATGGCAAGATCTCGGCTCAGTGCAACCTCTGCCTCCCAGGTTCAAGCAATTTTCCTGCCTCAGCCTCCCGATTGAGTAGCTGGGATTACAGGCACCCACGACCACGCCCGGCTAACATTTTGTATTTTTTTTTTTTTTTTTCTGAAACAGAGTCTCGCTCTGTCGCCCAGGCTGGAGTGCAGTGACACGATCTCAGCTCACTGCAACCTCCGCCTCCAGGTTCAAGCAATTCTCCTGCCTCCAGAATAGCTGGAATTACAGGTGCCCATGACCATGCCCTGCCAATTTTTGTATTTTTAGTAGAGGCAGGGTTTCACCATGTTGACCAGGCTGGTCTTGAACTCCTGACCTCGTGATCTGCCCGCCTCAGCCTCCCAAAGTGCTGGGATTACAGGCGTGAGCCATTGTGCTCGGCCAATTTTTTGTATTTTTAGTAGAGATGGGATTTCACTATGTTGGCCAGGCTGGTCTCGAACTCCTGACCTCAGGTGATCCACCTGTGTTGGCCTCCCAAAGTGCTGGGATTACAGGCATAAGCCATGGTGCCTGGCCTGCTGGCAATCTTTGACATATCAACCTGATCTCTGCCTTCATGGTCACATGTCATTCTCTCTATCCGCAAGCCTATGTCCAAACTTCCTTTCTAATAAAGGGGGTGAGAGGCCCACTCAACTCCAGTATGACCTCATTGAACCAATTACATATGCAACAACCTTATTTCCAAATAAGGTTACATTCTGAGGAACTGGGAGTTAGGACTTCATTATATAAATTTTATTTTTTTCCTTCGACTTTTATTTTAAGTTCAGGGGTACATGTGTGCGATGTGTAGGTTTGTTACATAGGTAAACGTGTGCAATGGTGATTTGCTGCACAGATCATCCCATCACCCAGGTATTAAGCCCAGCATCCATTAGCTATTCTTCCTGGTGCCCTTCCTTCCCCCACTCCCCCAGACAGGACCCAGTTGTGTTGTTTCCCACCGTGTGTCCGTGTATTCTCATCATCACTTGTAAGTGAGAACATGCGAACAAATGAATTCTTCACCTTTTTTTTTTTTTTTTTTTTTGTGAGAGGAGTCTCGTACTGTCACTGGGGCTGGAGTGCAATGGTGAGATCACAGCTTACTGCAACCTCGGCCCCCTGGGTTCAAGTGATTCTCCTGCCTCAGCCTCCCATGTCACTAGCTGGAATTATAGGGGCCTGCCACCATGCCCAGCTAATTTTTGTATTTTTAGTAGATATGGGTTTTTGCCATGTTGGCCAGGCTAGTCTCAAACTCCTGACCTTGTGATCTGCCCACCTTGGCCTCTCAAAGTTCTGGGATTACAGGCATAAGCCACCGTGCCTGGCCTGATCTTGTTCTTTTTTCTTTTTTTTTTTGGCAACAACTCACTCTGTTGCCAGACTGGAGTGCAGTGGTGCGATCTCAGCTCTCCACAACCTCCGCCTCCCGGGTTCAAGCCACTCCCCTGCCTCAGCCTCCTGAGTAGCTAGGACTACAGGCGCCCACCACCACACCCGGCTAGTTTTTTGTATTTTTAGTAGAGATGGGCTTTCAGTGTGTTAACCAGGATGGTCTCGATCTCTTGAACTTGTGATCTGCCCGCCTCGGTCTCCCAAAGTGCTGGGATTACAGGCATGAGACACTGCGCCCAGCCCAGCCCTTATTCATTTTTATGGCTGCACAACATATGAATTTTTAGGAGACACAATTCAACCTGTAACACATGGTTATACTGGGGTTGAGAGCGAGATGGAACAAATACAGCCAAGTGTTGACAAATGGAAAATCTGAGTGAAAGAGGTACATGCCAAAGTTCTTGGAACTGTTCTTAAATTTTTCTGTAAGCTGAAAATTATTTCAAAATTAAAAAAATTCCAACAAGATGCTAGGTTTATTTATTACACAAGATGTTGGTGCTGAACCTACCATGTAAAGAGACAATAAAGGTGTTTGTGTGGCCTTATTGCACACTTGCCTGGGATGTAAGTGAGGGTATCAGATTAATATGTTACATTTACATAGTGCTTTATAATTTACAAAAAACCAACAACATCAAAAAACCTTTATTTCATTTATCTCTCAGAATAATTCTGGGAGGCAAGAGCTTTTTCTGATTTTATTACAAAACAAAACACTAAAGAAAGGTCATGTGACTTGTCCACAGCTTCACACAACTAAGTGATCAGTTTAAATTCTAGTCCAGGGTTTTTTCACTTTTTCGAGACTCCTTTGCAGCTGCAGCAAAAGACAATGCGGCATGACTTGAAACAACATTTTTTTTTTGAGACAGAGTCTCGCTCTGTCGCCCAGGCTGGAGTGCAGTGGAGCAATCTCGGCTCACTGCAAGCTCCGCCTCTGGGGTTCATGCCATTCTCCTGCCTCAGCCTCCCGAGTAGTTAGGACTACAGGCTCCCGCCACCACAGCCGGCTAATTTTTTGTATTTTTTTTTTTTTTTTTGAGACGGAGTCTCACTGTATCGCCCAATCTGGAGTGCAGTGGCATGATCTTGGCTCACTGCAAACTCTGCCTCCCGGGTTCAAGTGATTCTCCTGCCTCAGCCTCCCAAGTGGCTGGGACTACAGGCACCCGCCATCACACCTGGCTAATTTTTTGTATTTTTAGTAGAGACGGGGTTTCACCGTGTTAGCCAGGATGGTCTCGATCTCCTGACCTCGTGATCTGTCCGCCTCGGCCTCCCAAAGTGCTGGGATTACAGGCGTGAGCCACCGCGCCTGGCCTAATTTTTTGTATTTTTAGTAGAGACGGGGTTTCACCGTGTTTGCCAGGATGGCCTCAATCTCCTGACCTTGTGATCCGCCCACCTCGGCCTCCCAAAGTGCTGGGATTACAGGCGTGAGCCACCGCGCCCAGCCCTCAAAACAACATTATAACATCATTTCTGCTCTTTTGGGGGGTGACCTGACTTCCCAAGTAAAGAAGGTATTCTTAGGCATGGTGGCTTATGCTTGTAATTCCAGAATGATGGGAGGCTGAGGTGGAAGGATTGTTTAATAAGCTCAGGAGTTAAAAACCAGCCTGGGTAACATAGAAAGACCCTGTCTCTACAAAATTCAAAAATGAGCCAGGCGTGGTGACACACACCTGTGGTCCCAACTACTCAGGAGGCTAAGATGGGAGGATTGCTTGAGCTGGGGAGATCAAGGCTGCAGTGGGCCACGTTTGAGCCACTACACTCCAGCCTGGGTGACAGAGCAAGATCCTGTAGCCCGGGTGCGGTGGCTTATGCCTGTAATCCCAGCACTTTGGGAGGCTGAGGTGGGTGGATCACGAGGTCAGGAGTTCGAGACCAGCCTGGCCTACACTGTGAAACCCCGTCTCTACTAAAGGTACAAAAAATTAGCCAGGCGTGGTGGCACGTACCTGTAATTCCAGCGACTTGGGAGGCTGAGGCAGGAGAATGGTTTGAACCCGGGAGGCGGAGGTTGCAGTGAGCCGAGATCGTGCCATTGCACCCCAGCCCGGGGGACAGGGCGAGACTCCATCTCAAAAAAAAAAAAAGATCCGGTTAAAAAAAAAAAAAAAGGAACAAGATCTTCCTATTGAGGTGAAAATGAAAATGAAATAGTTTAGGTAGGAGGCTCCAAAGGTTCCCAGTATAAGGTTCACTACTACACACACTGCTTCCTCCACCGTTCCCCCTCCCCTCCCTCAGCCTCACTTGGGCGAATCCCTTGTTTCCAGATGGGCTTCAATTTCATTACCCAACCTTCAGGCCAATGCCTGGGGAACAGGGTCAATAAAACATCTTCTTTTTTTATTTTTATTTTTTTGAGACGGAGTCTCACTCTGTCACCCAGGTTGGAGTGCAGTTGCAGCGGCATGATCTTAGCTCATGGCAACCTCCGCCTCCCAGTTTCAAGAGATTCTCCTGCATCAGCTTCCCGAGTAGCTGGGATTACAGGCATGCGCCACCACTCCCGGATAATTTTTGTATTTTAGGTAGAAACAGGGTTTCACCATGTTGGCCAGGCTGGTCTTGATCTCCTGACCTCAATTGATCCATCCGCCTCGGGCTCCCAAAGTGCTGGAATTACAGGCGTGAGCCACCACGCCTGGCCTAAGAAAAGGTCTTCAATCAGTCAAAAAAAAAAAAAAAAAGAAAGAAAAGAAAAGGTCTTCAGTCCTTGCTCCTACAACCTCCTCAACCACATCCTCCACTGGTAGCCTCTGAGACCTGGACCATCGATGGCAAAACTTCACTCTTCTTTAAAATTACCCTGGCTGGGTGCAGTGGCTCACACCTGTAATCTCAGCACTTTGGGAGGCCAAGGTGGGTGGATCATTTGAGGTCAGGAGTTCCAGACCAGCTTGACCAACATGGTGAAACCCCGTCTCTACTAAAAATACAAAAAAATTAGCCGGACATGGTGGCACATGCCTGTAGTCCCAGCTACTTGGGAGGTTGAGGAAGGAGAATTTCTTGAACCCAGGAGACAGAGGTTGCAGTGAGCCGAAATCGTGCCACTGCACTCCAGCCTGGGAGACAGAGCGAGACTCCGTCTGTAAATAAATAAGTAAAGTAAAGTAAAATAACCCCAACCCAACAGCCAAGTCCCAATCACATACCCTTGCCCTGCTGATCCATCACGGTCTTTGTCTTTTTATAAGCCTCCCCTTGGGCTCATGCAGTCAATGATAATCCTCCCTTGGTACTGCAGAGACCAAAAGTTAGGAAGAGAGTGTTCTGGGTTATACCATCTCAAACTTAGCTGCCTGCAGACCCAGTGGGGAGAACTACTCCTGTGAGAACTCAAGTCCCCTCTGCTTGTTCCTACCCGCCTTGGTTAGGATAGACCATCTCACCCCCTACCATCCAGCCAGAAGGGGCTTTAGATCCTTGACTGACCATGGCTCACAGATGCATGGTAGGTCCATTTCCTCACTCTCTATCAGTTGGGGCCCAAGATTTTGAGCCTTGAGTCTTTGAGACTTGAGACCCAGAGTGACAGGCAGTTCTAGCTTATGCCTTCATGTTGGGCCTTCAGTTTCCAAATCACAGAATTATACTATGAAAAAGCTGAATAGAGTTCATGGATCATTTAGTCCAGACCTTTCACATCACACTGGATGTTTAAATAATTGATCTGAAGGCTCATAGGGTCCTTTCTCTTTTCTCTTAGGTGTGGGAATTAAGGTCAGGACTGGCAGGTGCAGGACTTGCCACAGCCATGCTCCTTAATCCTGGCAGTGCTGAGCAAGGCCTTGCATCCCAGCCCCCTGATCCAGCCAGCTGTCTGACTGTGAGTCAGGATGGCAGAGGAAGGTGATGTGGACGAGGCGGATGTGTTCCTGGCATTTGCCCAGGGTCCCTCCCCTCCCAGGGGTCCCGTGCGACGTGCCTTGGACAAGGCTTTCTTTATCTTCCTGGCCCTCTTCCTGACACTGCTGATGCTGGAGGCTGCTTATAAGCTGCTGTGGTTACTACTATGGGCAAAGTTAGGGGACTGGCTCCTGGGGACACCTCAGAAGGAGGAGGAGCTGGAATTGTGACCACCTTTCCTATAAACATCTTCTTTCCCCACCAAGGAGGTGAGAGGGGAGACAGGAGGGAAATGGGAGTGTTGGGGGCTATGGAGGAGATGCTTGGATAGCTTAGGGCAGCAGTCTTTTTTTTTTGAGATGGAGTTTTGCTCTTGTTACCTAGGCTGGAGTGCAATGGCACAATCTTGGCTCACTGCAACCTCTGCCTCCAGGGTTCAAGGGATTCTCCTGCCTCAGCCTCCTGAGTAGCTGGGATTACAGGCATGCGCCACCGCCCCCTGCTAATTTTGTATTTTTAGTAGAGACAAGGTTTCTCCATGTTAGTCAGGCAGGTCTCCAACTCCGACCTCAGGTATCTGCCTGCCTTGGCCTCCCAAAGCGCTGGGATTACAGGTGTGAGCCACTGCGCCCGGCCAGGGCAGCAGTCTTAAATTCTGCACCTATACTCAGGGAAATAATTTTGAAGAAGTATATACTCCTTCATATATCTTTAAGTAGGTATCTAAAAATTTTCATCATAAATTAAAATTGTGGCCGGGCACAGTGGCTCATGCCTGTAATCCCAGAACTTTGGGAGGCCAAGGCAGGGGGATCACCTAAAGTCAGGAGTTCAAGACCAGTCTGGCAAATATGGTGAAACCCCATGTCTACTAAAAATACAAAAATTAGCCGGGAAAGTTGGTGGGCACCTGATTCTCTGCCTCAGCTACTCAGAGGCTGAGGCAGGAGAATTGCTTGAACCCGGGAGGCAGTTGCAGTGAGCCGAGATCGCACCATTGCACTCCGGCCTGGGTGACAGAGCGAGACTCCTTCCAAAAATAAATAAATAAATAAATAAAAATAAAAATAAATAAATAAAAATTGTTTCAAGGATGTAATTCTGGCATATTGAAAATATTCACATTTTATTTATTTTTTAATTTTTATTTTTTTTTTGAGATGGAGTCTTGCTCTGTCGCCCAGGCTGCAGTGCAGTGGTGCAATCTCGGCTCACTGCAACCTCTGCCTCTGGGGTTCAAGCAATTCTCCTGCCACAGCCTCCTGAGTAGCTGGGACCACAGGTGTGCACCAGCACCCCTAATTTTTATATTTTTAGTAGAGATGGGGATTTCACCATGTTGGCCACGCTGGTCTTGAACTCTTTTTTTTTTTTTTTTTTTTTTTTGTGACAGAGTCTCCTGTTGCCCAGGCTGGAGTGCAGTGGCAGTGATCTCTGCTCACTGCAGCCTGCCTCCACTTCCCAGATTCTAGCGATTCTCCTGCCTCAGGCCCCCAAATAGCTGGGACTACAGGTGTGTGCCACCGTGCCCAGCTAATTTTTGTATTTTTAGTAGAGACAAGGTTTCATCATGTTGGCAAGGCTGGTCTGGAACTCCTGACCTCAAGTGATCCGCCCACCTCAGCCTCCCAAAGTGCTGGGATTACAGGCATGAGCCACTGCGCCCAGCCTATTTATTGATTTATTGAGATGAGGTCTCACTATGTTGCCTAGGCTGGTCTGTAATCCTGAGATCAAGCAATCCACCCACCTCAACTTCCCAAAGTGCTAGGATTATAGGCGGTGAGCCACAGCTGGCCACATTTTATTTTATTTATTTATTTTTTGAGACAGAGTCTTGCTCTGTCACCCAGGCTGGAGTGCAGTGGCACCATCTTGGCTCACTGAAATCTCCGCCTCCTGGGTTCAAGCGATTCTTCTGCCTCAGCTTCCCAAGTAGCTGGGACTAAAGGCGCGAGCCACCACGCCCAGCTAATTTTTGTATTTTTAGTAGAGACGGGGGTGTCACCATATTGGCCAGGCTGGTCTCGAACTCCTAGACTTCGTGATCTGCCTGCCTCGGCCTCCCAAAGTGCTGGAATTACAGCATGAGCCACTGCACCTGGCCTATTTATTTATTTTTTTGAGACACAGTCTCTCTGTGTTGCCCATGCTGGAGTGTAGTGGTGCGATCTTGGCTTCCGGCAACCTCTGCCTCCCGGGTTCAAGCGATTCTCCTGCCTCAGCCTCCCAAATAGCTGGGACTACAGGCGCCCGCCACTACACCCAGCTAATTTTTTTGTAATTTTAGTAGAGACGGGGTTTCATCATGTTGGGCAGGCTGGTCTCGAACTCCTGACCTCAGGTGATCTGCCTGCCTCGGCCTCCCAAAGTGCTGGGATTACAGGTTTGAGCCACCACGCCCGGCCTATTTTTTTATTTTTTGAGACAGAGTCTTGCTCTATCGCCCAGGCTGGAGTGCAGTGGCGTGATCTTGGCTCACTGCAACTTTTGCCTCCCAAATTCAAGGGATTCCCCTGCCTCAGCTCCCAAATAGCTGGGATTACAGGCGCCCACGACCACGCCTGGCTATTTTTTGTATCTCTAGTAGAGACGAGGTTTCCTCATGTTGGTCAGGCTGGTCTCGAACTCCTGACCTCAAGTGATCTGCCCGCCTCGGCCTCCCAAAGTGGTAGGATTACAGGCATGAGTCACCATGCCTGGCCCCACATTTTAAAATAAAACAATTAGATCACCATTTATTGTCCAGTGGAATTGAAATATCATAGTGATGGCCGGGCACGGTGCTTCACGCCTGTAATCCCAGCACTTTGGGAGGCTGAGTTGGGTGGATCACGAGGTCAGGAGTTTGAGACCAGCCTGGCCAACATGCCAAAAACCCATATCCACTAAAAAAAAAAAAATACAAAAAATACAAAAAATTAGCTAGGCATGGTGTTGTGTGCCTGTAATCCCAGCTGCTCAGGAGGTTGAGGCAGGAGAATCGCTTAAACCCGGGAGTGGGAGGTTGCAGTAAGCAGAGATTGTGCCATTGAACTCCAGCCTGGGCGACAGAGCAAGACTCCATCTCAAAAAAAAAAAAAAAGTATAAATTAGTTCTTACCAGTTGGGAATCATTCCTTTTTTCTTTCATCACCTCTTTTTTCCTTGAGCTCCTACTACTACTCCACTTCCCCACAAACTTTATGCTTTTATACTTGAAAGTCCTTTATTGACCAATCTTTTACATCTTCCTGCATATACATGTATATTAATTGAGATGAAAAATATCTTTCTTGTGATTGTAAGACTCTAGTTGTTAAAAATTATTCTGGAGGAGTTACTGTTACAATTATTATAAGAACAGAATGTTCTTATAAACATGTGATCGTACACTTTTTTTTTTTTTTTTAAGACGGAGTCTCGCTCTGTCGCCCAGGCTGGAGGGCAGTGGCGCGATCTCGGCTCACTGCAAGCTCCGCCTCCCGGGTTCACGCCATTCTCCTGCCTCAGCCTCCGGAGTAGCTGGGTCTACAAGGCGCCCACCACCACGCCCAGCTAATTTTTTTTTTTTTTTTTTTTGGTATTTTTAGTAGAGACAGGGTTTCACCGTGTTAGCCAGGGTGGTCTCGATTTCCTGCCCTCGTGATCCTCCTGCCTCGGCCTCCCAAAGTGCTGGGATTACAGGCGTGAGCCACCGTGCCTGGCCGATCGTAAACATTTTTATAACTGTTAAAAAGAAATATTTAATAAGATAGTAGTCTGGGAGTGGCGGTTCACGCCCATAATCCCAGCACTTTGAGACGCTGAGGTGGGAAGATTGCTTGAGGCAAGGAGCTCAAGATCCATCTGGGCAACACAGTAAGACCCTGTCGCTATAAAAAACCTTTTTTTTTTTTTTTTTTTTGAGACAGAGTCTTGCTCTGTCGCCAGGCTGGAGTGCAGTGGCTGATCTCAGCTCACTGCGACCTCCGCCTCCCGGGTTCAAGCGATTCTCCTGCCTCAGCCTCCCGAGTAGCTGGGACTACAGGCGCGTGCCACCAAGCCCAGATAATTTTTGTGTTTTTAGTAGAGACGGGGTTTCACCATGTTGGCCAGGCTGGTCTCAAACTTCTGACCTCAGGTGATCCGCCCGCCTCGGCCTCCCAAAGTTCTGGGATCACAGGCATGAGCCACCGCGCCCAGCCTCCACAAAAAACTTTTTTTAAAAAAATTAGCCAGGTGAGGTGGTGTGCGCCTGTAGTCCTAGCTACTTGAGGTGGGAGGATGGCTTGAGCCCAGGAATTTGAGGTTACAGTGAGCTGTGACCGTACCACCGCATTCCAGCCTGGGTGATAGAACAAGACCCTTTTTTTTTCCTTTTTTTTTTTTTTTTTTTTTTTTTTTTTTTTTTTGAGATAATCTCGCTCTGTCGCCCAGGCTGGAGTGCAATGACGCGATCTCGGCTTACTGCAACCTCCGCCTCCCGGATTCGAGCGGTTCTCCTGCCTCAGCCTCCTGAGTAGCTGGAACTACAGGCGCCTGCCACCACGCCCAGCTAATTTTTTTGTATTTTTAGTAGAGACGGGGTTTCACCATGTTGGCCAGGATGGTCTCGATCTCTTGACCCCATGATACGCCCACCTCGGACCCCCAAAGTGCTGGGATTACAGGCGTGAACCATCGCGCCCGGCCGACCCTGCATTTAAAAAAAAAAAAGACAAAAGAAAGGAAAAAAAAAAAAAAAAGAAAGAAAAGGTGGTATTCATGGTGCCTTGGTGAAAGAAACAGGGTACATTTCCCTTTATTTTAAACAGGTAAGATTACCCCCAGGAGATTTCATGGTTGAGAACTATACTTTTGAGGGGGGAGGGGAAAAAAGAGAACTATTCTTTTTTTTTTTTTCTTAAGAGGGTGACTCTATTGTAAAAGGAGAAGTGAAGAATGAGAACCTGTACTGCAGGTGTTTCCTTAGGAAGACCAATTTTGGGAAAGTTGAGGTTCTTGAAATTAAATCCCTTACATCTTCCAAGTCCCAGTCCTCGCGGAGAGTTTTTATGTTCCCCATTTTGAAAGCTGTAGACTTTGACGACTGGAGAGAAGTGATGTGGGATTGTTCAACGGACGGGTGTTTGCGATTCTAGGACTCAGCGTTAGGGATCTAATAAGCTCTGTGACCCTAGTTAAGTGGCAAGATGCCCACCACTTGTGGAAATGGGAATCTTAGCGATTGGGACCCTGTTAATCTTTCTGGTTTCCTCATAAGCTCACCTCTGGACCCAGCCTTGCCTCCACGAGTCCCTCCAGCCTCCCTAAACACAACGAGGTGGGTATCAAATCTGTTTCTTCATCCTTCATTCTTTTTTCCCCTCTCCCCGAAGAGGAGGAGGAGGAGACCCAAAGTATTTTATGAGCCTCATTTCGCCTCACAGCAGCCCTCGCAGCGGCAATTTGCACAAACTCTCCTCCAAGCCCCACCCCATCATCGCCCATCCGCAGACCCTAGGCCTCCCACGACAAAGCACGGCCACCTGGTCAGCACAGACGGCCCTTCGAGGACCCCCTCTGGAGAAGAACCATTCAGGTCCCAACGGTCTGGCTGGTCATTAGTTCTGTGGTGAAGCTTGAAAAGCAAATCAGCAACAATAGTAATAACAATAACACTTTTATGGCGCGTTGTGCTCATTTGTACGCATGTGTTATAACGATCGCGGGACGCAGCACCTGGCAGTAGAAACAGCTGCTGGACAGCGGCAAGGAGCGCGCCGCCCTTGCAGGGGAAGGGGCTGGGTCAGCCGAATAAGCCGTGGAAATGGGAACCTGGGGGACAGGAAAGCAGGGCCAGATAGCTTGCCAATAGCCCAACTGAAAGAAAAGGTTTTACTTCCCTTTTAAGAGACTTCTGCCCTTCCCTGAAACTCTGCACAGCTTTGGAAAGCCCAATTCCTAATCCACCCTGTTCGGTTCCCCTGCCCCTCCTTGGAAACGAGGCTCGGTCCTCCCTACGCGCTACTCTCCGGCGGTTGGGCCCCAGGCAGGAAGTTTCTGATTGGCGGAGTCGTAGAAGCACCGGGTGAAAAGAGCTCCACTGGCTGCGCACCGGAGTCCGGGCGTAGCCAGTGCCGTACGGCAAAATGGCGGCCCCCAGCTGCTTTGGGACGCCTGGGTTCGGGGAGACAAACTCCGACCTGGAAGAGACCGCTGACTATGTGGGCCGCACTGGAGGTGTTCGCGGGGCGGGCCTACTGCCACCTCCGGCCACAGGAAGCCTGTGTTCCGTACGACAATATGGCGGCGCTTAGTTGCATGAAGGCGGAAACTCTGTGACTTCCGGTCCGTAGTGGGGCCTGCGGTGGGAGTGGGAAGGAAGGCGGAGGGAACCATGCGAGGTTCTGAGAATTGCGGCGAGGGTCGCCTCGAGAGACGGTTTCTGAGGTGGGGGCCGGACGGTGCGGGGATCAGAGGCGGGGGCGGGGATATAGAGGGAGAGGTATTGGGGAGAGCTGGGCGCTGAGTCTGAGGGGAATGCTGTGGTACCTTCCTGTCCCTGAAAGGGAGTGGAGCGGCCGGGGGCTGAACTGGGGGAGGGGGATTTGGCGGGAAGCGCATCTAGCGGACCGGCCGGACCCACGGTTGGGATCTAAGAGGAATCGCGAGAGCGTAGCGCGGTGTGGGGGGACTTTTGATCAGTTACGGGTCACCGAGAGAATGGGGAAAATTAGGGTGGGGTGAAAGGGAGGGGACTTGGGTAAAATATCTTCAACCTAAAGCCCCAGTTTGAGGAGACTCATCGGAGGGTGAAATATGGAGATAATTCAAGGAGGAGAAAAGAGAACGGACTGTTGGGAGGGAACCTCTTTCACCTCAGAGAGTCTAGGAGTTGGGGTGATCATTCAGGATAGGGTGGGTGTGGGGTTGACTTGTTTGAGAGCAGAGGGGGCAAACACATGAGGTGGCGCCCACAGGAGTGTGTTGTCTGTGCAAGGGGGTGTCAGGACGATTTGGGGTGCAGTGTGGGAGGAAGAATCAACTTGCCAACTCTAAGAAATAGGGGGGAAATGCAACAGAAAGACCGGAAATCGACGTGAGGGGTGGAGCAGAAGGTGGCAACTTAAGGTGTGGGGGTGGTTTGCCCCCCGCCCACACCACTTGAAGGGCCCCAAAAAGCATATAGAACTAATGGTTATTGAAATCAGGTGGTGAAGACAGTGTTGGTCAGGGCTGGATGTTACTGAAACCCAAGGAGTTCAGAAAATGTGTGAGGTGAAGGGATGGGGCTATGCTGGAGGGGCTCATTCTGAGGCCCCATCCCCTTCCAGCAGGAATTCTGAAATCCCCACCACTTCCTCCCTCCGGGGGATTTGATCCCCTATGGCCACCGCTAACAGCATCATCGTGCTGGATGATGATGACGAAGATGAAGCAGCTGCTCAGCCAGGGCCCTCCCACCCACTCCCCAATGCGGCCTCACCTGGGGCAGAAGCCCCTAGCTCCTCTGAGCCTCATGGGGCCAGAGGAAGCAGTAGTTCGGGCGGCAAGAAATGCTACAAGCTGGAGAATGAGAAGCTGTTCGAAGAGGTGAGCTTTAGCGGGGAAGATTGTTGTACCCCAGGGAGGGGGATGGCTGACTGGTTCTCCTGTCCTTTCTTTCCCACTAACCCCACCTCCCCTTTCTCTCAACCCCCTCCCTTGTCTCTCTTCCCCTTCCTTCTTCCCCTGAACCTTCTAGTTCCTTGAACTTTGTAAGATGCAGACAGCAGACCACCCTGAGGTGGTCCCATTCCTCTATAACCGGCAGCAACGTGCCCACTCTCTGTTTTTGGCCTCGGCGGAGTTCTGCAACATCCTCTCTAGGGTCCTGTCTCGGGCCCGGAGCCGGCCAGCCAAGCTCTATGTCTACATCAATGAGCTCTGCACTGTTCTCAAGGCCCACTCAGCCAAAAAGAAGCTGAACTTGGCCCCTGCCGCCACCACCTCCAATGAGCCCTCTGGGAATAACCCTCCCACACACCTCTCCTTGGACCCCACAAATGCTGAAAACACTGCCTCTCAGTCTCCAAGGACCCGTGGTTCCCGGCGGCAGATCCAGCGTTTGGAGCAGCTGCTGGCGCTCTATGTGGCAGAGATCCGGCGGCTGCAGGAAAAGGAGTTGGATCTCTCAGAATTGGATGACCCAGACTCCGCATACCTGCAGGAGGCACGGTTGAAGCGTAAGCTGATCCGCCTCTTTGGGCGACTATGTGAGCTGAAAGACTGCTCTTCACTGACCGGCCGTGTCATAGAGCAGCGCATCCCCTACCGTGGCACCCGCTACCCAGAGGTTAACAGGCGCATTGAGCGGCTCATCAACAAGCCAGGGCCTGATACCTTCCCTGACTATGGGGATGTGCTTCGGGCTGTAGAGAAGGCAGCTGCCCGACACAGCCTTGGCCTCCCCCGACAGCAGCTCCAGCTCATGGCTCAGGATGCCTTCCGAGATGTGGGCATCAGGTTACAGGAGCGACGTCACCTCGATCTCATCTACAACTTTGGCTGCCACCTCACAGATGACTATAGGCCAGGTAGGGGGTTGGTGGGATGCCTCTCAGTGACCCTTATATGTCAGGTATGAGGCGGATGGGGCATCTCTCTAGTCCTTTCTAGGGTTTTTACTCTTCTAGTCCCTTCAAGGGCTGAGTGCTCTGACTTTATGTCTTCCCACGTAGGCGTTGACCCTGCACTATCAGATCCTGTGTTGGCCCGGCGCCTTCGGGAAAACCGGAGTTTGGCCATGAGTCGGCTGGATGAGGTCATCTCCAAATATGCAATGTTGCAAGACAAAAGTGAGGAGGGCGAGAGAAAAAAGAGAAGAGCTCGGCTCCAAGGCACCTCTTCCCACTCTGCAGACACCCCCGAAGCCTCCTTGGATTCTGGTGAGGTGTGGATGGGGTACAGCCTTCAGAGAGACATTGTCCTTCCCCTGCACTGGCCACCAGGGAGTCCAGGTTGACTGATGGGGGAGCATGAGAAGGAAAGCAAGAACCAAACCCTCTGGGGCAAGGGATTCCTTAGAGAAACTTCTTTGTCTCCCAGGGCCCTAGTGGAATGGCATCCCAGGGGTGCCCTTCTGCCTCCAGAGCTGAGACAGATGACGAAGACGATGAGGAGAGTGATGAGGAAGAGGAGGAGGAGGAGGAAGAAGAAGAGGAGGAGGCCACAGATTCTGAAGAGGAGGAGGATCTGGAACAGATGCAGGAGGGTCAGGAGGATGATGAAGAGGAGGACGAAGAGGAAGAAGCAGCAGCAGGTATGTCAAGGGAACATTCTCCTCACCTGTCATTTCTGTTTTGTTAGGCATGAGCCACCTGTTTGAAACCTTTCCCTTCCTCCTCCTAGTGTCCTCTCAGCAGTATTTTTTCCCCCTCATTCTCAGGCTACCCTCTCCCCTTTTCTTCTTTTCCAGGTAAAGATGGAGACAAGAGCCCCATGTCCTCACTACAGATCTCCAATGAAAAGAACCTGGAACCTGGCAAACAGATCAGCAGATCTTCAGGGGAGCAGCAAAACAAAGGACGCATAGTGTCACCATCGTTACTGTCAGAAGAACCCCTGGCCCCCTCCAGCATAGATGCTGAAAGCAATGGAGAACAGCCTGAGGAGCTGACCCTGGAGGAAGAAAGCCCTGTGTCTCAGCTCTTTGAGCTAGAGATTGAAGCTTTGCCCCTGGATACCCCTTCCTCTGTGGAGACGGACATTTCCTCTTCCAGGAAGCAATCAGAGGAGCCCTTCACCACTGTCTTAGAGAATGGAGCAGGCATGGTCTCTTCTACTTCCTTCAATGGAGGCGTCTCTCCTCACAACTGGGGAGATTCTGGTCCCCCCTGCAAAAAATCTCGGAAGGAGAAGAAGCAAACAGGATCAGGGCCATTAGGAAACAGGTAATAACAAGAGGAGGAGGAAGAGGGAAGCCAAGGAGGGATTGCAGGGGACTTTCGGAGAGCAATACTGGGGAACTGAGTCTGCTGGGAGAGACTGGACTGCCCCCCTCCAGCCTCAGTCTTCCCGTACCCCTCCACATATTTATGTTTCTGTTTCTAGCTATGTGGAAAGGCAAAGGTCAGTGCATGAGAAGAATGGGAAAAAGATATGTACCCTGCCCAGCCCACCTTCCCCCTTGGCTTCCTTGGCCCCAGTTGCTGATTCCTCCACGAGGGTGGACTCTCCCAGCCATGGCCTGGTGACCAGCTCCCTCTGCATCCCTTCTCCAGCCCGGCTGTCCCAAACCCCCCATTCACAGCCTCCTCGGCCTGGTACTTGCAAGGTAAGAAGGGGAGGGCGTGTTTCCTCTGACAATTTGTTCTCTTTCATTGGCTGTTTCAGCTGCTCTGTCTGAATATTCCACGTGCCACATCCTGTCTCTTCCTTTTTCCCACCCATTTTATCCTCTAAATCCTCCTGTTTCTTTTCTCCTGTACTCCAGATCTCTTTGACTCTTTGTCTCTCACTTCCCTGCAGACAAGTGTGGCCACACAATGCGATCCAGAAGAGATCATCGTGCTCTCAGACTCTGATTAGCTGCCTCCCCTTCTCCCTGCCTCCAGAATGTTCTGGGATAACATTTGGAGGAAGGTGGGAAGCAGATGACTGAGGAAGGGATGGACTAAGCTAATCCCCTTTTGGTGGTGTTTCTTTAAAAAAAAAAAAAAAGCTTAAGTTTTACACAGAAACATTAATAAACAATAAAGTTCTTTTCTTACTGTATCACTGTCTTTTTCTTGTCCTTCTACTGTTACAGATTGGCATTAGCTGTCCCCTTGCTCAGGGTTAGCCCAGTATCCCCGGGGTAGTCCCGCTCTGTCCTTTCTAGCCTGGCCTTTTTTTTTTTTTTTTTTTTTTTTGTCTCGCTGTGTCGCCCAGGCCAGGGTGCAGTGGTGAGATCACAGCTCACTGCAGCCTGGACCTCCCAGTCTCAAGCGATAATGCCTCAGCCTCCCGAGTAGCCGGGACTACAGGCGCGTGCCACCATGCCTGGCTAATTTTTGTTTTTGTTGTTTGTATTTTTTGTAGAGACGGGGTTTCGCCACGTTGTTCAGGCAGTACTTTTTTTTTTTTTTAAGTGCTTCAGCCGCCTTAACGCACTTTACTTTTTCACTTCGTGCAGTAGGAGTGAGAAAGCCAATGAGGGGCCGACTCAAGGTTATTTAGCCAATCCAGGCCCGGAGAAAGGGGGCGGGGCTTCAGTGGGACTGTAAGGAGCTAGGAAGAGGGCGATTAGATCCCACCAACCAGCTAATGGTCACAGCTCAGAGGCGGAGCCTGGGGAACGATACCTGGACCCATCGCCAATGGGAAAAGGCAGGCTTATAGCTTTAAAGGGGAATAAATGCTTCGGCCGAACCAAGTCCTGAGCTCCCAGCGGAGGAGGGGACCTGATCTTTTAAGGTGGAATGTGGCGATGTTTCTTTAAAGGCAAAGTGGCCGAGTCGGCCGAGTATTGCCCAGCGGCACGGGCGGGGTGCCCGGCTGTGCCTTTAAAGGCGGAGGGGCGGGAGGCGGAGCGGAGGCGGAGGGCGGAGGGAGTCGGCGCAAGATGGCGGCGGGAGGGGCCCAGGTTGCTGCTCTGGCCGCCGAGTGAGGGGCGGGGGGGGCCCGGGGGCGCGCGGCCCGGTAAGCGGGGACGCGCGAGGTTGGGGGGCGCCTTCCGGGTGGGAGAAGAGGCCGAGGTAGCGCTTGGGGCGGAGCGGGGGGGGGCGGGGTCCGTTGTGGGCGGAGGTAGACAAGGGGCGGGGTCGAAAGGCCCGATAGTGGGCGGGGCACGGGGGGGGTGGGCCTGGAGAGGGGCGGGGCTAGAGAAGCTGGGGCGAAAGGGGGCGTGGTCGGCGAGAGAGCTTGGGGGGCATAGCCTGAGGGGAGATGGAGCAAGCGTTGGTTTTCAGTAGCAGAGCTGCCCTGCCCCCTCCCAAAAAGTGGGTGCAAAACACCAAAAAGGTAGATTTTGGAATGTCAGGCTCTCAGGTAAGTCGGAAATAGGGTATAATTCCGAAGGAAGCCACTCCAGCCCCTAAGAGCACCTTATTTCTCTAACCTCCAAGGAAAGGGCACAAGATTTGTCAGATACCTGTGTTTGCTGGCGCTGCCACTTGCTGTGTGACCTTGGATAATCTCTTAATCTTTCTGAGCTTTAGTTTCCTCATCTGTCAAATGGGGTTGAGAGGAATACCTACCTCACTGTTGTGGGGAGTTACACAGATAATGAGCGTGAACATATTTTTGAGTTGTAACGGGCTGTGTCGTTATGAGATGTTATCATTATTCTTTTCTCTTTTTCTTCCCAGAGACCCCCCCGGCCGCCCTCCTCCTTTCTTTGTTCCTGTGGCTGGGGGGGTATCCCCTCCCTCCACAACATGGAGCCATCTCCTCTGTCTCCCAGTGGGGCAGCACTTCCCCTGCCGCTGTCGCTGGCTCCGCCCCCACTACCCCTGCCAGCAGCTGCAGTGGTACATGTGTCCTTCCCTGAGGTGACCAGTGCCCTCTTGGAGTCCCTCAATCAGCAGCGTCTGCAGGGCCAGCTCTGCGATGTATCTATCAGAGTGCAGGGCCGGGAGTTCCGGGCTCATCGGGCTGTCCTGGCTGCCTCCTCCCCTTACTTCCATGATCAGGTCCTACTCAAAGGCATGACCTCCATCTCGCTGCCCAGTGTCATGGACCCAGGCGCCTTTGAGACTGTCCTAGCCTCCGCTTACACTGGCCGCCTCAGCATGGCTGCTGCTGACATTGTCAACTTCCTTACAGTGGGGTCTGTGCTCCAAATGTGGCACATTGTGGACAAGTGCACTGAACTACTCCGAGAAGGCCGGGCCTCAGCTACCACCACCATCACTACTGCTGCAGCCACCTCTGTCACTGTCCCTGGTGCTGGGGTGCCATCCGGGAGTGGGGGCACTGTGGCCCCTGCTACCATGGGCTCTGCGCGCTCCCATGCCTCCAGCCGGGCCAGTGAGAATCAATCTCCCAGCAGCAGCAACTACTTCAGCCCCAGGGAGTCCACTGATTTCTCATCTTCCTCCCAAGAGGCATTTGCAGCTTCTGCAGTGGGCAGTGGGGAGCGTCGAGGAGGTGGCCCTGTATTCCCAGCCCCTGTCGTTGGCAGTGGAGGGGCCACATCTGGAAAGCTGCTGCTGGAGGCAGATGAGCTGTGCGATGATGGTGGGGATGGGAGGGGGGCAGTGGTTCCTGGGGCTGGGCTCCGGAGACCCACCTACACACCCCCTAGCATCATGCCACAGAAACACTGGGTATACGTGAAGCGAGGTGGTAATTGCCCAGCGCCAGCACCCCTGGTTCCCCAAGACCCAGATCTGGAGGAGGAAGAGGAGGAGGAAGATCTGGTGTTGACCTGTGAGGATGATGAAGATGAAGAACTAGGGGGTAGCTCCAGGGTTCCAGTGGGGGGAGGGCCTGAGGCTACCCTCAGCATAAGTGATGTCCGTACCCTGAGTGAGCCCCCAGACAAGGGGGAGGAGCAGGTCAACTTCTGTGAGTCCTCCAATGACTTTGGCCCATATGAGGGTGGGGGTCCTGTGGCAGGTCTTGATGACTCAGGGGGGCCAACTCCCTCTTCCTATGCCCCCTCCCACCCTCCTCGACCGCTCCTTCCCTTGGACATGCAGGGCAACCAGATCCTGGTCTTCCCGTCGTCGTCTTCATCCTCATCCTCACAGGCTCCTGGCCAACCACCAGGGAACCAAGCAGAACACGGGGCAGTGACCGTGGGGGGCACGTCGGTGGGGAGCCTGGGTGTGCCGGGTAGCGTTGGTGGGGTCCCTGGAGGGACTGGCAGTGGGGACGGGAATAAGATCTTTCTGTGCCATTGTGGGAAGGCCTTCTCCCACAAGAGCATGCGGGACCGGCACGTGAACATGCACCTCAATCTGCGGCCGTTTGACTGCCCCGTGTGCAACAAAAAGTTCAAGATGAAGCACCATCTGACTGAGCACATGAAGACGCACACAGGTCTCAAGCCCTACGAGTGCGGAGTCTGCGCCAAGAAGTTCATGTGGCGAGACAGCTTCATGCGCCACCGAGGACACTGTGAGCGCCGGCACCGCCTGGGCGGGGTCGGGGCCGTACCTGGGCCTGGGACTCCCACGGGGCCATCCTTGCCGTCCAAGAGAGAGTCTCCCGGAGTGGGCGGGGGCAGCGGCGACGAAGCGAGTGCGGCCACGCCCCCGTCCAGCAGACGTGTCTGGTCCCCACCCAGAGTCCACAAGGTGGAGATGGGCTTCGGTGGAGGTGGAGGAGCAAACTGAAGGGGCAGGCTACTGGGGTGGGGTAGCTTTCGGGAAAGGGAATAAGGAGCACGATGCAAGGGCGCTGTGGCCCCCGGGTGATCTCCCACCACACTTACTGTCTTCCTTTATCTCTGTGGACTTGTATATATTCTGGAAGGGGAACCACAGTTTCACCATCACCCGCCCATTCTACTACTCAACCCCTCCCCCCCAAGGTATTTCCAGAACTAAACCCTTCCTTTCCCTCTGATGGGTACACTGAAGCCCCTGCTCCACAGAGTAGATTGCACATGGAGGGAGGGAGAGGGGGCGTGTTGAACATCCTGCAGTCACAGGGTCAGGGGTCAGGTGGTTGTAGTCTGTGCCTGAAGTCTGTGTTTGTGTTGTCGTGGAGACAAGGCCTTTGAGCCCCACCCTTGTCCTAGAACCTACCCCCTCTCAAGGATGCGCTCTTTATTTCTACCCTGTTTCTCCCCGCCACCCCCGACTTCCCGTGGAAATTCCCAACTCGGTTCTCATGGAGGAGTGGGTGGAGACAAGGAGGGAGTAAGTCGTAGGAGTACAAGGTTTTTATTTTTTTTAACAGTGATTAAAATATTTATTGGTCATTTACTTGGCTTCCCGACAACCCGTGTGTTTGCTGGGGACGCGGCACAGATAGGGGGAAGCCGGAGTAATGGTTTTCGGGCAAGTGGATGTTGGAGAGCACACACAGGAGTTGGGGGGCGGGGGAGGGCCTGGGGTTGGGGAGGGCTCGAACTCGGGGCTGCTGGGTAGTCCAGGAGGGCGCGGTAAGGCTGGGGTATCCTGGTGAGAACTGGAGAGGATCTACCCGGGTCCCTGCCTGGCCAGTGGGGAAACACCGGTCCCCCAGGCACCTTCACCTAACCAGAGCGGGGATTTCCACCGCCCCTCATGCCGCCCTTTGGAGGAAAGTGAAAGTGAAAGGAGGAAGAGGAGGCTTCATGGCTGAGGAGGTCGCAGCGCCATGAAGTCCCTGTCTCTGCTCCTCGCTGTGGCTTTGGGTGAGCGAACCCCGCGACTCATCGCCCAAGAACTAGAGGGAAGCGGAGGGAGGTGGCCCCACTGGAGCCGATGCCAGGGTGGGAGTGGGGCAGGTCACCAGACATACAAACCGCTCCTCACTCGCGTCCCTATACGCCAGGCCTGGCGACCGCCGTCTCAGCAGGACCCGCGGTGATCGAGTGTTGGTTCGTGGAGGATGCGAGCGGAAAGGGCCTGGCCAAGAGACCCGGTGCACTGCTGTTGCGCCAGGGACCGGGGGAACCGCCGCCCCGGCCGGACCTCGACCCTGAGCTCTATCTCAGTGTACACGGTGAGTCTCTAGGGACTCGCCGCCCCCCTACCTCTGTCGCCTCCACCGAAACCCCCTCCTCTTTAGATCCGGCAGTGACCTCAGGCCTCAGCTTCCCCTTTGTAAAGTGAGTCTCACTACGGGGTAGTCTGTGCATTTGAAGTTCCCCGAACGCTGCCCTTCCAGCCCCTTTCCCGGCGGTGACTCTACAGCTGCAACTTCCTTCTCTACACTCAGACCCCGCGGGCGCCCTCCAGGCTGCCTTCAGGCGGTATCCCCGGGGCGCCCCCGCACCACACTGCGAGATGAGCCGCTTCGTGCCTCTCCCCGCCTCTGCGAAATGGGCCAGCGGCCTGACCCCCGCGCAGAACTGCCCGCGGGCCCTGGATGGGGCTTGGCTGATGGTCAGCATATCCAGCCCAGTCCTCAGCCTCTCCAGCCTCTTGCGACCACAGCCAGAGCCTCAGCAGGAGCCTGTTCTCATCACCATGGCAACAGGTAGCTGGGGAGGGGAGGTGGAGAAGGGTGGGTAGATTCTAAGGGTCCAGATCAGCCGGTGGTCTCGCTTTATGGACTTGAGCAAGACATTTCGCCAATCGGGGTTCAGTTTCCTTTTTTTGTTAAGAGAGGTGGTTTGGCTAGAATGAATCAATCTCTACCGCTCCTTCTAGCCCTCACCCAGTTAAAAAAAAAAACAAAAAAAAAACTGCAGCTTGGCAGGGGGTAGGGGGAAAGCAGGGCCGGGCAGGGGGGTTACTTTCTGGTGTTTCGAAGGGCGGGGCTTTGAAGAGGTGGGGTTTCCCGACACCAGACCTTGAGAGACTTGTCAGGTGATGCGAGGTGGGAGGGGTTCAGAAGCAGCAGCGTTTTTTCTCTGCTCTTCCCAGATCTGTGTCTTGCTCTGCACCCTCAGCTTTGCGGGTCACTCTTTCAAAACCCAGCACTCTATCCCCACCTGCGCCCACACCCGGCGCTGCGGCAATCCGCAAAGCAAAGGCTCTTGCACTCTAGCGCGTTGACCTTGCCTGACAGCCCCGTGTAGGGATGTGCTGCCGCTCTGTGGTCCGCAAACAGGTGGGCTCGAGTGGGCGGATGGACGCGGCTGGAGATTGGATAGCTCCTATTGCACTGAAAGGTGCATTGCAGTTTGAGGCCCAGGAGTCAGAAGCTTTTCTAGGCTGGGACGTGGGAGGGACTGTGCAGATAATTCAAGAATGAGGAGAGTCTGACCTGGATATCTGGGAGCTCTCCCTCCTGGCAGCGGAGGCGGGGTATTCCGGGGTAGAATACCGGTAGAGTTCTTAGCTTTTCTATCTGGATTTTATGTCAGCGACACAGCCCGATGGACAGGGCAACCCCAACCAATCCCTGCACCCTCCCTTCCCTCCACCCTCCTGAGAATTACCCACAGAACCAGGGAGACAGACTTGAAACCCACGCTGAAACCCTCACCTCTGCCTATACCTCCATTCTTAGTCTCAAGCCCCCACCCTGGCAGAAGCTGAGGAACACTGCTCTTGTGTAGACAGTAGCTCTCTCTGGTGGGGTGGAATATTTCCTAGGGCTACTGGCTCCACCGAGGTGATGATGAGAATGGTCTTTGCTTTCTGAGTTTGTTTTTCCAACTGTAAAATGTGGATACTATTTCCCAGCTGCTTTTCTTGTTGTGACTATCAAGAGATGGCACTGTGTTAATTTATCCATTGATTCAATAAATACTTTTTAGCACCAAGAATGAGTTAGGACTCAGCAGTTCTCAGTCCACACTGTTGGAGGTTTCTAAAATATACTGAAACCTGATTCAATCCCATGCTTAGCTTGGCCGATTAAATCAGAATCTCTGGGGTGGCCCTGGGTGCCCTTAAGGGTCACAAAGATGATCTGATGTAGACTCTGCTCTCCAGGAGGTTCTGGGCGTATTTGCCACGGATAATCCTAATGTAAAGTAGAAAGTGAAGGACATGCAGACAGGGAGCCCTGGAAGTGCCCGGGTGGTAAGATTGTCTGTATTTCACAAACAACTGGGGTCAAAGCAAGGTGCTGTGCTATTTATTTATTTTTATTTTATTTATTTATTTATTTTTGAGACAGAGTTTTGCTCTTGTTGCCCAGGCTGGAGTGCAATGGCGTGATCTCACGCTCACCGGAACCTCCGCCTCCCTGGTTCAAGCAATTCTCCTGCCTCAGCCTCCCGAGTAGCTGGGATTACAGGTGCCTGCCACCACA
Organism: Homo sapiens; assembly: GCF_000001405.40. Taxonomy (NCBI): domain Eukaryota; kingdom Metazoa; phylum Chordata; class Mammalia; order Primates; family Hominidae; genus Homo; species Homo sapiens. The sequence continues at coordinate 4,505,915 of NT_167248.2, read as the reverse complement.
CCCAGCTAATTTTGTATTTTTAGTAGAGATGAGGTTTCTCCATGTTGGTAAGGCTGGTCTCGAACTCCCAACTTCAGGTGATCCTCCCACCTCGCCTCCCGAAGTGCTGGGATTACAAGCGTGAGCCACTGCGCCTGCCTGCTATTTATTTATTTATTTATTTTTGAGACGGAGTCTCCCTCTTATTGCCCAGGCTAGAGTGCAGTTGCAGTGGCATGATCTTGGCTCACTGCAACCTCCGTCTCCCATGTTCAAGCAATTCTTGTGCCTTAGCCTCCCCAGTAGCTGGGATTACAGGCTTGTGCCACCACGCCCACCTAATTTTTGTATTTTTATTGGAGACAGGTTTCACCATGTTGGCCAGGATGGTCTTGAACTCCTGACCTAAGGTGATCCACCCACCTTGGCCTTCCAAAGTGCTGGGATTACAGGCATGAGCCACCACGCCCGGCCTGCTGTGCTCTTTCTTTTCAAGCATTTCTGCTTGATCAGGGATTTAAGAAAATGAAAGCTGTTGTACTGATGTAAAATTAGAAATGAAATCTCTCCAGGGTCCAAGATCATTCATGATTTTGCTAATATACATTTATACTTGTCTTATCAAATATTTTTAAATGTTTATTGACAAATATGCTTATTTATTTATTTATTTGAGACAGGGTCTCCCTCTGTCGCCCAGGCTGGAGTGCAGTGCAGGCTGGAGAGCAGTGGCATGATCTCAGCTCACTGCAACCTCCACCTCCGTGGCTCAAGTGATCCTCGTGCCTCAGTCTCCTGAGTAGCTGAGACCACAGGCATGTGCCACCATGCCCAGCTAATTTTTGTATTTTTTTTGTGGAGATGGGTTTTTGTCAGGTTGCCCAGGCTGGTCTTGGACTCCTGGGCTCAATTGATCTGCCCACCTTGGCCTCCGAAACTGCTGGGATTACACGTGTGAGCTGCCTGGCCCCAAATATACTTTTTTTTTTTTTTTTTTTTTTTGAGACAGAGTCTCACCCTGTTGCCCAGGCTGGAGTGCAATGGTGTGATCTCTGCTCATTTCAACTTCTGCCTCCTGAGTTCAAGTAATTCTCCTGTCTCAGCCTCCCAAGTAGCTGAGACTACAGGCGCCCACCACCAGGCCCAGCTAATTTTTGTATTTTTAGTGGAGACAGGGTTTGGTCATGTTAGCCAGGCTGGTCTTGAACTCCTGACCTCAGGTGATCCACCCACCTCAGCCTCCCAAATTGCTGGGATTACAGGCGTGAGCCACCACGCCAGGCCTATACTTTCTTAATATACTTTGTGTGTATAGTGTTTAATTCTCACCATTCTTTTAAAATATTATGGAGTCAGGTGAGGTGACTCACGCCTGTACTTCCAGCACTTTGGGAGGTCTAGGTGGGAGGATCATTTGCACTCAGGAGTTCAAGACCAGCCTGGGCAACATAACCAGACCTTGTCTCTACTAAAAATTAAAAAAATGCTGGGCGCAGTGGCTCATGCCTGTAATCCCAGCACTTTGGGAGGCCGAGGTGGGCAGATCACCTGAGGTCGAAAGTTCAAGACCAGCCTGACCAACATGGAGAAACCCCGTCTGTACTAAAAATACAAAATTAGCCAGGCATGGTGGTGCATGCCTGTAATCCCAGCTACTCGGAAGGCTGAGGCAAGAGAATTGCTTGAACCTGGGAGGCGGAGGTTGCAGTGAGCCAAGATCATGCCACTGCACTCCAGCCTGGGCAACAAGCGTGAAACTGTCTCAAAAAAAAAAAAAAAAAAAAAAGGTTGGGTGTCGTGGCATGTACCTATGGTCCCAGCTACTCGGGAGGCTGTGTTGGGAGGATTGCACCTTTGATGGGTGACAGAGTGAGACCCTGTCTCCAAAAAAAAAAAAAAAAAAAAAAAAGAGTTAAACTGTAAAACCTTTAGGTCTTGTTTATTATTTTTTTAAATTTTTTCTTTTAAATAGAGATGGGGTCTTGCTATGTTGCCCAGGCTGGTCTCAAACTGCTGGGTTCAAGTGATCCTCCCACCTCAGCCTCCCAAGGTACTGGGATTACAAGTCTGAGCCACCCTGCCCAGCCAGGTTTTGTTTATTAATTCTATGGATTTTTTTTTTTTGAGATCAAGTTTTGCTCTTGTTGCCCAGTCTGGAGGGCAATGGCATGATCTCGGCTCACCACAACCTCCGCCTCCCAGGTTCAAGTGATTCTCCTGCCTCAGCTTCCCAAGCAGCTGTGATTACAGGCGTGTGCCACCATGCCCGGATAATTCTGTATTTTTAGTAGAGACGGGGTTTCTCCAGTCTGGTCTCAAACTCCCAACCTCAGGTGATCCACCGGCCTCGGCCTCCCAAAGTGCTGGGATTACAGGCGTGAGCCACTGTGCCCAGCCTGTGGATCTTTTTTTTTTTTTTAACAATTCAAAAGTATGTTTCTGGATTTTGACAAACTAAGTGAAATTGCATACTGTTTTTACTCTACTGAACAATTCCATGAAGATGAGAACAGTTAAACCTTATAGGCCTCAGAAGCTAGGATTAAAAAGAACATAAAAATAATTACAAGAAGAAAAAGATTACTTCTACCTGAAGGACCTAGACATTTCTGGGAAGAAACAGCAGTGAAAGTGACCTTCATGTACATGGAGTATTTAGATCAGGGGTCTCCAATCTTTTGGCTTCCCTGAGCCACACTGGGAGAAGAATTGTCTTGGGCCATGCATAAAATATACGAACACTAACGATGGCTGATAAGCTAAAAAAAAAAAATGTGAAAAAATCTCATAATGTTTTAAGAAAGTTTATGAATTTGTGTTGGGCTGTATTCCAAGCCGTCCTTGGCTGCATGTGGTCCCTGGGCTGGAGGTTGGACAAGCTTGATAGATGTTTGGGAGAAAATGGGAAAGACAATGTAAACTGAAGGGACCTCATGACCAAAGCAAAGAGATGACCAATGATGACCACTTCTACTAGGCACAAGAAAGGGGTTCTATGTGGCTGGTTTGTAGGGTGCAGGAGAAGCCTGGAAGGGTGGGTTAGGGGCTGAATGTTCAAATACCTTGAAAGCTGGGCTTTGTTCTGTAGGTGAGAGCGAACCATCAGAAGTTCTTTTGGAGGGCGTGTTATTCTAAAAAGCCTGTTTTTATTATGTACATATTTATTTTTTGAGACGGAGTTTCACTCTTGTCACCCATGCTGGAGTGCAATGGGGTGATCTTGGCTCACTGCAACCTCTGCCTCCTGGGTTCAAGCAATTCTCCTGCCTCAGCCTCCCAAGTTGATGGGATCACAGGCACCCACAACCACGCCCCGCTAATTTTTTTTTTTTTTTTTTTTGTATTTTTAGTAGAGATGGGGTTTCACCATGTTGGCCAGGCTGCTCTCGAACTCCTGACCTCAGGTAATCCACCCGCCTCAGCCTCCCAAAGTGCTGGGATTACATGTGTTAGCCACCATGCCCGGAAAAAGCCTGTTATTTTACTTGATTCTTTTAAAAGATAGGCAAAGGTCAGATCTTTGGACTAGTGAGGAAAATACAGGTTAAATGATTTTTCCAAGTTAACCAGCAAGTCCATGATAGTGATGAAGGTAATGAAAATAGTAACAGCTAACATTTATCAAGTATTTTCTATATGCCAGGCCCTGTTCTAAGCACTTTATATGCATAATCTCACTTATTCCTCTCAACAACCATAGGTTGTAGGTTTTAATATTATCCCTGTATTGCATATGGATAAATATAGGACACAAACCAGTTAAATAATTTGCCCAAGGACACACAGTGTGTAAGAAGCAGAGCTAGAGGCCAGGCGTGGTGGCTCATGCCTGTAATCCCAGCACTTTGGGAGACCAAAGCAGGCGGATCACCTGAGGTCGGGAGTTCAAGACCAGCCTGGGCAACATGGTGAAACCCCATCTCTACCAAAAATACAAAAATTAGCTGGGCACGGTTGTGGACGCCTGTAATCCCAGCTACTCAGGAGGCTGAGGCAGGAGACTCACTTGAACCTGGGAGGCAGAGGTTGCAGTGAGCCAAGATCACACCACTATACTCTAGCCTAGGTGACGAGCAAAACTCTATCTCAAAAAAAAAAAAAAAAAAAAAAGAAGCAGGGCTAGAAATTGAACCCAGGCCATATAGCTTCAGCCTATGCCTTTATCAGCTGACTTCCTAGGTATTTGGGATTTTTATTTTATTTATTTATTTAGTTTTGAGACGGAGTCTCACTCTGTTGCCCAGGCTGGAGTGTAGTGGCATGATTTCGGCTTACGGCAACCTCTACCTCCCAGGTTCAAGTGATTCTTCTGCCTCAGCCTCCCAAGTAGCTAGGACTACAGGTGCCTGCCCCCACACCTGGCTAATTTTTGTATTTTTAGTAGAGACAGGGTTTTGCCATGTTGGCCAGGCTGGTCTTGAACTCCTGACCTCAGGTAATCCACCCGCCTCAGGCTACCAAAGTGTTGGGATTACAGGTGTGAGCCACCACGCCTGGCCGTATTTGGGATTTTTTTTTTTTTTTTTTGAAACGGGGTTTCCCTCTTATTGCCCAGGCTGGAGTGCAATGGCACAATCTCGGCTCACCGCAACCTCTGCTTCCCGGGTTCAAGCAATTCTACTGCCTCGGTCTCCCGAGTAGCTGGGATTACAGGCATGTGCCACCACACCAGGCTAATTTTGTATTTTTAGTAGAGACGGGGTTTCACCATGTTGGTCAGGCTGGTTTCAAACTCCCGAACTCAGGTGATCCACCCGCCTCGGCCTCCCAAAGTGCTGGGATTATAGGCATGAACCACTGCGTCTGGCCCATATTTGGGATTTTTAAACAGGTAGGTGATGGGATCAGACTTGTAGTCACTTTGTTTGGCTACAGTGTGAAGAAGGAGTTGAAGGAGAGACTGAGAATAGGGAGACCAGACAGGAGGGCTGTTGTAATTGTCTAAACGTACATTGATGAGAACCTAAATTGGAAACAGATGTGAGATCTGTTAGGTCCTGGTGGGGATAGCACATAGCACATTATTTTTGACAATTTGCTTGTCTGTCATTGGACTATAGGCAATTTGAGAGCAGGGACTGCTTGTCTTGTTCACCATTCTGTCTTCTACCAGGATACCTTGAACATCTTCAGTGCTCAATAGTTGCTGAATGAATAAATGAGTCTGAGTAACTCCAAGGGTTTGCTTTTAGTGTCTGGCGGGCTTGGTGATCATTCATCAAAGACAGGGAAGATGGGCATTGGAGCAGGGTGGGGAATGTTGCAGAGATGCTGTTGACTTGGGGTATGCTAAGTTAGGTGTAACTATAGCAAACACGTGTAGACTTACTGTGTTCCAGACAGTGTTGTAAGCACCCTTCATGGGTAGGTGTCTCTGTTATCTAAAATTGGGAACTGAATAGACTTGAGTAGCAAGAGGTATTAATGATTTAACCATCACAACAACCTCATGAAGTAGGTACTATTATTATCATCAACTTTTAATTTTAGAGATTAGGAAGCTGAGCCATGGAAAAAGGAAGTGGCCCAAGGCCATATAAATAAGCTGCAGAGGGGATTTGAACCCGGTCAGCCAGGCTCCAGGCACTTAGCCACTGCACTGTACTGCTTCAGTAGAGCATAGAGGTCTGTGCTCAGGTCTAGGCTAGAGCTGGAACCTTCTAGAGTCAGTAAATATTCTGTACAGCACCACAAGACTGACAGTCATGGCTCAATCATTGTCTTCGCCTGTAATCAAGAAAGGCCTGGTTCCTCAAGGGTGGTGCTTGGAGATAGAGTGGTTCAGGTTGTGTCAGAAGTGGCCTCGGATTCTGCAGTCCCCCGAGCTAGAGTGTGCTATGTGTTCAGAGTAGGCTTCAAAGGCCATACCCCCTCATTGCCCCTACTCACCACCCCTAGACCTCTCTGCTCACCCTCAGCCACACTAGGTGCCACCCAGTCGCAGAGCAAAAGGAGTTTGCAGGGAGGGCTAGGAAATGGTGAGTATCAGAAAAGGTGTCCTCTGAGGGGTGGGTAAACTGCAGTTTAGCCCTCCCCAATAACTGCATTTCTCTATTTTTTTCTCCTTCTTTCTCTCCCTCATGCCCCTCCCAACCCCTCATCTCCCTGTCTTCCTCAGTGGTACTGACTGTCCTCACCCACACCCCTGCCCCTCGAGTGAGACTGGGACAAGATGCTCTGCTGGACTTGAGCTTTGCCTACATGCCCCCCACCTCCGAGGCCGCCTCATCTCTGGCTCCGGGTCCCCCTCCCTTTGGGCTAGAGTGGCGACGCCAGCACCTGGGTAAGGGACATCTGCTCCTGGCTGCAACTCCTGGGCTGAATGGCCAGATGCCAGCAGCCCAAGAAGGGGCCGTGGCATTTGCTGCTTGGGATGATGATGAGCCATGGGGCCCATGGACCGGAAATGGGACCTTCTGGCTGCCTAGAGTTCAACCCTTTCAGGAGGGCACCTATCTGGCCACCATACACCTGCCATACCTGCAAGGACAGGTCACCCTGGAGCTTGCTGTGTACAGTGAGTTGGGGGACAGAGGTCTCCAGGGGTAGAGGGTGGGCACTGGATTGTGGTGACCGTAATAGGGGGAGGGATGATGGATAAGAGGGTGCCTGGGCAAGTAAGTAGAGATAGAAAGAGGTTCCTGGGAGTTAGAGGGATAATGGGAGGCTAGAAGTTTCCTGGAAATTTGAGGGGCTTTGACATGGGTATTTCTGTGACGCACCAATGGAGAGACAGTGGGTACCCTATTTCAGGAGAAGAAACCTAACCTTCTTTAGTTCTGAGGAAGCCAGCAGGCAAACTGAGGGTCTCTTAGGGAGGACAGTATGGACTGATTTCCCTATGCTCATTTCGTCCTCTTTCCCCAGAACCCCCCAAAGTGTCCCTGATGCCAGCAACCCTTGCACGGGCCGCCCCAGGGGAGGCACCCCCGGAATTGCTCTGCCTTGTGTCCCACTTCTACCCTTCTGGGGGCCTGGAGGTGGAGTGGGAACTCCGGGGTGGCCCAGGGGGCCGCTCTCAGAAGGCCGAGGGGCAGAGGTGGCTCTCGGCCCTGCGCCACCATTCCGATGGCTCTGTCAGCCTCTCTGGGCACTTGCAGCCGCCCCCAGTCACCACTGAGCAGCATGGGGCACGCTATGCCTGTCGAATTCACCATCCCAGCCTGCCTGCCTCGGGGCGCAGCGCTGAGGTCACCCTGGAGGTAGCAGGTAAGAGCTGGGAGCTCTGCGGAATCTGAGCCAGCACCCAGGAAGACAGGAGCTCACTCTCACCCCTTCTGCCTGCCAGGTCTTTCAGGGCCCTCCCTTGAGGACAGCGTAGGCCTTTTCCTGTCTGCCTTTCTTCTGCTTGGGCTCTTCAAGGCACTGGGCTGGGCTGGTAAGTGTCAGCCCTACCCTGACCATGACCTGAGGTTGGTGGACTTTCCCCACCTACTCCCAAGAGCCTGACACCCATCCCTCTGCCCTCCACCTCTACCACTCCAGCATCCCATCCCTTCTCAATCTTTCCCCACAGCTGTCTACCTGTCCACCTGCAAGGATTCAAAGAAGGTACAGTGCTCCACCTCTCTGTATCTTTCCCTTGTCACTTTATCTCCTCATCCTATCTCAAAACCCATGGAGGGAGGCTGCTGGTGTGGTAGGCAGAACCTAGGCTTGGAATTCACACTGATCTGGGTTAAAACCTGGCACTATATCCTAACTGTAGGACTCTTTGAGCATGCTACTTAATCTATATGTTTCCTTGGGTGTAGGGATTTTAAAAAGTTACTTAGGCAGTGCTGTCCAATAGAAAGATAATGCAAGCCACATATGTAAATTTAAATACTCTAGTACTCACATTAAAAAAATAAGCAGAAACAGGTAAAATTAACTTAATAATATACCTTATTTAATCTAATAATTCTGGTCCCTTATCTGAAATGCTTGGGTCAGAAGTGTTTTTGGATGTTGGATTTTTTCAGACTTTGGAATATTTGCATATATTTAATATCTTTGGGATCAGACCCAAATCTAAACACAGAAATCATTTATGTTTCCTATACACCTTATACACATGGCCTGAAGATTTTTTTCCTTCTCTTTTTTTTTGAGACAGAGTCTCTGTCGCCCAGGCTGGGGTGCAATGGTGCGATCTCGGCTCACTGCAACCTCCACCTCCCAGGTTCAAGCGATTCTCCTGCCTTAGCCTCCCGAGTAGTTGGGATTACAGGCACCCACCACCACGCCTGGCTAATTTTTGTATTTTTAGTAGAGACGGGGTTTCACCATGTTGGTCAGGCTGGTCTCGAACTCCCGACCTCAGGTGATCCGCCCGCTGCCTTGGCCTCCCAAAGCGTTGGGATTACAGGTGTGAACCGCTGCACCCGACCACAATATTTTTAATAATATATGTGACCCATCACATGAGGGCAGCTGTGGGATTTTCCACTTGTGGCATCATGTTGGCACTAAAAAAATTTCAGGTTTTGGAACATTTCAGATTTTAGAGTTTTGGATCGGCGATGCTCAACCTGTACATCCAAAATATTATTGCAACATGTAAACAATATAAGAAATTACAGGCCGGGTGCGATGGCTCATGCCTGTAATCCCTGCACTTCGGGAGGCCGAGGCGGGAGGATCACCTGAGGTCAGGAGTTCAAGACCAGCTTAGCCAACATGATGAAACCCCATCTCTACTAAAAATACAAAAAATTAGCCAGATGTGACGGCACCTGTAATCCCAGCTACTCGGGAGACTGGGGCAGGAGAATCGCTTGAACCTGGGAGGCAGAGGTTGCAGTGAGCTGAGATCACACCATTGCACTCCAGCCTGGGTGACAAAAGGAAAACTTCGTCTCAACAACAAAAAAAAAAAGAAAAAGAAATTACAGTCTTGGCCAGGTGCGTTGGTTCACGCCTGTAATCCTAGCACTTTGGGAGGCTGAGGAGGGCGGATCACCTGAGGTCAGGAGTTCAAGACCAGCCTGGCCAACATGGTGAAACCCCGTCTCTACTAAAAATACAGAAAAATTAGCCGGGCATGGTGGTGCACACCTGTAATCTCAGCTACTCAGGAGGCTGAGGCAGGAGAATTGCTTGAACCTGGGAGGTGGAGGTTGCAGTGAGCCGAGATCGCACCACTGCACTCCAGCCTGGGCAACAGAGTGAGGCTCTGTCTCAAAAAACAAAACAAAACAAAACAAAACAAATTAGCTGGGCATGGTGGCACACAGCTATAGTCCCAGCTACTTGGGGAGCTGTGGCAGAAGGATCGCTTGAATCTGGGAGGGTGAGGCTGCAATGAGCTAAGGTTGTCCCACTGTACTCCAGCCTGGGTGACAAAGTGAGACCCTGTCTCAAAAAAAAAAAAAAAAAAAGAAAGAAAAGAAAATAAATTGCAGCCCTTTTCTCACCTTAAGTATTCAAACACAGGTGTTTATTTTAAATAGTCAGCACATCTCAATTCGGACTAGCCACATATCAAATGCTCAATAGCCTAATGTGGGTGGTGGCTGTCATATTGGACAGCGGAGCCTGAGAGGACTTTTAGGAGGATTAAGGAAGACAGTGTATCTCCTTAAGAAGATGCAGGAGATACAGCACTCAGCACAGTGTCTGGAGGGCAGAAAATATTAGCCTCATCCTTCTCCCATCATCTGTGCCCATGATAGTTTATATGTCTCTAAACTGACCATGTACACCTCAACTGCCTTTTAATATCCTGAATTCCTCACCACCTTCCTCTCTTCCAGAAAGCAGAGTGAGGGCACTCACTGCCATCCTGTGGAAGCCACCATCATCTCTGGCCCAAGCTTCTGTAGTAGCTCCCTAAAATAATACCCTATCATCTGCTCCTAATCCCTCCAATCTCTCTCCACTGAGTGGCTGGAATGCTTTTTTTTTTTTCTTTCACTTATATAAGGGATAATTTTTCTTTTTTTTTTTTTTTGAGACGGAGTCTCACTCTTCCGCCCAGGCTGCAGTGCAGTGGCATGATCTTGGCTTACTGCAACCTCCGCCTCCTGGGTTCAAGCAATTCTGTGGCTTCAGCCTCCGGAGTAGCTGGGATTACAGGCACATGCCACCACACCCAGTGAATTTTTGTATTTTTAGTAGAGACGGGGTTTCACCATGTTGGCCAGGCTGGTCTTGAATTCCTGACCTCAGGTGATCTGCCCACCTCAGCCTCCCAAAGTGCTGGGATTACAGGCGTGAGCCACCACACCAGGCCCGAGAAATGCTTTTTTAAAAAACACACATCTTATGGCATTCACCTTCTTGGAGCTCTAGGACAGTGGTTCTCAAAATTTTTTTCTCTCAGGACCTCTTAAAAATCATCAAGGACCCCAAAAAGCTTTTGGGTATGTGGGTTATAGCTATCAATATTTATGGTACTAGAACTTAAAAGTGAGAAAAATTTAAAACACGAGAATACATAGGCACACATTCTATTCATCGTGGGAACCATGGTGTCAATACATATCATGTAGCTTCTGAAAAACTCCACTGTACACTTATAGAATGAAGAAGGCAAAAAACTTTTTTTTTTTTTTTTTTGAGACGGAGTCTCGCTCTGTCGCCCAGGCTGGAGTGCAGTGGCGCGATCTCGGCTCACTGCAAGCTCCGCCTCTCGGGTTCACGCCATTCTCCTGCCTCAGCCTCCCAAGTAGCTCGGACTACAGGCGTCCTCCACCATGCCTGGCTAATATTTTGTATTTTTTAGTAGAGACGGGGTTTCACCGTGTTAGCCAGGATGGTCTCGATCTCCTAACCTGGTGATCCGCCCGCCTCGGCCTCCCAAAGTATTGGGATTACCCGCGTGAGCCACCGCGCCCGGCTGCAAATAATCTTTCTTTTTTTCTTTTTTTCTGAGACAGAGTCTCGCTCTGTTGCCCAGGCTGGAGTGCAGTGGCACGATCTCGGCTCACGGCACGCTCCGCCTCCCGGGTTCACGCCATTCTCCTGCCTCAGCTTCCCGAGTAGCTGGGACTACAGGGGCCCGCCACCACGCCCGGCTAACTTTTTGTGTTTTTAGTAGAGACGGGGTTTCACCGTGTTAGCCAGGATGGTCTCGATCTCCTGACCTTGTGATCTGCCCGCCTCGGCCTCCCAAAGTGCTGGGATTACAGGCGTGAGCCACCGCGCCCGGCGGCGAAACACGATATTGTACTAACATCTTAATTTTGTTATAAAATCTCACAAACCCCCTGACATAGTCTCAGAGATCTGTAGGGCCGAGGTTACATTTGGAGAACCCGTACTCTAGGGCCAAATCCATTCTTCTTGCCCTGGCTCACTTGTCCCCCCCACCGCCCCGCGCTGGAGCCACTGCCTAGTTCTTCAGCCCTAGATGGTGCTCGCCAGACCTCCTCTCAATGCTCATCACACACAGGGCTATTCCTTTCCTCCAATGAACCAAACGCCTCCCGCCCACCTCCAGGTCCCAGTCCTCTGTTCCCTTTGCCTGGTCCACCCTTGCCCTCCCTGGGTCGCAGACGAGGTCGGCCTCGTCATTCCCCGCAGACCGCCGCGCGTCCCTCTTGTGCGGTTCACCACAGTTGTATTTAAGTGATCGTGTGAGTCGTCGTTAAATGCCTGTCTCCCCGCGGATCATGGGCTCCTCGAGGACAGGGACCGGCCTGTCTGTCCACTGCTGTAACCCCGCGCCGGCATAGGGACCTAAGGCCCACTGGAGGGCGCTCATCAAGTAGCTGCTGGATGTTGACGAAGGAAGCGGCGGCGCAGCTCAGGGATCTCCGAGTCAGGACGGTCGGCCAGACCCACGGGGTAACGGGTCTAATCGTGTAGGAATAAAGCTGTATTCCAGTGCTTCCAAACGGTTCTCTCATTCCAACCCCTTTCCAAGCTCAATGAATATTCCAATCACCTCTGGTCCCTTCCAGTGACCCTGAACCGCTCAGAGAACGCCCCGTCGACACCGTTCGGGGCGGGCGCCACTACTGGCGCATGAGATGCGCTCAAGCAGAGGGTACTCCACCAGCGAGGATACACCGAGCCGACGGGGATCTCGGTCTCGGCGCCGGAAGCCTCTGAGAGCCGAATCTGGAACCGGATGTGGCTGCTTCCTGCCCCGCCCCCTGCCGAGGGGGCGGGAATCGAGGGCCCTTCGGAAAACCCGGCCGGGATTTCGGTCAGCTACATTCGTGGGTTGTGGTAGGGAGGGTAATCCCGTGGGGATGGAGTAACCGGCTCTCTCTCCGCCTGAAACGCTTCCCGCGGGAGTTTTAGCCGTGTTATTGTTGGGGAAGGGAATGTCAAATTCTGCTCCTGCCTTCCCCCAGGGGCTGGAGACTGGAATCTTTATTCCAGTTCATTGCGGGTCGACGTGGTCTCCAGAATCCCCGAGTGTAGAGGCGGAGGACAGTGGAGCTGGGGACTCGGGCGCCTGGGTCCTGGTCCCTGAGCGTCCAGCGCTCCCCTAGTCCGCGGCCCTGGCTCCTGTCCTCACTTCCTTCCCCTTTTGGCTCCTGCTCTCGGAGCGGGCGGACGCGGGGGGGAGCGGAAAGGGCGGGAGGGCCCAGGAGCCCGGCGGGGGGGTTCAAGGGGGTACGGAAAAGCCGGGGAGGGGACTCGGTCCGGGGCCGGAGACCGACGGCAACAGCGGCTCAGGACCCACGCTGCCCCCACCCCTCCCGAGCAGGTCAGAGCCTGAGCACCCTGCGCGTCCCCGTACTCGTGACCTCCTCCTTCCCCAACAGCACCAAGGGCCCCCCTATTCCACCCTTCTGTTGCCCCCTCCCCCAACCTTCCTGCAGAACTCCCTTCCGGTCTTCTTGACACCCACCCACGTCCCTTCCCTGCCCGGTTCCCCCGCGCCTGCCTGACTCTCCACCCCCACCCCACCCCGTCTCTCCCCAGGCGCCCCCATGGCCCGACCCCGCTGATTCCTTCACTCGGCCATGCTCCCGCGGCCCCTGCGGCTGCTTTTGGACACGAGCCCCCCCGGGGGAGTCGTACTGAGCAGCTTCCGAAGCCGGGACCCCGAAGAGGGTGGGGGCCCAGGTGGCCTGGTCGTGGGCGGGGGGCAGGAGGAAGAGGAGGAGGAAGAAGAAGAGGTGAGACGCGGGTGGTGGGAGGTAGGGGGCGTATGTATTTCTGAAGTCTCCACTTTTCTCTTGTCTCTGGGTCCCTACATCTCCTCCTCCTTGCCTCAGTTATTCTCGCGCCTCCCTGGGTGTCGGCCCGTTTCTCTGCTGCGGGGAGTCCTGGCGTCTCCGTGGTTCTCTGTCAGTGTGACTCAGGACCTGCCCGCAGGAACCTGCCCTGTTCCTGCCTGGAACTTCTGGCTGGCTGTCCTGTCCCTGCGGGTCTTTGGCCCTCCACCTCTGCCTGCCTGAGTGTGCCTACCTCTCTGAGCAGTCGTGTCTTGGTCCCTGTCTCCCTCCTTGTTTTTGTTTGGCGGGGAGGGGTTTGTTTCCACAGTAACCAGCTCCTCTGACTCTGGGATTGGGGAGGGAACCCTCAGATTTCGTGACCCCTCCTTCCCTCTCTCCCCCTTCCCCCCGCCCCCCCGCCCCGCCCCGGTCCTGGGTAGAGGCCGGGAAGCCACGGTTCTGGGACCTGGAGGAAAGATCCTAGGGTGGGTAGAGAGTGGTCATCTGTTTTCATTAGGGATTAATGGTGGTGGCCAGGAGCAGGATTTCGGGCCTCAGGAGGGGCCAGAATTTGGATTTGGGGCCCCGAGGCCCTAAACTCCTAGGTCCAGATCCTAGGTGAGGGCAGGTTGACTGGCAGGGCTGGTTTTTCGGGATCGGTCGGGGGAGGGGCTGGGGCCACGTGACTCTCTGAGTCTACCGCCCCCAACCCCCTATCATCCCACTTCCCCTTTTCCTTCCTGTACTGGGATTGGAGCTGCTACCTTCGGGGGTCCCTTAGGGCTGAGATAGTGGAGGCGCTACCCGAGGGACCAGGGTGAAAGGGGTCCTGAAAAAGACTAATTCTCTGGGCTGGTATAGTCCTTGGCCGGGAGGGGCGGGGCATGCGGCAGTGCCTGGACTGAGGTTTCAGCTACCCCTAGTCGCTGCCTCTGGCTTGCTGCCTCTCGCTTCCCTCTCCTGCCCTTTGTACCCTGCTTCTCTGTCGTGTGTGGGTTCAGCTCTGGGGAGAAGGGGCTTTGGGGGTCTCCAGGATCAGAATTCCTGTACTCCATCCACGCCTCCACTGCAGCCCCTTCGACTCCACCGGGGCCCTGAGGCGGCTGGGGTGGGGCTGTCTGGGCCCCAGTGGGGGAGACCTGGGGTCACCAGCTCCCCCAACCCTTCCTCGCACTCGCTGGTACTATGCCCTGCCACCACAGGTGAGGGGTACAGAGGGAGGAGCAGGGCCTGGGGTGAAGGCTGAGGGCAATGGGGGGTGGTGTGGAACTGTCTGACTTCCCCTTCCTTGCTCCTCCAGGCCCCTGTGTCCGTCTGGGATGAGGAGGAGGATGGTGCCGTGTTTACCGTCACAAGCCGCCAATATCGACCTCTTGATCCCTTGGTGAGATCATGACTTTAGCTTCTCACCTCTGACTCTTCATTCCCAGTTTTCCTTCCTCTGGCTGACTTTCTGGCCAGAGTGCTAGGTTGGAGTTCTGGAGTCCTGGACTCTGCTGTGTGACATAGGCCAAGACTCTTGCCCTCTCTGAATATCAGAAAAATGAGTCTGGAACATCTCCTGGGTCTGGGATTGTCCTCAGAAATCTAGGTGCAGAGTGGGAGAAAGGGTTAGCGATCATCTCTCTGTGTTCTCCAGGTCCCTATGCCTCCCCCACGTTCCTCCCGACGGCTCCGAGCTGGCACTCTGGAGGCCCTGGTCAGACACCTACTGGATACCCGGACATCAGGGACTGATGTGAGCTTCATGTCAGCCTTCCTGGCTACCCACCGGGCCTTCACCTCCACGCCTGCCTTGCTAGGGCTTATGGCTGACAGGTCAGAGTCATAAGGGACGCAGGGTAGTGGAGTATCTGCCCGGATTTCCTAAAGCCGCAACATCCCACCAAAATAGTCAAAGCCACTGAGGGTTTGGGAAAAATGGACAGATAGATCCTCTTCTCCCCCTCAGGCTGGAAGCCCTTGAATCTCATCCTACCGACGAACTAGAGAGGACAACAGAGTGAGTGACCCCTGGTTCTTAATCTCACAGTCCCCTCTGCCCAGGCTGCAGCTTTACCTCTCACCCTTGGCTGATTCCCTTCTCCCAGGGTAGCCATCTCTGTACTGTCAACCTGGCTGGCCTCTCACCCTGAGGATTTTGGCTCTGAGGCCAAGGGTCAGCTTGACCGGCTTGAGAGCTTCTTACTTCAGACAGGGTATGCAGCAGGGAAGGGTGTTGGGGGGGGCAGCGCTGACCTCATCCGCAATCTCCGGTCCCGGGTGGACCCCCAGGCCCCCGACCTTCCTAAGCCCCTGGCCCTCCCCGGCGATCCCCCTGCTGACCCCACGGATGTCCTGGTGTTCCTCGCTGACCACTTGGCCGAACAGCTGACCCTGCTAGATGCGGTGAGACCCTGACCTCTGGCCCCTATGCCCCCTGACCCCTTACTAACCTCTCCTTGACTCCAGATCCTTTCCTTGCTTCCACCCCTTCCTGATCCAGCTCCTAGCCTCCTCCACCTACCATTTTGATTCTCCCCTTTTCCCTTTGGTCGTTACCCTTCAAACCCTGTGCCCCTCTGGTTCCTTGGCCACCTGAGATCCTCAGATCCCTGATATTGGAAGGCTGACCTCACTTGACTATGAACTTTAACCTCTGACCTCTACCCTGCAGGAACTTTTTCTCAATTTGATCCCCTCTCAGTGCCTGGGAGGCCTGTGGGGTCACAGAGACCGGCCAGGACATTCTCACCTCTGCCCATCTGTCCGAGCTACTGTCACACAGTTTAACAAGGTGGCAGGGGCAGTGGTTAGTTCTGTCCTGGGGGCTACTTCCACTGGAGAGGGACCTGGGGAGGTGACCATACGGCCACTCCGTCCCCCACAGAGGGCCCGGCTCCTGGAGAAGTGGATCCGCGTGGCAGAGGTGAGAGAGAAGATTGCCCTACGGTTTGTGGCCATGGAATGGAGAGGCCTCCCATAGCCTTAGCTCTCTTCTTTGACCCCCACAGGAGTGCCGGCTGCTCCGAAACTTCTCTTCAGTTTATGCCGTGGTGTCAGCCCTGCAGTCCAGCCCCATCCACAGGCTTCGGGCAGCCTGGGGGGAAGCAACCAGGTGCGGAGGCTGAGGCATTGGACTGGGGTGGGGGTTCCTCAGAAGGCGGGGAAGAGGGGGTGACAGAGCCAGGCCTGTCCTCAGGGCCACTTTTCTCCCTTCCCCAGGGACAGCCTCAGAGTCTTTTCCAGCCTCTGCCAGATTTTCTCCGAGGAGGATAATTATTCCCAGAGTCGGGAGCTGCTCGTGCAGGTGAGAGCCTGGTTTGTGGCATTCCCACCTCTCCTTGTTCCCTACTGCTCCCCCATGTCTCTTTTATTTTGTCACCACCAGGAGGTGAAGCTGCAGTCTCCTCTGGAGCCACACTCCAAGAAGGCCCCGAGGTCTGGCTCCCGGGGTGGGGTGAGTGACTAGCGGGGTGGTGGGCGTGGGGGTGGTGATTATGAAGGGGTGAGGAGTATGTTTTGGGGGAGCAGCCTGAAGGATGGGTAAGGGAGGCACAGAGGGGTGAGGAGAATGAAATCTGTTCTCTGAGGCAATGAGGAGGGCAAGTGCGGAGGGATGGAGGGCCCTCACGTCAATGGCAGGCACTTCTGACCCTGACCCCTGACTTCAGGGTGTGGTCCCATACCTTGGCACCTTCCTGAAGGACCTTGTGATGCTGGATGCAGCCTCCAAGGATGAGTTGGAGGTCAGTGGTGTGTGTGTGTGTCATTGCAATGATGTAACAAGTGGGCTGCAGGGTCGGACAGACCCCCCCGCCCCTTGCAAGGGGCTGTAAGGCACAAATAGCTGAGTGTGGGACAGAGCCAGATCTGTTTCTGTGCCAAGTCGCCTCAGTGATCTGTAAATGGGAAACTAGAAATAGCATCTACATTGATCTGTTATAAGGGTTAAATGAATTTGTATTTGTCAAGTGCTTAGAACGTGCCTGAAACGTAAGCACATCTAGGTTTTGTGATGGGCTCCTGCTCTATTGCTAGAGTTTGTTAAATAAACAAATACTGAGACCTTGGACAAGTTCCTTATCCTCTCTGGATAAGGAATCCTGTCGAATTGGATACTATCCAGTCCTCTCATCTGCAAAGCAGACTCGTTGTCTACCTGAGAAATTCAATTTAAAGGGTCAAGTGGAGTGCTTAGGCCATGATAGATTGAGGAGGAAGGCAGGGAGGGATCGAAGAGTCAGAGAGGCTGGAGGGAAGTGGTTGTGAGTTGGATGTGGCTGTGTGTGTTTAAGAGAGGGGATATTCTCTCTCTGTGGCCGGAAGGTAGGGTTGGAACTTTCACCCCATCCCCATTTTCCTCGCAGAATGGATAC
This sequence comes from Homo sapiens, assembly GCF_000001405.40. Taxonomy (NCBI): domain Eukaryota; kingdom Metazoa; phylum Chordata; class Mammalia; order Primates; family Hominidae; genus Homo; species Homo sapiens. The sequence goes on along the minus strand of NT_167248.2, from coordinate 4,488,478 downwards.
ATCAATTTTGACAAGCGGAGGAAGGTGAGCGGAGTGTCTGGGCTGGATGCTGGACTTCCCTATCCATGTTCCAGGAAGGGGAGGGGGAAAAGTCAGGGGTCCCTGAGTTTTGGCTCCTGCAGTTTGAGGGCTCCTTCCCAGGAGTTTGCAGTCCTTTCTGAGTTGCGACGGCTCCAGAATGAATGTCGTGGCTATAACCTCCAACCTGACCATGATATCCAGAGGTGGCTACAGGGGCTCCGGCCACTGACAGAGGCTCAGAGGTGACTGGCGGGTGAGGTTGGGACTCCAGGGTTCTGGCCAGGTGTGGGGGATTGGTGTCATGTCCTGAGCTCTGCCTATTGCCCCCCTAACCCAGCCATCGTGTATCCTGTGAGGTGGAGCCACCTGGTTCCAGTGACCCTCCTGCCCCACGGGTGCTTCGGCCAACATTGGTCATCTCGCAGTGGACAGAGTGAGAGATTCACTGGCTGGGGGGTGGTTTCTTGGGACTTCCACTTTTCTCTGATCCTCCCAATCTCCTGCCACTGCAGGGTTTTGGGCTCTGTTGGGGTCCCTACCCCGCTTGTGTCCTGTGACCGGCCCAGTACTGGGGGAGATGAGGCGCCTACAACTCCTGCTCCTCTGCTGACTCGGCTGGCCCAGGTGAGCTCTGCTCCTGACTCTGACCTTGACGCTGACCCTCACTCTGTAAATGTTTCTTCCTTAAACCTCCCTGCCTTCATGCCAGTCCCATGTTGTTTGTTCCTAGCACATGAAGTGGCCATCTGTCTCGTCACTAGACTCTGCCTTGGAAAGCAGTCCATCCCTGCACAGTCCAGCTGACCCCAGCCACCTCTCCCCACCAGCCTCCTCCCCTAGGCCTTCTCGAGGTCACCGCCGCTCAGCCTCCTGTGGCTCCCCGCTGAGTGGGGGTGCAGAAGAGGCCTCCGGGGGGACTGGATATGGGGGAGAGGGATCTGGGCCAGGGGCCTCTGATTGCCGTATCATCCGAGTCCAGATGGAGTTGGGGGAAGATGGCAGTGTCTATAAGAGCATTTTGGTGAGGGAGCCTTGGGATGGAGTTGGGGTGAAGGATGGTGTCTTGTTGGACTATAAATGTTGTCTGAGGTTTGGGCAGCCAAATGGAATTGAATGTAGTTTTAATTTTGACCTTTGGTTTTGGCAGTTATGTTTTATTTTTAATTTTATCTTCTAAACTCTAGTCTTCAATAGAAGCTGAAATTTGTTTTATTTTGATGGCTATTTTGCATTAGTTGCTACACCTTAAACTTTTGGTCGCCGTGTTAAAATTTCAGAATCAACAGCAGTTTCCCCACAGGGAAGCAGCTCTGTTTCACTGGGCACCATGTGGGCTGGCTTATGGGGTATAGGAAGCCACCATATTGGGTTTTCCTGTTCATTTTAAAGCCTTGGACACAAGTAACATTTTGTGGTTGGGTTCAGTGGCTGAGGGTAGAAGGATGGGAAATCATGGCTGATTGATTGCTCTTTTGGTCTCCTGTTCTGCCAGGTGACAAGCCAGGACAAGGCTCCAAGTGTCATCAGTCGTGTCCTTAAGAAAAACAATCGTGACTCTGCAGTGGCTTCAGAGTATGAGCTGGTACAGCTGCTACCAGGGGAGCGAGGTCAGAGGCCATGAGGGGGCAGACTCGGGAGGAGAGTGGAGTACTTCCACATCTGGGCGGCTGTGGGGGGAACAACTGTGTGTGTGCTTTACATCCATCCCCTGAACCTTCAGAGCTGACTATCCCAGCCTCGGCTAATGTATTCTACGCCATGGATGGAGCTTCACACGATTTCCTCCTGCGGCAGCGGCGAAGGTCCTCTACTGCTACACCTGGCGTCACCAGTGGCCCGTCTGCCTCAGGAACTCCTCCGAGTGAGGGAGGAGGGGGCTCCTTTCCCAGGATCAAGGCCACAGGGAGGAAGATTGCACGGGCACTGTTCTGAGGAGGAAGCCCCGTTGGCTTACAGAAGTCATGGTGTTCATACCAGATGTGGGTAGCCATCCTGAATGGTGGCAATTATATCACATTGAGACAGAAATTCAGAAAGGGAGCCAGCCACCCTGGGGCAGTGAAGTGCCACTGGTTTACCAGACAGCTGAGAAATCCAGCCCTGTGGGAACTGGTGTCTTATAACCAAGTTGGATACCTGTGTATAGCTTCCCACCTTCCATGAGTGCAGCACACAGGTAGTGCTGGAAAAACGCATCAGTTTCTGATTCTTGGCCATATCCTAACATGCAAGGGCCAAGCAAAGGCTTCAAGGCTCTGAGCCCCAGGGCAGAGGGGAATGGCAAAATGTAGGTCCTCGCAGGAGCTCTTCTTCCCACTCTGGGGGTTTCTATCACTGTGACAACACTAAGATAATAAACCAAAACACTACCTGAATTCTACTCCCCTGTCCTTGCAGTACATATGAACTGGCTGCTATGAGTGGGGGTGGGGAATTGGCTGAAGGTAGATGCCATGGAACAGGAAGGGGCACAATGTTTTCTGTCCCCATGAACAGAGCAAAAAGTGAGGTATTGGTGAAAAAAGTTTCCTCAGAACAGTTTCTCTCCAGTAACCTCTCTACCACTGGTCCCTTGCTGCAAATGTGTATAAAACAATTTTAGGACAAGGAAATGGCAGAACAACTTTATGGACAACATATAAACTTGGGAGGACTTATAATACCATAAAGCATTACATGCTGGGATTTTAAGTCAGTTTAAAGCTACATTCAAGCAAATTCTAGGAAGACAGAGGCTGAAAAGTACTAATAGAGATGCCAGGGCTGTTGGCAAGGAGGGTAACCACATTTCATCCTGGGGCCTCAGGTTAGAGAACTGTGTATTCTTTTTCAATTAAACCGACATTCCTAGCAATATGGTATGTTGCAAATGCCCTTCCAAAAGAATCATGCCAACCAAGATGAGGGAGAGTTAAGGGTTGTATATACAGGCAAGAAGTAGGTTTGAAGACATTTAGGATTTCACTTTCAAGAAAGAACACTGTGCCACAAAGAGATTCCAAGTGCAAGAGTTTGAACCTGAGGGGGTAATACAGGTGGTGTGTGTTAAGGTGGAAGGGGCTGTGGGGATATGACAGAAGTGCCTGGTCAGGAAACAGAGCCAGGTGTTTTTACATTTTATTAGCTACAGTATAGATCCTAGAGCTGCCTCATTCCCTCCCCTCCCCTCCCCTCCCCCCACCATGGGGTCAGGCCTTGCCAGGAGCCCCTGCCTTTGCTGCCTGGGCCCGCTGGAACTCCTGCTGCAGCTGAGCAAGGGTCTCCCTCTGTTGCTCTGACTGCCGCTCAAGATCCCGAAGCTGGGATTCGTATCGCTTACTAAGGAGAGACAAGGGAGACAAGCAGAAAGGGAGAAATTAGTAGGACTTACTATGGAGAGTGCTAAACGCAAGAAAGAGATAGGTGGAAAACTTGAGATCCAGGGGAGGGAGAAGAAGGGGGGTTAAAAGGGAAGGAAAGGGTTGGAGGAACTGGAGGACTAGGGGCCACTATGGAGAGCTGTTCTGCAATGGTTCAACACCTCTACTCCAATGGTTCACTTGCATCACAGGGTGCAGCACACGGTGGTGGAATAAAAACTCACATTTCAGCTGTGATATAGTCCAGCCTCTTCCCTACTGTGGCCCGAGCCTCCCCCAGCTCCTGTTTGACTAGCACCGGACCCAGAAGTTTAAAGACCACGTTGGACCCATCCAGCAGGGCCAGTTCCTGATGGAGGGATGGGACATATGTGATCAGAACCATGGCTAGTACAGGTCCCTCCTCGCCCCACAAATCCCAGTCCCTCACCTCTTTCACGATATTATTTTCTGTTAGTTGTGCTTCAAGTTTCTGCCTCCCCGACATGGATTTACTTAAGTCTGGGGATGAGAGGAAAGGCAATTTAGAAACATCAAATGTGCCACCTATCCCCACAATCCTAGTCAGGTGGATATGGATCTGAGGAAGCAGAAAAGGATGGGGGCAGCGGGTGAGTGAACAGGGAAGAGTACTGAGACTGAGGCGGGGAAGTCTCTGCACGCGAGGGCCCAGATGGGGCAACAAACCTTATCTCGGTAATGGCTTTGGGTTGTAAGTGCATTGGGCGAGACCATACCGACCCTGTTCCCTTACCCTTCTGTAGCTGTTGATATTTCTCCACTTCTCCCTGTAGCTTCTTCTGGATCAGCTCCGCCATGGCGGGGATGAAAGCCTACTGGGTGCGAGACAAGGGCGCTGGGTCTCACTCTCTGGAAGGTACCTGAGCTCCCTTTTCTGATCTGGCCTGCGGAAATGATAGCACTCTTGAGAGGTAGCCCTGAGGGGCACCGCAACCTCCCCCCCGTCCCGGATATCGACTCCACCCTGTCCCCAGGAGATGGTGGGCGAAACGCAAGACCCCAAGCCTCTCAACCGAAATCCTAACCTACTCACGTTCTTCCTTCAGTAGTAATAAACCCGGAAGTAAACAAGGAATGCTGGGAAAAGACTGTGCCGGAAGTTTCTTTCTGACCCTTGATGGGAAGTGTAGTTCTGACATGTTTAGGGAGTGGAGTTCTGCTAAAAAGACTAGACTAGGACATTTTTAGGCAAGATGGGGAAACTAATCCAGAAAAAGAAACCGCACCGCTACTTAGCCCCTGGCCCCGGACCTGCCTTTCTTTTTTAAGTCACTCTTGCATAAGCTGCCGCTCGCGATAAGGTGCCAAAAACTGTTCCGCCCCTCTAAGGAGAGCGTGCCCTCACTCAAGATGGCACCTAGAGAGCTTCATACCTGGTACGCTGCTGATTGGATGAAGGACAGAGGGCTTCCGGGAGTTTTCAAGCCGACTGTGTGGCAGCTGAGAAGAGTTTTGCACGTGGATCGCCGTTCGGGTGGGCGAGATGGAGACAGCCCCCAAGCCGGGCAAGGATGTCCCGCCCAAGAAAGACAAACTTCAGACCAAGAGAAAGGTAGAGGCCTCCCTGGGTGGGAAACGAAGTTTTTAGCTGTGGGGTCGGGGGGCGGGGCGTGAGTGCGGAGTTCCTGATGTGCCTGTAGAAACCGCGGCGATACTGGGAGGAAGAGACCGTTCCGACCACAGCCGGAGCCTCTCCAGGGCCTCCTCGTAACAAGAAGAATCGGGAGCTCCGTCCTCAGAGACCAAAAAATGCTTACATCTTAAAGAAGTCTCGGATCTCTAAGAAGCCTCAGGTCCCGAAGAAACCCCGAGAATGGAAGAACCCGGAGTCCCAGCGCGGCTTGTCCGGGGTGAGCGTGGGACCTGATGGGTGGCGAGGCAGGCCGCCTCGTTCCTGGAGAGTGAGAGGGTTGGGGTCAATCCAAGGCTGTCTGCTAATTGCGTCCTCCTTTCCCCTAGGCCCAAGATCCATTCCCAGGCCCCGCCCCCGTCCCTGTGGAAGTGGTCCAGAAGTTCTGTCGCATTGACAAATCTCGAAAGGTGAGGTCCAGCCGGAGAGTTGGGAAGTGCTGGAGGCAGGGAGTGTCTGGGTGAGTTGGATGGAGGCTGGGACAGGTAGCTCTCCTGTGACCCCACTTATCCTGTGGTTCTTCTGCCACTCCTCCCCACCAACAATGTTACAGCTACCACATTCTAAAGCCAAAACTCGAAGCCGACTTGAGGTGGCTGAAGCTGAGGAAGAGGAAACAAGTATCAAAGCTGCTCGTTCTGAGCTGCTGCTTGCTGAAGAACCTGGGTGAGTGAGCCCTAATCTGGACCCCCATTCCCTGCCTTATGGGACTGTCTTTTCTCGTTTTTATGTTGGTATACTTGCTTCATATTGGGAAGCTTTACTGCCATCCTAACCCTTGCTTTCAGGTTTCTGGAAGGGGAGGATGGGGAAGACACAGCAAAGATATGCCAGGCTGACATTGTGGAGGCTGTGGACATTGCAAGTGCAGCCAAGGTGAGCCTGAGGAGGTAAAGGAGCCAAGGGATTGATTGGTGGTGCAGGACAATAGAGGAATGGGGGCTAGAAGAAGGCGTTACTGCAGGGCACTCTTTTTTTTCACTCTTCTCTTTCCCAGCACTTTGACTTGAATCTGCGGCAGTTTGGACCCTACAGACTAAACTACTCTCGAACTGGAAGGTAAGGTTGAATTCTAGTGACTCTTGAACTAAGATGTGTTTCCTTAACCACTTCAGCCATTCCCAGTGTATGTTTGGGTTGCTGATGAGGGGAGGGTCCTTCGATTTGCTTGGGTGTGAGGGTAAGCACCTACAGCAACATGTGTCTGCCCGCCTGGAGAGATGGGGCTGGCGTGGGGCAGACCTCAAGTTGTCTGAGTCGGTGGTCCCCTGCCTTAACACCCTGCCTGCCCCTCACCTCCAACAGACACCTGGCTTTTGGAGGGCGCCGAGGTCATGTGGCTGCCCTTGATTGGGTAACAAAGAAGCTTATGTGCGAGATCAACGTCATGGAGGCGGTGCGGGACATCCGGTCAGTGGCCTCACTGTCAGCAGTCAGTTGGGGTGAGATAGTCCATTCCTGATTGAATGATAGCCTGTGACCTCATTTCCCAATTGAACCACTCTTCCTCTCCCCCAGGTTTCTCCATTCTGAGGCACTGCTTGCTGTTGCTCAGAACCGCTGGCTCCACATCTATGACAATCAGGGCATTGAGCTCCACTGTATCCGCCGCTGTGACCGAGTAACACGGCTTGAGTTCCTGCCCTTCCACTTCCTCCTGGCTACAGCTGTGAGTGGCCATGGAGCTCAGGAACTGGGTGGAAGCCCTTGGGATGACCACCTCTCCTTTAGGACCCCAGCAGAGGGAATACAGAGGGCAATCAGGACTGGGTCATTCTCTCTGTCTTTCTCTCTCAGTCAGAAACAGGGTTTCTAACCTACCTGGATGTGTCAGTGGGGAAGATTGTGGCAGCTCTGAATGCTCGAGCTGGGCGGCTCGATGTTATGAGTCAGAACCCTTACAATGCCGTCATCCATCTCGGACACAGCAATGGTCAGTACCTGGCTTAGTTTTGACTCTGACCATCCTGACTTGCTTTTCTTCTATATTTGTACTTCATGAGTCCCTTAAAGTTACCCTTTTATTTCCCTTTTTTGTTATCTCTTGGTCTTGAGTTCCCATCTTTCCCATGTTTAGTAACCTCAGGCTTAGGTGTGTATTAGCAACTTTGGTTCTTCTTCTCTTCCAGGTACTGCGTCTTTATGGAGTCCAGCTATGAAGGAGCCACTGGCAAAGATTCTCTGTCATCGTGGTGGGGTCCGGGCTGTGGCAGTAGATTCTACAGGCACGTAAGTCACTGGTGGCGGTGAGGTGTTAGGAGTCATAGGTGGGCAGAAAGGTGTGGAAGGCAGTGTGCTTTAGGAGCACAGAGTCTAAAGCCAGGATGCCCAGGTTTAAATCGCAGTGTTACCACGGATGGGCCTTGCAAGTATAGGCATATTTCATAACCTCTGTGTGCCACAGTTTCCTGACCCCGAAAATGGAAATATGAGTGTCCATTTCAAGGGTCCACAAACTTTTTCTGTAAAGAGTCAGATAGTAAATATTTTATGATTTGCTGATAAGAGGTAAAATCAAAGGGTACCATGTAGGCATTTAAATACCAAGAGAAAACAAATTATCACAACTTTTTTTTTTGAGATGGAGTCTCGCTCTGACACCCAGGCTGGAGTGCAATGGCGCAATCTCAGCTCACTGCAACCTCCACCTCTCAGGTTCAAGTGATTCTCCTGCCTTGGCCTCTCGAGTATCTGGGACTACAGGCGCCTGCTACAACACCTGGCTAATTTTTGTATTTTTAGTAGAGACAGGGTTTCAGCATGTTGTTCAGGCTGGTCTCGAATTCCTGACCTCAAGTGATCTGCCCGCCTCAGCCTCCCAAAGTGCTGGGATTATAGGCGTGAGCCACTGCGCCTGACCTTTTTTTTTTTAAATCTTTTGAGAGAGACGTAGTCTTGCTCTGTCTCCCAGGTTGGAGTGCAGTGGCGTGATCTCGGCTCACTGCAACCTCCGCCTCCCAGATTCAAGCGATTCTCCTGCCTCAGTCTCCCAAGTAGCTGGGATTACAGGCACCTGCCATCATGCCCAGCTAATTTTGTATTTTTTTGTAGAGACGGGGTTTTACTGTGTTGGCCAGGCTGGTCTTGAACTCCTGACCTCAGATGATCTGCCCGCCTCGGCCTCCCAAAGTGTTGGGATTACAGGCGTGAGCCACTGCGCCTGGCCCACACATTTTTAGGTTATAAAATTAAACGTAATATGGCCAGGTGCGGTGGCTCACGCCTGTAATCCCAGCACTTTGGAGGCCAAGGCGGGTGGATCGCCTGAGGTCAGGAGTTTGAGACCAGCCTGGCCAACATGGCGAAACTCTGTCTCTACTAAAAATTCACAAAATTAGCCGGGTGTCGTGGCGGGGGCCTGTAATTCCGGCAACTTGGGAGGCTGAGGCAGGAGAATTGCTTGAACCTGGGAGGCAGGGGTTGCAGTGAGCCAAGACTGTGCCATTGCACTCCAACCTGGGCAACAAGAGCAAAACTCCGTCTCAAAAACAAACAAACAAACAAAACATAATATGAGACTGGACACAGTGGCTCATGCCTGTAATCTTAACAGTTTGGTAGGCTGAGGTGGGCAGATCACTTGAGCCCAGAAGTTCGAAACAAGCCATGTCACCCATGACATGGCAAAACTCTGTCTCTACAGAAGATAGAAAAATTAGCCGGGTGTGGTGGTGCATGCCTGTAGTCCCAGCTACTCAGGAGGCTGAGGTGATCCTCCCACCTCAGCCCAGGAGGTTAAGGCTGCAGTGAGCTGTGATCATGCCACTGCACTCTAGCATGGGCAACAGAGTGAGACCCGGTCTCAGAAAAAAAAAATAATAATAATCAAATATGATATTTGTGTAATACAGATCTACTAATGGGAAGAACTGAATTTCTCTTTTTGAGGTTAACATTTTGCCTAATTGATGTACAAAGTTAGTGTTCCAGATGGTCAAATTTGACTGTAGATATTCATGTTCATGCTGATCTGTAGAGATTGCAAGTATTTCATCTTTGAAAACATCTTTTCACACAGGTAATGATAGGTGATATGTGAGGTGCTTGAAATGCTGTGAAGCACTTACGACTGTGTCACTGTGACTTGTAGTGTACAAAGCAGCAGTGCAAATCAGGATGCTGTAGTCGCTGTCGTGACCACTCGGCTGTGTGTTGTAGAGCAAAAGCAGCCACAGTATTAAGTAAATAGTGTGGCCCCGTTCCAATAAAACTTTATTTGTTGGATATTGGAATTTGAATTTCATACGGTTTTCACAGTCTCAAAATATTCTTTTGATTTTTTTTCAACCACTTAAAAATGTAAAAACCATTCTTGGCTTGTGGGCTATACAGAACTAGATGATGGGCCAGGTTTGGCCCATGGGCAGTAGTTTACCAAGCCTTGGTTTAAAGCCCTCATATAAGCTGTTGTAGACATTAAGATGAGTTAAGGCATATAGTTTAGCACAGCGCTTAGCAAAATAGGGAGTGCTGTGTTCATCATTGTCATTCAAGATGATCGTTCTCTCCAGGTCTGGCTGATGTGAGGGGTGGAGGTGGTGTCTGCTTTGGATTTCTGCTGTTCCTGAGGGAGTATCTGCATTTTCCACAGCTTTTCTGTCTGATTTGTATTTTCCTCTGATTCCTTTTGTCATCAGGTATTCACTGGGCACCTGCTGTGGGCAGGGCTCTGCGCTGAGGTTCTGGAGATAAAAGGATGAATCGTTGAGCCTGCCCTGGTGTGGTGCTCCCGTTATCCTTTAGGTATAAAAACTTGTGGCTATTTTTTTTTTTTTTTTGAGACAGAGTCTTGATCTGTCACCCAGGCTGGAGTGCAGTGGCACAATCTCAGCTCACCACAACCTCTGCCCCCCGGGGTTCAAGCGATTCTCCTGCCTCAGCCTCCTGAGTAGCTGGGATTACAGGCGCCCACGAACCACGCCCAGTTAATTTTTTAATGTTTAGTAGAGATGGGGTTTCACCATCTTGGCCAGGCTGGTCTTGAACTCCTGACATCGTGATCCACCTGCTTCGGCCTCCCAAAGTGCAAGTGTTGGGATTACAGGCGTGAGCCACTGCACCCGGCCATGGCTATGGTTTTTGAGAATGATTGGCCAGGTGATGCATTTATTTATTTTATTACTATTTTTCGAGACGGAGTCTTGATCTATCACCCAGGCTGGAGTGCAGTGGCGCGATCTCGGTTCATTACAACCTCCGCCTCCTAGGCTCAAGTGATTGTTCTGCCTCAGCCTCCAAGTAGCTGGGAGTACAAGTGCATGCCACTGCATGCGCTAATTTTTGTATTTTTAGTAGAGATGGGGTTTTGCCATGTTGGCTTGGCTGGTCTCAAACTCCTGACCTCAGGTGATCCGCCCACCTCGGCCTCCCAAAGTGCTGGGATTACAGGCATGAGCCACCACGCCTAGCTCAGGTGATGCCATTAGTTTCTACACAGTTATCCTCTGTCATCCCAGACTCAATGTGTCCATCACTGGATAGGTCACCGCCTCCTAAAGTTTCTCTTGACCTGCTCTCATCTCCCAGAATTTTCCTGTCACCCAGAATTTGACTCAGGTACACACCACCACACCTGGATAATTTTTCTATTTTTTGTAGAGATGGGGTTTCACCATGTAGCCCAGGCTGGTCTCTGTCTTGAACTCCTGGGCTCAAGCGGTCCTCCTACCTCAACCTCCCAAAGTACTGGGATTACAGAGTAATTACTGTGAGCCACCACATCCAGCTTGGCCACCAGCTTATTCAAAGTCTCCAGGATGCTGGGACCACCCCCCCCACCACCCGCTCCCTGTTTTTGCATAATTGTATCTTTTTTTTTTGAGACGGAGTCTCACTCTGTCACCCAGGCTGGAGTGCAATGGTGTGGTCTCGGCTCACTGCAACCTCCACCTCCTGGGTTCAAGCGATTCTCCTGCCTCAGCCTCCTGAGAAGCTGGGACTACAGGTGTGTGCCACCACACCCGGCTAATTTTTGTATTTGTAGTACAGATGGAATTTCACCATGTTGGCCAGGCTGGTCTTGAACTCCTGACCTTGTGATCCACCCGCCTGTCCTCCCAAAGTGCTGGGATTATAGGCGTGAGCCACCGTGTCTGGCCTTTGTAATTGTATCTTTGTGAATGAGTGATTTGGTTCTGCCCTTTTTACTCCATATTTATACCAGCCTGGCTCTAGGAGAGTCAGAAGGCCTGCCCAAGGGTTTCTGCCCTCTCTGGGCCACTGGGCCAAAGCTGTAGCTTGCCCTCCGTGGGCTACCTGGGTCAGCCACTCCTGTGCTTAGGGCTTAATCACTAGTTCGCTGAGGCCTGAAGTTTAATCAACACCTTGATGCTAAACAGCTCTGGTCCTTGTGATCTTCAGCCCATCCCTGCTTTTCTCTGGTCCTCCTCAGGAGCTTGTCAGGCCACGGGGGCTCCAGTGATGAGGCTGACCATCTTTCTTAAGAGGTGTTCTGGTAGCTTGTATTATGATTGGATTGCGTTGACTTCTCAAAGCCGAACTGCTGCTTACTAGTAGTACAGTAGACTCCCATTTGGCACTGGGCTGGTCTTTACCCAGGGGTCCCATAGATGGGTGTGTGGAGGGGAGAAGAGCCAGCATGCATCCTTGAGTTGTTAGTTCACCAAAGGATGTGACCCTGTGTTCCACGAGCGCTCGGTAATTCCTGGTTTGCACTGATGGCCTTTCTCTTTGGTAAAGTCAGGGCGCTGATTATCTTGTCGGAAGTATCCAGCTGGTCCTCTCTTGGGCTCCATCACTGTGCAAGTCTCTGCTCATAAGAACTCTTCAGTTCCCTTCTCCTGGGTTCACAGCCAAGGCAAAAAAGAGACTCCTTGGCCTCTTGGCAAACATACATCCCCTACCTGGCTGGTCCCCCTTCAGCTTCCCTCTCTAAGGAACAACTTGAACATAGAAACTCCAACCTCACCTGTAATCCCAGCACTCTGGGAGGCCAAGGTGGGCAGGTCATTTGAGGCCAGGAGTTCAAGACCAGCGTGGTCAACATGGCGAAACCCTGGCTCTACTAAAAATTAGCGGTGGTGGCGCATGCCTGTAATCCCAGCTACTTGGGAGGCTGAGGCACGAGAATCACTTGAACCAGGGAGGCAGAGGCTGCAGTGAGCCAGGGTCATGCCACTGCACTCCAGCTTGGGCAACAGAGAGACCCTGTCTCAAAAAAAGAAAAGGAACTCCAACTTCTGAAAGTAAACAACTTATGCAGTACATGATTCCTGGAGAGGATTTGGTCACCAACCTTCCCTCCTTCCTTCCAGGGAAAGCACACAGAGGGGCAGGGCAAGGGCCTCCAGTGCATTACTTCACCACTTCCCTGAGTAGGTCTTCTCAAGTCCTTGGAGCCTTCACTTTGTGATTTGTCACTGCCAGAGAGCAATGTTGGGATCATGAGCTGTGGGTCCTCAGTCTGACTTTAAAGAAACCTCACAAATTGTCTGCTCCTGATTTTCCTGACCATGTTTCCCACCAATCCTAACAAACCTCTGCTTCCCTCTCAGTCTCAACACTCTGGTGTTAATGCATTTGAACCTGCTGTGTATCTACTTCCTGTAATTTTTTGAGAATTATCTAGAATGGCTCAAATCCCACCTTTCCCATGAAGCCTTTCTGACCACTGCACATGCTCCTTCCCCTTGCTGGGCTGTGTGCTGCATGTGTGTACAGGGGGACATCACATTTGGGTGCAGCCTGTCGTGTGGGCGTTCCTTTTGACGCCCGTGTCTTGAGAGGGCTGTGTGGTGTTAGCAGGTTAGAGGCAGATGCTAAAGAGACAGGCCTGACCATTCACTGACCTAGCTTTCCTTTCCCTGAGCTTCAGTTTCCTCACCTCTTAAAGGGAAATAAAAATAGTATGAGTTGTGTGCAGCTTAACTGAGAGGATGCCTGTGGAGTGTTCAGGGTGATGGCAGTGGTTATTACTATTAATCTTTTTCTCCCCAGCCAGACTTGATGCCTGGACTTGGCCACAGCTTGCTTGGTAAACCCATTTACTGACATATTAATTGATCCCTCTTCTCTCACCAGGTACATGGCCACCTCTGGCCTAGACCACCAGCTGAAGATCTTTGACTTGCGAGGGACGTACCAGCCTCTGAGCACTCGGACCCTGCCCCATGGAGCAGGGCACCTGGCCTTCTCCCAGAGGGGACTGCTGGTGGCGGGAATGGGTGACGTTGTCAACATCTGGGCAGGGCAGGGCAAGGCCAGCCCACCCTCCCTTGAACAGCCCTACCTCACCCACCGGCTCTCAGGCCCTGTGCATGGCCTTCAGTTCTGCCCCTTTGAAGATGTGCTGGGGGTGGGGCACACTGGGGGCATCACCAGCATGCTGGTCCCTGGTGAGTGGGCCAGGGGATGGGGCTTGAAGTGAATGAACTCTGGGTGGAAGTTTGGGCCAGAGACATCCAGGAACTGGGGGCTTAGTTGGGCTGGAGCTGTTGGACTGAGGTTCTTCCTTATGGCTCCATGCTTCTCCCTCCCTCCCTTCAGGGGCCGGTGAGCCCAACTTCGATGGCCTGGAGAGTAATCCATACAGAAGCCGGAAGCAGCGCCAGGAGTGGGAGGTGAAGGCCCTGCTAGAGAAGGTGAGGCTCCCCTGCTGGAGAGGGTGAGATTCCCCCCATTGCTGGAGAGGGTCAGGTTCCCCCGTCCTGGAGAGGGTGAGGTTCCTCCTTCCTGGAGAAGGTCAGGTTCCCCCCTGCTGGAGAAGGTCAGGTTCCCCACTGCTGGAGAAGGTCAGGTTCCCCCCTGCTGGAGAAGGTAAGGTTTCCTCTTCCTGGAGAGGGTGAGATTCCCCTCTCCTGGACGGGGTCAGGTTTCCCTCTGCTGGAGAGGGTGAGATTCCCCCTGCTGGAGAGGGTCAGGTTTCCCTCTGCTGGAGAGGGTGAAATTCCCTCTCCTGGAGAGGGTCAGGTTCCCCCCTGCTGGAGAGGGTGAGATTGCCCCTGTTGGAGGTGAGGTTCCCCTGCTGCAGAGAGTGAGGCCCCTGCTGCTGGGGAAGGTGTGGTTTGGGGTTGGAGGTAGAGAAAGCTCTCCTGATGTCTCATGCTGGGGGTCTTGGGTAGAGGGGTTCAGCAGCCTCCCTGGCTTCTCTTTTTGGTGCTACCCTCCTGTGGCTCCTTGCTGAGTCCTGTCCCTCTGTGACACCCCCAGGTACCTGCAGAGCTTATTTGTCTGGACCCACGAGCCCTGGCCGAGGTGGATGTCATCTCCCTGGAGCAGGGAAAGAAGGAGCAGATAGAGAGGCTGGTATGGAGCAGGCCCCTGAATGCCCAGGCCCGTCTTCTCCCCCACATCCTCTCCCCACCATGGCTTGTCCCCAGAAGTGCGGCCAGCAGGTGGGTGCTGCCAGTTCCCTGACTCCGAGGCTGTAACAGATATCACTCCTGTCCCCTCCCTCAGGGCTATGACCCGCAGGCTAAGGCTCCCTTCCAGCCAAAGCCAAAGCAGAAGGGCCGCAGCTCCACGGCAAGCCTGGTGAAGAGGAAGAGGAAGGTCATGGATGAGGAACACAGGGTAAATGAGCATTGGCATGGGCCGGGCCTTCCACAGGCTGCACCCTCCTGCTTGTGCCTCTGCCCTTGTCAGCCTGCCACTTCTCACTCTGTGCCTGTGTCCTCCCCGTCTCCGGTCCCCAGGACAAGGTCCGGCAGAGCCTTCAGCAGCAGCATCATAAGGAGGCGAAGGCCAAGCCCACGGGGGCCCGGCCATCTGCCCTGGACAGATTTGTGCGCTGAGCCAGACTCCAGGGTTGCCTGGGAACAGTCTCTCCCCAAGATCACCTGTAGGGAAATGAGTGTTCCCTGGAACAAGGAGGTGGGGGCAGTGTGGCCCCTTCCCCAACTGGGGGTGGACAGCTGTCTCCTGGGGTGGGTTGGTATTAAAGAGGAAAGCGATTTTTTGGATAATGTGTCTGGATCATCTTGTGGACCTGTTCCCCTCCCCCTTGCCAAGCATGAGGCCATTCTAGGATCGGAGGGGTCAGTGTCCTGCCTCTACCCCCACCCCATACCTTGTGGCTGCTGTGGCCTTAGCTTTGCCTTTTAGGGGCCTTCCTCCTCAGAGAGGCTGTCCTCTCTCCCATGTCCCTGGAGATGTCCTTCCCATGCAGCAGGGTCTGGCAGCCTCTGGGCTCTCCAGGTTTGTGGTGTTCTGGGGGTCCTGGTGAAGACCACACTGCACTCGAAGAAGTGGAGACAAGTTTATTGAGGAGCTTGACACCCCTCTTCTGCCCTAGCTTGAGAGAACAACTGCAGCATTTTTTTCTTTTTTTCTTCCCGATGACCATCTTTTGGGCTGGCGGGCCAGGCCCCTGGGTGTCTCCCATATCGCTGTCTTTAGTGAGACTGAGGATCTGGTATAAGGAAACAGATCAGCTGCAGCCAGTGAGGGCCCCTGCGTTGGGCCTGGGAGAGAGAAGGTCCTGTTCCTGCCTTTCCTGTGGCCCCAGGCACTCTCAGCTCTGAAGCCAGGCTATTGCTCGACACCGCAGGATGCCCAGGACTCCCTGGAACCAGGAGCAAAAGGGCGCAGTCCTTTCCCCGTCAGAGCCACCCACCAGCTTCCAGGCTTCCTGCATCTTCCAGGGGTCCAGCCTGTGGGACGTCAGCAGGAATTTCCCATAGCAGCACCGGTCTAGCGGGTAGTGGGTGGCACCAGCCAGCTTGACACACTGTGTTGGGGCGAGGCCTCCTCGTCGGGCACTTACCCCCACAAAGACATCCTCTAATGGGAGAAGGGGTGCCCGGCTGGCCACCTTGAGAATGAGCTGCACAGCAGACGCTGACAGCACATACCCCGTGCCTGAGGCATAGGGTGGAAAGGGGCCCCAGGTGTGAGGCCACTGCTCCTCTGATACGCGGTGCCTGCCCCCCGGTGTCCGAGAGGGGTTCACGCGCCAGTGCACCCGGCCCAAGTACAGAAGAGGCACTTCCTCGCTGTGCAAAACCTGGCCTCCTTCCTGCTCAGCCTCTCTCTGGGGTTCCGTGCTTCTCTCCCATTGCCCCCAACGGCCCCCTCGCAAGACCAGCTCTGATACCAGTTCAGGGACGTTGACATACACATCATCGTCCGTCTTGAGGACGTATCGGGCCATGGGGCAGTGTTTCTCAGCCCAGTTCAGCCCGCTGAGGGTCTTTAGGGTGAGGTTGCGGTAGGAGTCCTGGAAGGCGGCCTGCAAGATATCCCCCTGGGCTGCTGACTCCGAGGCCAGGTCACTCCCCTGGGAACCCCACACGGGGTGCTGTGCGTTCGGCTCTCCCAGCAAGAATAGCGTCTGTACCCTGAGCCCCCGGGCCTCGCGCAGCCCGCCCCACGAAGCCCGAATGGCGTTTCTCTGGTTCAGGTTCTCCGGAGCCGTGCACACCAGGATGAGCAGGAAGGGAGGGGCCCCGGGACCACTGCAAGCTTCCTGGTTGGGGATCAAGAGGCGGGGCAGGGCCAGGGGCGGCCCCGGTGAGGCGGGGGCTGGGAGCAGGGAGGCTAGTGAGAGGCTCAGCAGCTCCTCCCCCAACCCCGAAGGCCCGAAGAGGGTCCAGACGATCACCAGCAGCAAAGCGGCGAGAAGGAGGCGCCGGAAGAGCCTGAGCTGCATGGTGCGGCGTACTCCGAGGGGATCCGTAAGAGCGAAGGGCGGAGACTAGCTCCCCGGGCCTGGGTCACGGCCGGGGACTTAACCGACCACGCCCGGGATGCGGAGGTCTGAGCGCGCGACCGGGACCAGCGCACCCTGGGGGGCGGGGAGAGGCGGTGCAGCTGCGGACCGCGGTCGAGGCATGCTGCGGGGGTGGCTACCTTGTCGCCGCGGCCTCGCCGCCAGCAAGCTCCGCTCCATGGCTGGCCGACTGCGGCACTCACGGCCCCTCCCCCGCCTCGCCCCGGCGGCCGGTCTGCCGCCCGCTTCCGCGTTGCGCGCTCCCATCCCCGCCGGAAGCGGCGTCGGAGCAGCGCGGCAGGGCGCGGAAACCCGGGCGGGTGGAGTGGCACCAAACGGAGTGAGACCGGTCTGTCCAGCCGCTCCCCATCCCAACCCACCGACGTACTCCACCAGGGAGACCACACCCTTCATAACCAAGGTCCGCGTTTTTGCCTTTGTTGCTTCGGTCACAGCCCGAAGGATTTTCCCTTATGACTAGATGACCCCTTAAAAAAAAACAAAAACAAAAACAAAAAAACCCAGAGTGACCAAGACCTGCAAACTCACCTTAACTGCAACTGGCTAGGCTCAGCTAACCCACTCCACAATGATGCTGCACACCAACCCCAGGGTGTTGGTCTCTAAACTGGTCTGGGTCAGCCCCTCAAGGCTGAACTGTTTTACCCTCACATTTCTCTTTACAGAGAGGGACATCACTAGCTACATATAGGGAGACTGGGGGGTCTGCAGCATCACCACTGCTAAAACTAATAGCACTGTGTGGGCAACTGAGTAGGGCAGCTCTAAATGGAAAAAGGACCCAGCACTTTAACATTCCCTATTAGAATGGACAGAAAGGACAGGAAGCCATAGGTATATAAACTATTTATTAACAGACAAGGCCTACAGACTTATTTCTTCTTGGACACACCCACGGTGCGGCCACGGCGGCCAGTGGTCTTGGTGTGCTGGCCTCGGACACGAAGGCTGCAGGTAAAAAGAGAAGAGTCACAGGTCATGCACAGCAGAAACAAAAGGTTGGGGAAAAAGAAGAGCGAGTAGGAGGAATGCTGAGTCGAGGTAGGCAGGGAGATGAGACCCCCCACTCACCCCCAGAAGTGACGCAGCCCTCTATGGGCCCGAATCTTCTTCAGTCGCTCCAGGTCTTCACGGAGCTTGTTGTCCAGACCATTGGCTAGGACCTGGATTCAGAGGAGGGGGCAAGGGATGTTTTATCCCCTGACCTCCTATGCCCAATTCTGTTAGGACCCTCCACCCTTCCTCTAATCCTGCCCTCATTTCAGTACACACCTGGCTGTATTTTCCATCCTTTACATCCTTCTGTCTGTTCAAGAACCAGTCTGGGATCTTGTACTGGCGTGGATTCTGCATAATGGTGATCACACGTTCCACCTGGCAGGCAGACCAAGGTCAGATCTAGATGGACCCCTTTCTGAGGCTGACCCCACCCCCAGCCCCCTTCCTTGTCCTCACCTCATCCTCAGTGAGTTCTCCCGCCCTCTTGGTGAGGTCAATGTCTGCTTTCCTCAACACCACATGAGCATATCTTCGGCCCACACCCTGAATGAAGTGAGGGGTTTCGGAATTAGTGTTGAATCTGATTTTTAAATTCCTTTATAGCCTCATTCAAAAAGCTCACAAAGGTAGGATCTGCAATAATCTATTTTGCAATCCCCTAGGTCACCCTTTCCTCACCCACCTTTCCAGATATAAACCGTTCGACAGAAGGTTAACTTTGGGCCGGTCGCAGTGGCTCACGCCTGTAATCCCAGCACTTTGGGAGGCCCAAGTGGGCAGATGACATTGAGGGCAGGAGTTCAAAACCAGCCTGGCCAACATGGTGAAACCCTGTCTCTACTAAAAATACAAGAAAAGTTGCTGAGCATGGTGGCAGGTGCCTGTAATCCCAGCTACTTGGGAGGCTGCAGCAGAATAGCTTGAACCTAGGAGGTGGAGGTTGCAGCAAGCCAAGATCACGCAACCACACTCTAACCTGGGCGACAGTGAGACCCCGTCTCAAAAAAAGAAAAAAGTAACTTTGTTCAGGGGTATGACTGAATCATGAACACAGAATTTAGTATTACAGACAACCCTTTGAAAGCAGGCAGTATCTTTTTTTCCCCCATTGCTCAGCATATGTAGTTGTCACTAAGTGCCTTCTGATTCTTGCATTTAGGAGAACAAGGGGCCTGCCACTCCAAGCTGATGCAGTAAACCAGGGTCTTATGAGTTACAGGCTTTGATTAAGGTATTGGGCTGTCAGTTCCTCAGAATCTCTAAGGGTCACAATTATTTAGGCAAATCACTTTATCCCCATAATCAAAGTATTCCAAGATCACAAACTCAATTTTGTCAGTGCCCAGAACTGACTGCCCAAGTTATTATAAAAAGAAACTAATGCTTACATTGGTAGCATCACATCAACACCAGCACTAGCACCCATGCCATCTGAACTCATGAACCAAAGTGATTTGGAGAGTGAAGGAGGAACTGAATACTGAGCCCTGCCCCTCATTTTGTCCAACTAGAACATCAGAATGTGGCCCTATTTGGAAATAAGGTCGTTACGGAAATAATTAGGTAAAATGACGTTATATTTGATTAGGGTGGGCTCTAGATCCAATGACAAATCATGAGAGACACACGAAGAGGACCATGAGATGACAGCAACAGATTGGAGTAATGCAGCTACAAGCCAAGGAACACTAAGGATTACTGACAACCACCAGAAGACAGGAAGAGGCAAGGTAGGATTCTTAAGTGCCTCCAGCGCCAAGAGTAATTTTCTGCTTAGTTTATATGAACTTGTTACAGTAGGCTCCAGGAAACTAAAACAAATGGCAGTTCCTATCTGCAAGAAAGAGATCAAGGGTTGGCTTCACCGTGGCTCATGCCTATATGCCTGTAATCCCAGCACTTTAGGAGGCTGAGGCTGGAGGATCACTGAGCCCAGGAGTTCAAGACCAGCCTGGACAACACAGCAAGATCCAGATTAGCCAGATGTGGTGGTGCACACCTGTAGCCCCAACTACTTGGAAAGTTGAGGTAGGAGGATTGACTTGAGCCCTGGAGGTCGAGGCTGCAGTGAAGAGTGATTCCGCCACTCCAGCCTGGGCGACAGTCTCAAAAAATAAATGTGGCTGGGTGCAGTGGCTCACGCCTATAATCCCAGCACTTTGGGAGGCTGAGGTGGGTGGATCACCTGAGGTCAGAAGTTTAAGACCAGTTTGACCAACATGGTGAAACCCCATCTCTTCTAAAAATACAAAAATTAGCTGGGCGTGTGCCTGTAATCTCAGCTACTTGGGAGGCTGAGGTTGCAGTGAGATAAGATTGCACCATTGCACTCCGGCCTGGGTGACGGGGTGAGACTCTGTCTCGGGATAAATAAATAAACATGACCAAGGGTCAAATTATTAGGTTGATTCAGAAGAGAGCAGGGTCTTTCAAATTTATTTATTAATTAAATGACGAGGTTTCACCATGTTGACCAGGCTGGTCTCGAACTCCTGACCTCAGGGGATCCGCCCACTTCAGCCTCCGAGTGAGCCACTGCACTAAGCCTCAAATTTAATTATATGTTTACAAGTGAAAAGATTTACTTCAAAATGGGTGTGGGAAGAGATATAGATGAAATAAGATTTCTAATTTTTAGTTAGATACATCCATGAAGGTTATTCTCTATTACACTTATGAATGCTGCACCTCTACTTAAGCCTCACAGCCGGTCTCTGAAATAAGTACAGTATTTCACACTGCCTTATTAGTTTCACAGAGCACCCAACAGAAGGAATTTCCCTCTACAAATTCCTCAACAGAGCCAACAGTATCCCTACTACTATCCATTCCCTAACGTCGCCTAAGTACCTACCATGCAACAGAAGCCAAGAAGACAGGCCTAGCCCTGCACGCATGGACACATACTGGTAGGCTATTTCCACAACTAACTACACATTCTGACTTAAGGAAAAAAAAAAGAACGTTATGTATCTAGAAAGCCAGGAATTCATTAGGTTTGTGGAGAGAAATACTCAAGTGAAATAATATTCTTGCATTCATTGATTCGATTCTTAAAAGCCAAAGAAAGATGGATGTACTCCTTCACACTTCGACAGGAAAGGAGTGTCAATTATGGCTCATCTGAGTAAATGTCCCACTCAGACTTCTTCCACCCTCCATCTACAGGCTTCTTCACACTTTTTATCTGTTGGTATTTCTACTTATCCCTCAAGATGCCCAATAATCCTCCAATTCTCAGGGAATATAAATTTCGCAGGAAGGGTTGCTGTTATGATGGTGGGATGGGTAAAGAAACCGAATCTAGAAGAAATCTCACAAGCTCGTGGTTCAGGAAAATCTTAGCGAATTCGGGTGAGCAACCATACCTCCTCCCCACTTCCCCAGGTGAAATGTTTTGGCTTGACCTTAGACCACTATATTGGCTTTAATCACTTATTTTCTGTGGTAAATGCTAAAGGGGTCAGTCTCTCCCTAAACCACTTTCTTTTCTTAATCCAGCAGTCAAGGTGATCTGGATGAGACTCAAGTCTCCCCAGCCTTGCTTCATTTTTGCTTATGTCTTCACAACCCAATTCTCATTTACATTCCCTATTCCTTACCCTACTTCACTCACCTTAATGGCAGTGATGGCAAAGGCTATTTTCCGCCGCCCATCGATGTTGGTGTTGAGTACTCGCAAAATATGCTGGAACTTTTCAGGGATCACTAGAGACTAGTTGAAAAAGTACGGGGGAAGAAATCAGACACAGTAAACTATCAAACAGTAAGGCCGATAAGGCAAACGAACTTCATACAAAAAGGTTAAGCCTGTCACACAAGTGGCAAGACACCCGCCCCCCATTCCTTAGGTTTTCACACCACAGAGCAAACTCCTCAGTCCTGCAGAGTAGGCACATGAAGCGTTCAAGCTTGGGAAAATGCAACCTCTGGAGAGAGGAAGCAGGTCTCCTGCCCATTCCCAAAAGTGCGTGGCAAAAGCCAGAGTTCCCCATATACGCCCAAGCCTTAGACAGCTTTCGTGCGCCCGAGCAGTGACCCTTCCTCGGGCCCGCTCTCCGGAATTGGAAATCTTTGGTGTCCCTTTCCAGGGACGCGATCCAAGGCTCCATACAGAAAGTCGCAGGCCCTCAGGGCAGGACGTTTCCAGAACCCTGACAGCCGGCTTTCCTTGCCCGAGCTGCGATGCCGCTGGATCACGGCACGGATTCCAGCCTTACCATGGCTGCAGCACAAGCGGCGGCGTGTAGGCCTCCTGTGGAAGAGAGAGCGGAAGTGACGCGATATCATTATATAGCTTCCAGGAGGAAGAGGCGGTGCGATCTAGGAGAAGTGCTTCCGGAAACTGTTTCAGCGCGACCTGGCTGGATTTATGAGAGTATGGCTTGGGTACCACAACTTCCGGTGCGCCTTTCTTTACAGTTCGTAAGGTTCATAGGTAAGAGAACAGCGAAGGTTCCGGGGCTAGTTTGTGTTTCAGACTTCCATATTTCCATTTGCAGTTGGGTGAAGTGGTTAGAGCTGAAAGGGGACAGCTGGAGTCAAACAACTTAACTCAAATATCTGGGAACGATTTCGCGCTGAGGAAGACCCTTTGGGACTTGTAGCTCCACTCCGG
The DNA here is from genome assembly GCF_000001405.40 of Homo sapiens. Classification (NCBI taxonomy): domain Eukaryota; kingdom Metazoa; phylum Chordata; class Mammalia; order Primates; family Hominidae; genus Homo; species Homo sapiens. The sequence continues at coordinate 4,466,141 of NT_167248.2, read as the reverse complement.
GGAACGGACTCGCCGGGACTGACAGTTGCCGGAAGTGAGGCTGCGGGGAATGGCCGCCGCTGCGACCATGGCGGCTGCGGCCCGGGAACTGGTGTTGCGGGCTGGGACCTCAGATATGGAGGAGGAAGAGGGCCCGCTGGTGAGAGCGCGGAGCTGTTTCTCCTCCGTAGTTCCGGTGCTCCTAGCTTCAGAAAGACCTGAGCTGGGTTTAGGCACAAGGGTGGGAACTTGGCTGCTACCCGTGATATTACCTGTTTGGCTCCCCGTACCCTTCCCTGTGATCAGACCCGACCCTGAGCGGGACCCTAGTGGCTGAAACTCATGTTCTGGGGCACAAAATTTCAACTTCACTCCACATTTTGGGGTAGAGTCACGAAGTAGTATAGTGTAAAGGTTAAGAACATGGCCTCTGAAGCCAGACTGCCTGAGTTCTATCTCTGCCACTTACACGCTGTGTGCCCTTGGGCAAGTTAACCAGCTTCTCTGTGCCATCATTTCTCACACCTTTAAGGTGAGGAAGATAGAACCTATTGTATACAACGTCGTTAGGATTAGATGAATATGTGTAAGATTGCACCTGGCATGCAGGTAAACACTATGTGTTTTGACATTTCTAGAAAGCCTGGGGTTCCCCAGAGGTGTGATAGAACACCCAAGATGGCAGGAGTCTGAGGGTCCTAAATTTAAGTGCAAGTTCTGCTCTATCCTCTGCAATTCCTAGCTTTCCTCATTCGGTCATCTCCACTGCACTTTTTTTTTTGAGACGGAGTCTTGCTCTGTCGCCCAGGCTGGAGTGCAGTGGCGCGATCTTGGCTCACTGCAAGCTCCACCTTCCGGGTTCACGCCATTCTCCTGCCTCAACCTCCCAAGTAGCTGGGACTACAGGCGCCCGCCACCGCGCCCGGCTAATTTTTTTGTATTTTTTAGTAGAGACGGGGTTTCACTGTGTTAGCCAGGATGGTCTCGATCTCCTGACCTCGTGATCTTCCCACCTCGGCCTCCCAAAGTGCTGGGATTACAGGCGTGAGCCACTGCGTCCGGCCTCCACTGCACTGTCTTGTCTTTTACCTTTTTTTGTTTTCTTGAGACGGGTTTCCCTGTGTTACCCAGGTTGACCTTGAACTCCTGATCTCCTCAAACAATCTTCCCGTCTCAGCTTCTAAGTAGTTGGGACTACAAGGAGCCCACCACCATGCTGGGCTACCTCCACTGTCTCACTGGATCGTCTCACTCCTTGTCGTATTCCTTACCCATCAGCACAAAATAGGAGAGTGGGTACAACGTGAGACTCTTAGAATTTTTCAAAGCAGTACCTGTGGCTCCCAGTAAAAGCAGCTCCTTCTCACTTGAAGGACTGGGGATATCCAATTATATTTTTTCTTTCTGTCTTTCACCGTACCCTACTCCCATTAACTTATCCCTTTCCAGGCGGGTGGTCCTGGGCTCCAGGAACCACTGCAACTTGGGGAGTTGGATATCACTTCTGATGAATTCATCCTGGATGAAGTGGATGGTAAGCGATGGCATGGGGTGGGTGCAGTACCTGTAATCTGAGAGGCATGGGGGCTGGAAGGAATAAGGTAGGGATTGGTGTGCAGATACTCAATGTGGGGAGAGGGAGCTGTGGAGCTGGACCCTTATGATAAACTTCTATTTCCAGTTCACATTCAGGCAAATCTGGAGGATGAGTTAGTAAAGGAAGCTCTTAAAACGGTGAGGCTTTCCCCTGTACTAATCTGCCCTTCTATCTATTCTACCCCAAAAGGAAAAACAACAGTCTCTTGCTTTTGTTGTATCAGCCTGGTATCTGACCCTTTAGTCCTTCACTGATTCTGTTACAGTGTCCCTTTACTGAGACTTCCTTCTGACCTGTCATCTTTATGTTCTCCCAGGGTGTAGATCTCCGTCACTATTCAAAGCAAGTTGAGCTGGAGCTACAGCAGATTGAACAGAAATCCATTCGGGATTGTATCCTCCAGCAGAGGGAAGGGGTGGTGCTATTGACATGGGGATTTTGTGGCGTGTGGTACAGATGTCCCAGCTGGGGTCAACATCTCTGAGGTTTCTATCACTTCAAAGAGAAATTGGAGAGGTACTACAAATCTGAGGATCTCCCATCTTCACCATGAGGCCCCTTGACTTTTTGTGGATCAGATATTCAAGAGAGTGAGAATATAGCATCTCTACACAACCAGATCACAGCCTGTGATGCTGTCCTGGAGGTTAGTAATCATGACCTGTGACCCCTAATAGCTACTCTGAACCAGATCATGGACTCTGGTGCCATTTTTAGGTCATCAGCCTCAAGATGGGGACAGGTTAGGGTCATTTTCAAGATGACTTCAGGAGCCTTTTTTGTTATTACTGCCATATTTAATGTTATTTCCTGATAATCTGGGGTGTCTCATCATCTGCCACCCTCAAGGACTGATAAATACTGAAGACTTCACAAAGAGTCTTTGGTGGCCCACTTATCCCCTACAAACCCTATAGCACTCCGGCAACATCTACCCTCCCTACAGCGAATGGAGCAGATGTTGGGAGCTTTTCAGAGTGACCTCAGCTCCATCAGCTCTGAGATCCGGACACTGCAGGAACAGTCAGGAGCCATGAACATTCGACTTCGAAATCGCCAGGCAGTTCGGGGGAAACTTGGGGAGCTTGTTGATGGTCTGGTGGTGCCTTCTGCTCTGGTCACGTGAGTTACCAGTTTGAAGGGTTATAATGTCCATAGCAGGTGGATGGGCTGGGGTGACCCACCCTATTTACCATATGGGTCTCCTGGCTCCAGGTTAAGTGCTTTTTAGAAATTAGTAGCCAGGTTAACCACCATTTCTTTAGGTATGCATTAGGCATCAAAGATTAAGATTAAGAATGATGTAAGATCAGGTGTATAGTGGGGAGGTCCAGGAATAGAAAACTTTGTACATGTGTCCTGACTATATGGTACAATGCAAGGTGGTAGAGATGACAGGGGCTGGAGGTAAGGAGTGTGGTCTGGGTCTGGTTTAGGGATGTCTGGGTCTCCCTTGTAACTCATCCCACCCCTCCCTGCTAACCAGGGCAATTCTGGAGGCTCCAGTGACAGAGCCCAGGTTCTTGGAGCAGCTACAGGAGCTGGATGCCAAGGCAGCCGCAGTCAGAGAGCAGGAAGCTAGAGGCACAGCAGCCTGCGCAGATGTCAGAGGCGTGCTCGATCGGCTCCGGGTCAAGGTGGGAAGTAGGGATGGATACCCTGGAGGCTACTGGAAGCAGCCTTCCCAAGATCTTCACTATGGATTTCCTTGGCAGAGCTCACTGTAGCCTGTCTCCAGGGACTTCACCCTGCCTTTTCTGGGCAGCCCCATTCTTGTCTCTCTGGGTTTCCCTGAAAATCTTGAGAAATACCAAAGAGATATTCACCACCCTTCTGCCTATGTTTACCATTTGTTGCTTCCCCCAGTTCCTCTCATACAGCAAAAGGGTTGCAGCTTCATGCCCTGTGTTTGGTTCCCCACATCTAGGCAGTGACGAAGATCCGAGAGTTTATCCTCCAGAAGATTTATTCCTTCAGGAAACCCATGACCAACTATCAGATCCCCCAGACGGCCCTGCTGAAGTACAGGTCACAACCCCAAGGAAGTGCATGGGATGGCCTTTGAGTTTTTGAGCGGCCTAGTGTGGGCATCTGGTTTCTTGGGAGACAGGTAGACTGACATGTTCCTGACCCCCTAGGTTCTTCTATCAGTTTCTGCTGGGCAATGAACGAGCAACAGCAAAGGAGATCAGGGATGAATATGTGGAGACGCTGAGCAAGATTTACCTGTCTTACTACCGCTCTTACCTGGGGCGGCTCATGAAGGTGCAGGTAAGGTCAGGAGGGAGAGGTATTCCTGGGCACATGGACTGGGAGGAGGGGACATCCCTGGGCAAGGAATATTTTATTGTGTTGTGGGAAGAGACGGTTATCAGTTCTCTTTTCTCTTTCCTTAGTATGAGGAAGTCGCTGAGAAAGATGATCTAATGGGTGTGGAAGATACAGCAAAGAAAGATATCCTAGTACTGGGGAACCCTCATGCCAGGCCTTGAGAGTGGGAGGACTTTCGACTCCAGCCACCAATGCACTGCTCCTTACCTTTTCCTATGGGACTGAAACCTTTTAGAATGTGATGAAAGCTATAGCCTCCCTCCCCAGAAAGATGCACACATTATTTTGACACATAGTTTTGCATATGATTGCAAGGGAGGGAGAGACACCCTGAAGCCCATTCACAGATGTCAGCACGTGGGGCCCTAGTACTGGGAAAGAGGGCTGGCTAGGCCACGTCTGCCTGTCTGGGGTCCCCACAGATAGTGAGTCTTTGGGCCCAGTTATGGTCTCATTGTTTTCCCTGACTCTGACCCATCTTACGATTCTTCTCAAAGCCATCGCTCCGCAGCAGGAACACCATTTTCACCCTAGGAACCCGCGGCTCTGTCATCTCCCCCACTGAACTTGAGGCCCCCATCCTGGTGCCTCACACAGCGCAGCGCGGAGAGCAGAGGGTATGAGGAGGAACAAGCTTCAGTCACGAAAGAGGCTCTGAGCACGGTGGGGAGGGAAGGCCAGACCTCAGGGCAGAGCTTCCCAACCTGCAGGCCCTGTCTTAATCCCCTTAGACTTGGGAGTGGCCTTCTCCAATCACTCCAGCCTGCTGTGATGTGAAAAGAGCTGGGAACCATTGACTTAAGGGCATGCAGAGGGGAGAGACTGGATGAGGGGAATGACAGTCAGAGGCAGGTGTTGAGGTGGATGCAGGAGTAGCAACAGCAGGTGGGTGTAGGCCCTTTTTGTACCCCTATGTTCCCCCACCTTTTCAGTGCCCATTCAGCTTGCTCTTAGACAGCCCGGACCTAGATAGATGCGAAGGGTCTGCCTAGCTCTTATTACTCAGGTTTACTGATTTTCCAGCCATATCCATGGGAAGTCAGTGTTGGGGTCCATCCCTTCTGTTTTTCTTCTTTACTCCTCCTCTCCCAGTATCCATTTGAGGCCCTCTTCCGCAGCCAGCACTACGCCCTCCTAGACAATTCCTGCCGCGAATACCTTTTCATCTGTGAATTTTTTGTTGTGTCTGGCCCAGCTGCACACGACCTGTTCCATGCTGTCATGGGCCGTACACTCAGCATGACCCTGGTAAGACTCCTGTTTCCTGTACCATTCAACACCTTTGTCCCCAGTCTTCATCAGCAGCATAGTGGGGTCATGACTCTGGTAGAACTGAAATCAGGATCGCCTCATTCTAAAATGTCTAAGCCTTGGCTGGGCGTGGTAGTGCACACCCATAATCCCAGCACTTTGGGAGTCCAAGGCAGTAGGATTGCCTGAGCTCAGGAGTTTGAGACCAGCCTGGGCAACAACCTCATCTCTACAAAAAATGAAAAATTAGCCGGGTGTGTGTTGATGTGTGCCTGTGGTCACAGCTACTAAAGATGCTGAGGTGGAAGGATTGCTTGAGCCCAGGAGGTCAAGGCTGCAGTGAGCCATGCACTCCAGAGTGAGACCTGTCTCAAAAAAAAAAAAAAAAAAAAATAGCCAGGTGCAGTGGCTTACGCCTGTAATCCCAGCACTTTGGGAGGCTGAGGCGGGAGGATCACAAGGTCAGGAGTTTGAGACCAGCCTGACCAACATGATGAAACCCTGTCTCTACTAACAGTACAAAAATTAGCCAGGTGTGCGCGGCCTGTAATCCCAGCTACTCGGGAGGCTGAGGCAGGAGGATTGCTTGAACCTGGGAGGAGGAGATTGCAGTGAGCCAAGATTGCGCCATTGCACTCCAGCCTGGGTGACAGAGCGAGACTCCATCTCAAAAAAAAAACTTGTTACTTAGACTTGTCACAGTGTTACTCCCCCATGAAATCCTCAGTGCGTAGGGTCCCTGAGACTACCCCTACTGCTGACCCACAATCAGGCAATAGCACGTGAAAACTGAGGGTCCCCCAAATCTTGGTGCTCAAACCCCTGACCCAAGCTCAGCCCTGAACTCTGCTGTGATAGGCTTGTGATCATAGATCCTGGTGTGGCCAGGTGCAGTGGCTTATGCCTGCAATCCCAGTACTTTGGGAGACCAAGGCAGGAAGATTGCTTGAGGCCAGGAGTTCGAGACCAGCCTGGGCAATGCGGCAAGACCTTGTCTCTACAAAAAATTTAAAAATAAACTTAACCAGGCATGGTGGTACACACCCATGGTCCCAGTTGCTTGGCAGGCTGAGGTGGGAACATCACTTGAGCCCAGATGTTTGAGGCTGCAGTGAACTATGATTGTACCATTACAATCCAGCCTAGGTGACAAAACAACCTGTCTCTAAAGCCGAAAACACCGGGTGCAGTGGCTCACACCTGTAATCCCAGCACTTTAGGAGGCTGAGGTGGGCGGATCGCCTGAGGTCAGGAGTTCGAGACCAGCTTGACCAACATGATGAAACCCCATCTCTACTAAAATACAAAAATTAGTCGGGCGTGGTGGCAGGCGCCTATAATTCCAGCTACTCAGGAGGCTGAGGCAGGAGAATTGCTTGAACCTGGGAGGCAGGCGGAGGTTGCAGTGAGCCGAGATTGTGCCACTGCATTCCAGCTTGGGTGGCAAGAGTGAAACTCTATCTCAAAAAACAAAAAAAAAGCCAAAAACATAGATCCTGGACAGGAAAGCAGGGGGCAGTTCCATTTTACGTCTCTCCCTTCTGTCCTGTCCAGTGCATCATCCCCAAAGAAACAAATGCGTTTGTTCATAGTCACTGAGGACAACAAACTGACATTCTCTTTTAATCCTCTGTTTGTTCCCCAATCACACAGAAACACCTGGATTCTTATCTAGCTGACTGCTACGATGCCATTGCTGTTTTTCTCTGTATCCACATTGTTCTCCGGTTCCGTAACATTGCAGCAAAGAGGGATGTTCCTGCCCTGGACAGGTCACTGAATTCTGGTCCTTGATGCCCAACAGGCCACGAACTCTCTTGGTCTTGCATGACTCTGCCCTGACCTTAGACTCCTACTGACCTGGTATCATCAACCTTTATTCCCATTCATTTGCTCCGGAGGCAGTAGTGCTGCTTTTTGACTCACCTTTCTCCAACCACTGCCCCCCAACCCCCACAACTAGCTATTGACCATTAAACTGAATGATGCCCCACTCCCTCCCATCCCCCTCCAACATTCCTTGCTGGCTGACCTCTGATTCTGATTAAGCCCACAGGTACTGGGAACAGGTGCTTGCCTTGCTATGGCCACGGTTTGAACTGATCCTGGAGATGAATGTTCAGAGCGTCCGAAGCACTGACCCCCAGCGCCTAGGGGGGTTGGATACTCGGCCCCACTATGTGAGGGAGGGCAAGGGTAACAAAGGGTTCTTGAAAGGCAGGGCTCTAAGCATCATTGTGGGGGTTGGCCAAGGTCACAGTTGTGTCATGGGCCACGCTATGAGCAGGTGTTCTGGGAGGGTGGTAAAACTCATGGTGAGTGGTGCACTGTGGGTAGGAGGGACTGAAGGTAGAGTCACATCACATGGAGGTGGGTTGGCTAAGGAAGTTGGGAGGTTGTGTTGGTTGGGCCAGGAGGTGGGTGTGATTTTCCTTCCCACTCTCTCCTAGATCACACGCCGCTATGCAGAGTTCTCCTCCGCTCTTGTCAGTATCAACCAGACAATTCCTAATGAACGGACCATGCAATTGCTGGGACAGCTGCAGGTGAGGGTCGGACAGGAGACACTTCCCAGCAGCAGGGCTGCTTCCAGTGGGTGGAGTCTGAGGAGGAGCCAGATGGGGCCCAGATGACCTTGCTTTCTGGTGTCACCTCTTCCTCTCTGCCTTTTCAGGTGGAGGTGGAGAATTTTGTCCTCCGAGTGGCAGCTGAGTTCTCCTCAAGGAAGGAGCAGCTTGTGTTTCTGATCAACAACTATGACATGATGCTGGGTGTGCTGATGGTAATAGGTGCTCCTTCTCCTTGCCTTCCTACCCAGAAAATTCGGTTTCCCCCACTGCTGTTAGCTCTGTGAGGGCAGAGATGATGCCTGTCTTGTTCAGTGTTTTACTCTTGGAGTCTGGCACAGTGTCCAGCTTAGTACAATAAGTGTGGAATGAAGGGGACATCCTGAAGTGAAGGACTGCTTTCCCCAAACTAGACATTTCCCTTTGTCTTCCCTTAGGAGCGGGCTGCAGATGACAGCAAAGAGGTTGAGAGCTTCCAGCAGCTGCTCAATGCTCGGACACAGGTAGGGGTGTGGGGAAAAGGGAAGAGACAGCCTTCTGTGCTGTTTTCAGCTCTCTCTCTCTCTCTCTCTCTCTCTCTGTGTGTGTGTGTGTGTGAGTGTGTGTGTGTGTGTGTGTGTGTGTGTGTAGGGAGTGGCATAATGGATCTCAGGTATGCGGAATTACTGTAACTCTTGATTCACAACATACTGTCATTATTGGTCTATTTTATTTTATTTTGTCTTTGGTTTTTTTTTGTTTTTTTTTTTTGAGGCAAAGTGTCACTCTGTCACCCAGGCTGGAGTGCAGTGGCATGAACATGGCTCACTGCAGCCTCAACAGCCTGGGCTTAAGTGATCCTTCTACCTTAGCCCCCTGGGTAGCTGGGACCACAGGTGCGAGCCACCATGCCTAGCTAATTTTTTATTTTTAGAATGAATTTTATTTTTTTCTTTATCTATCCTCTCAAGCATTTATCCTTTGTGTTATAAACAATCCGATTACACTAAGTTATTTTAAAATGTACAATTAAGTTATAATTGACTATAGTCACCCTGTTGTGCTGTCAAATAGTAGGTCTTATTTATTCTTCCTATTTTTGTTTGTACCCATTAATCATCCCCACCTTCTCCCCAGCCTTCCACTAGCCTTCCCAGCCTCTGGTAGCCATCCTTCTACTCTCTTCGTACATGAGTACATGAGTTCAATTGTTTTGATTTTTAGATTCCACGAATCAGTGAGAACACATGACGTTTGTCTTTCTGTGCCTGGCTTATTTCACTTAATATAATAATTTCCAATTCTATGCATGTTGTTGCAAATGACTGAGTCTCATTCTTTTTTATGGCTGAGTAGTACTCCATTGTGTATATATCCCACATTTTCTTTACCCATTCATCTGTTGATGGACACTTAGGTTGCTTCCAAATCTTAGCTATTGTGAACAATACTGCAACAAACATGGGAGTGCAAATATCTCTTCAATGTACTGATTTCCTTTCTTTTGGGTATATACCCAGCAGTGGGATTGCTGAATCATATGGTAGCTCTACTTTTAGTTTTTTGAGCAACCTTCAAACTGTTCTCCAAAGTGTTTGTACTAATCTACATTCCCACCAACAGTGTATAAGGGTTCCCTTTTCTCCACATCCTTGCCAGCATTGCTATTGCCTGTCTTTTGGATAAAAGCCATTCTGACTGGAGTGAGATGAGATCTCATTGTAGTTTTGATTTGTATTTCTCTGATAATAGTGATGGTGAGCCCCTTTTCATATATGTCTGTTTGCCATTTGTATTCTTTTGAAAAATATCTATTCAAATCTTTTGCCCATTTTTTAATAGGATTATTAGACTGTCATGTAGAGTTGTTTGAGCCCCTTATATATTCTGGTTATTAATCCCTTGGCAGATGGGATGTGCAAATATTCTTTGTCTCTTCACTTTATTGTTTCTTTAGCTGTGCAGAAGCTTTTTTTTTTTTTTTTTTTTTTTTTTGAGATGGAGTTTTGTTCTTGTTGTCCAGGCTGGAGTGCGATGGTGCGATCTCAGCTCACCGCAACCTCCGCCTCCCAGGTTCAAGCAATTTTCCTGCCTCAGCCTCCTGAGTAGCTGTGATTACAGGCATGTGCCACCATGCCTGGCTAATTTTGTATTTTTAGTAGAGATGGGGTTTCACCATGTTGGTCAGGCTGGTCTCAAACTCCTGACCTCAGGTGATCTGCCCAGCTCTGTCTCCCAAAGTGCTGGGATTACAGGCGTGAGCCACCGTGCCCAGCTGTGCAGAAGCTTTGTAACTTGACGTGATCCCATTTGGCCATTTTTGCTTTGGTTGCCTGTGCTTGTGGGGTATGGCTCAAGAAATTTTTGCCCAGACCCGTGTCTTGGAGATTTTCCCCAGTGTTTTCTTGTAGTAGTTTCATAATTTGGTCTTAGATTTAAGTCTTTAATCCATTTGATTTGGTTTTCATATGTGGCGAGAGATAGGGGTATAGTTTCATTCTTCTGTGTAATGGATAGCCAGTTTTCCCAGCACCATTATTGAAGAGACTATCTCTCTTTTTTTTTTTTTCAGACGGAGTCTTGCTCTGTCACCTAGGCTGGAGTGCAGTGGTGCAGTATTGGCTCACTGCAACCTCTGCCTCCTTGGTTCAAGTGATTCTCCTGCCTCAGCCTCCTGAATAGTTGGGATTACTGATGCCTGCCACCACGCCGGGCTAGTTTTTGTGTTTTTAGTAGAGACGGGATTTCACCATGTTAGCCAGGCTTGTCTTGAACTCCTGACTTCAAGTGATCCTCCCACCTTGGCCTCCCAAGTGCTGGGATTACAGGCGTGAGCTACCGTGCCTGACCAAGAGACTATCTTTTCCCCAGTGTATGTTCTTGGCACTTTTACCAAAAATGAGTTTACTGTAGGTGTGTGCCAGCTAATTTTTTAATTTTGTAAAGACAGTTGTCTTTACAAAAGACAACTGTTGCCTGGGCTGGTCTTGAATTACTGCCCTCAAGTGAAAAATCTTATGATTCTTTTTTTTTTTTAAAGACGGAGTCTCACTCTGACTCCCACACTGGAGTGCAGCGATACGATGTCAGCTCACTGCAACGTCCGCCTCCCAGGTTAAGTGATTCTCCTGCCTCAGCCTCTGAGTAGCTGGGACTGCAGGCACGTGCCACCATGTCCAGCTAATTTTTGTATTTTTAGTAGAGATGGGGTTTCACCATGTTGGCCCAGCTGGTCTTAAAACTCCTGACCTCAGGTGATTCACCCGCCTCAGCCTCCCAAAGTGCTGGGATTATAGGCATGAGTCACTGCACCCGGCCTAGATTCTGTTTTTAATGACACTGGAAAACAACGAATTTTTGTTTTGGCATATATATAGCTTTACTTTTAAAAGCAAGAACACACACAAAAAAAGGGGGAAAAAAGCAAGAACACAATAAATGCAACATTTAGATCAACGAGTACCTGTGCACGAGAAGCACAGGGATGGTTTCAGTAGGATTTCATAGTTTGATGGTGACTTTTGCCAAGCTGCTGCTACTTGGATTGTGTGGTGTGTTTGTGAGTGTTTATATCATTAAAAAACAAAACAGCCACTGCACTGGGTTGTTTTATTTTTTAATGATATAAACACTGATGAGACAAGGCAAGAAAACAGCAAGGCAAAAAAGAAAAAAAAAAAAGCCAGGCATGGTGGTATGCACCTGTAGTTCTAGCTATTTGGGAGACAAAGGCGAGAGGACCACTTTGAAATCCAGGAGTTCGAGATTACAGCGAGCCATGATCATGACATTGTAGTCTACCCTTGGCAACACAGCAAGACCCTGTCTCAAACAGCAAAACAAAACAAAAAACCCCAGAATCACAGGATTTTTTTCATGCATAATTTTTCTAATATTGTCATGTTATTGCATATGGCTATAGCTCATTCCTTTTCACTGCCATATATGACTTGTGTGATTAAACATATTCTATAAATGGATTGTTTCCAGTTTCTTGCTTCTGTGAGCATTGTTTTATGAATAATCATGTCTTTTAGCACACATAGATATTGATTATCTTCATCAAAAGTTTCTCTTGGGTATAAACCTAGGACAGTAGTCTTGCTGCTAATAAGATATGCAGTATTAGTCTTTATGAGACAATGATAAATTGTTTTCCTAAGTAGTTCCTTCTCACCAGCAATATGTAAGAATTCCTACTGAGCCACATTTTCTCCAACATGTGGTATTATCAGGTCTTTGCCATTTTTTTTCTTTTTTTTTTTAGAGACCAAGGATGCTGCTAAAGATGCTCGGGATCAGAAATGTTTCAGATTTTGATTTTTTTCGGATTTTGGATTCCTTGCATTATTTTTACTGGTTAGCATCTGTAGTCTGAAAATCTGAAATCTGAAATGCTCCAAAGAGCATTACCTTTGAGCATCATGTTGATACTCAAAAACTTCCGGATTTTGGAGCATTTTGGATTTCAGATTATTGGATTAGGGATACTCAACCTGTATTTCAGTGGGTTTTATTTGTAATTTTCTGATTACTAATAACATTGAGCATCATTTCAAATGTTTAGTAACTATATGTAGGGGTTCAGTCAGGCTGGTGGGAAAAATATTAGTGATGATAGCCACAAACCCTCTTGGAAGGCCTAAGAGTTTGCATAACTTCAGTAATAGATATGGTTGAAGGCGACCTGATCTTTACCTTTAGTTAAATAAATTAGAGTAATAACAAAGGAATGTGGGGAAGTTATCTAGGTAGCTTGTTTACTCATATGGTCTTAAGACTAATCTTTGATGTACCGCAGGTGCTTAACTGCTTTCTACTCAGGAAGTCCACAATGTCAGTTACCCCGTAGTGGTGTTGACTCAAGTCTTTGTCAATTAATCTTTACTGAATAAATGCGAGTCTCACTAGCTGGTCAGGGCCGCCATTGCAACTGTTTACAGTACTCTTCAGGGAGTCTGTAAACAGCCTGGACACACTCAGCTGGACTGGCAAAGCAGAGTATCTGTGTGTCAGTGTACCTCATTCATCCGTTGCCGGGTCAGGGGTCTGCAAGGGACAGACTCCCTGAAGCTGGTGCTCTGTGTGAGGAGCGTCACCACAACTATACAATTTTTTTTTTTCCTGTAAAATGGCTGTCATAGCATTTGACCTTTTAAAAATCGGCTTGTGGCTGGGCAGGGTGTACACCTGTAATCCCAGCACTTTGGGAGGCTGAGGCGGATGGATCAGTTGAGGCCAGTAATTCAAGACCAGCCTGGCCAGCATGGCAGAACCCTGTCTCTACTAGAAGTACAAAAATTAACCAGGCATAGTGGCGCATGCCTGTAGTCCCAGCTCCTCAGGGGCGCTGAACCTGGGAGGCGGAGGTTGCAGTGAGCCAAGATTATGCCACTGCACTCCAGCCTCAGTTACAGAGCGTGACTCTCTCAAAAAATAAAGAAAAAAATAAGTCTGCTAGTATTTTTTATTTATAAGAGTTCTTTGCATCATCTACATACTAATCTTGTTGATTATACGTAGGTTACAGATTATCTTTTAGTATGTATCTTTTTGCTTTTTTTTTTTTTTTTTGGTGAGATGAGGGTCTTTCTGTGTTGCCCAGGCTCCTGGGCTCAAGAAATCCTTGCACCTTTTTTTTTTTTTTTTGAGATGGAGTTTCACTCATGTTGCCGAGGCTGGAGTGCAATGGTGTGATCTCAGCTCACTGCACCTCTGCCTCCCGGGTTCAAGCACTTATCCTTTCTCAGCCTCCTGAGTAGCTGGGATTACAGGCGTGTGCTACCACGCCCGGCTAATTTTTGTATATTTAGTAGAGATGGGTTTTGCCATGTTGGCCAGGCCAGTCTTGAACGCCTGACCTCAGGTGATCCATCCGCCTCAGCCTCCCAAAATGCTGGGATTACAGGCATGAGCCACCGCGTCCAGCCTTTGTTTTTTTAATGTTGCTTTTTGATTAAAGAAATTTGTAATTTTAATATGATTGAATTTATCTGTCCTTCATTTTTATGTCTTTGTTTTTAGTAACAGTCTTGCTCTGTCACCCAAGCTGGAATGCAGTAGTGTGATCATGGCTCACTGTAGCCTCAACCTCCTGGGCTCAGGCAACCCTCCTCCCTCAGCCTCCCAAGTAACTAGGACTACAGGTGTGTGCCATATGCCCAGCTAATTTTTGTTGTTGTTGTTGTTTTGTAGAGACAGAGTCTCACTATGTTGCCCAGGCTGGTCTCAAACTCCTGGCCTCAAGTGATCCTCCCGCATCAGCCTCCCAAAGTGCTGGGCTTACAGCCACCATCTACCACGCCTGACTATTTTTGTCCTGTTTAAGAAATTCCTGGGCTGGGTGTGGTGGCTCACGCCTGTAATCCCAGTACTTTGGGAGGCTGAGGCGGGTGGATTACGAGGTCACGGGATCGAGACCATCCTGGCCAACATGGTGAAACCTCGTCTCTACTAAAAATACAAAAAAATTAGCTGGGCGTGGTGATGCGTACCTGTAGTCCTAGCTACTCATGAGGCTGAGGCAGGAGAATCACTTGAACCAGGGAGGTGGAGGATGCAGTGAGCCAAGATCGTGCCACTGCACTCCAGACTGGTGATAGAGTGAGACTCCGTTTAAAAAAAAAAAAAATGAAATTCCTTATTACTCCAAGGCCAGAAAAATATTATGCTACATTTTCTTCTTAATATTGTAGAATTTTGGCCAGGTGCAGTGGCTAAAGCCTGTAATCCCAGCACTTTGGGAGGCCAAGGCAGGAAGATTGCTTGAAGCCAGGAGTTTGAGACCAGCCTAGGCAGTATAGTGAGACCTCATCTCTACAAAAAATTAAAAAAATATATTAGCCAAGCATAGTGGCACACACCTGTAGTCTCTGCTACTCAGGTAGCTGAGGTGGGAGGATCACTTGAGCCTGGGAGGTCGAGGCTGCAGTGAGCCCTGTTTGTGCTGCTGCACTCCAGCCTGGGCAACAGAGTGAGACCCTGTCTCAAAAAATAATAATAAAATTAAAGAATAAACAAATATATAGAGAGAATTTTTTTGTTACCTTTAAGTCTCAAATTTACTTGGAATTAATTTTTGTGTGTGATGTGAGGTAGGGATCTATTTCTTTTTTTTATGTGGATGGTTGGCCCAGAACCATTTATAGAAAATCTTTTTCTTTTCTTTTTTTTTCTTTTCTTTTTTTTTTTTTTTAGACAGAGTCTCACTCTTGTCACCCAGGCTGGAGTGCAGGGCCACAATCTCAGCGCACTGCAACCTCTGCCTCCTGGGTTCAAGTGATTCTCCTGCCTCAGCCTCCTGAGTAGCTAGGATTACAGGCATGTGCCACCACACCCAGCTAATTTTTGTATTTTTAGTAGAGATGGGGTTTCACCGTGTTGGCTAGGCTGGTCTCGAAAAGTTTTCACATTTTAAAAAGTCTTTAAGGATTTTGATTAGAATTACATTGTCTATAGACTAATTTGGAAGAATTGATACTTTATGATATTGAAACTTCCTATCCATGATCATGATCATGGGCTCCCTATCCTTTTTTTTTTTTTTTTTTTTTTTTTTTTTTTTTTTTTTTTTTTTTTGAGACAGGTTTTGCTCTGTCACTCAGGTTGGAGTGCAGTGGCACAATCATAGCTCACTGCAGCCTTGAATTCCTGGGTTCAAGTGCTTCTCTTGTCTCAGCCTCCCGAGTAGCTAGGACTAGAGGCACACAGCACCACACTTGGCTTTTTTTTTTCTGTAGAGAATACAAAATTTAAAAATTTAATTTTTTGTAGTGTCTCACTAAACTGGGATTACAGATGTGAGCCACTCCACCTGGCCTCCTCCTCCAATTTTTAAGAGAGTCTTTTAATGTCTTTTGATAACCTTTTTAAATTTTCAGCACAAAGACACTGTAAGTCGTTTGCCATATTTTTAGGTGGGTATAATACGTATGTTTAGTTCTACTAGGAATAAATAAATCTTTTCTAGTTTTTTGTCTTTAACATCTTATGTTTTTGATTTCTTATTCTACTGGCTAACACTCCCAGGATGATGTTTAGAAGTTGAACAGAAAGGTGATAGTGAGAACCCTTTTCATATTCCTGATTTTGAAAGAATTGTTGCTGGTGCTGTGGCTCATGCCTGTAATCCCAGCACTTTGGGATGCTGAGATGGGAGAATCTCTTGAGCCCAGGAGTTTGAGAGTTTGAGGGGATCTGCCTGGGCAACATAGTGAGACTCCATTTCTTTTTTTTTTTTTTTTTTTAGACAGAGTCTCCCTCTGTCTCCCAGGCTGGAGTGGTGCAGTGGTGCAATCTCAGCTCACTGCAAGCTCCGCCTCCCGGGTTCATGCCATTCTTCCTGCCTCAGCCTCCTGAGTAGCTGAGACTACAGGTGCCCAGCACCATGCCCAGTATTTTTTTTGTATTTTGTATTTTTAGTAGAGACGGGGGGTTTCACCATGTTAGCCAGGATGGTCTTGATCTGACCTCGTCATCTGCCCGCCTTGGCCTCCCAAAGTGCTGGGATTACAGGTGTTAGCCACCATGCCCGGCTAAGACCCCATTTCTTTAAAAAAAAAAAAAAAAAAAAAAAAAAGCCAGGCGTAGTGGCATGCATTTGTAGTTCTAGCTGCTTGGGAGGCTGAGGCGGGATCATTGCAGGAGATTAAGGCACCCACAAAGATGCACTTAAACCAGTTGTTTCTGCTGAGAGCAGCTGGGATTTGTCACTGGATTTGCCAGGTATAGAGACTCGCCAGCTGCCATCAATGCTTCTGGTCCTTTTTGGTCAGCTGCTGCTTCATACTACGTAGGAAAGATTGTTAAAGCCCAGTGCACTGTTTCCTCTGGTCACTCCTCTGCTATCAAGGTGTTCTCTTTTGCGTTATAGAAAGCTTAAAGTTCATCTAAGTCCAGACCAGTACTCCTATAGGAATATAATGCATGCCACAAATGTGAGCCACTTAAATAATTTTAAATTTTCTAGAAGCTACATTAAAAAGTAAGGAGAAACAGATGAAATAATTTTTTAAACCACTACATCCAAAATATTATTATTTCAACATATAATCAATAAAAAATAGTACTGAGGCCAGCACGGTGGCTCACACCTGTAATCCCAGCACAGGCCAAGGCAGGGAGGATCGCTTGAGCCCAGGAGTTTGAGACCAGCCTGGACAACATGGTGAAACCCCATCTCTACAAAAAATAAAAAAAAAATGAGTGGGACATGTTGGCACATGCCTGTTAGTCCCAGCTACTCAGGAGGCTGAGGTGGGATAATCACTGAGCCAGGAAAGTTGAGGTTGTAGTGAGCTGTGATTGTGCCACTGCACTCCAGCGTGGGTGATGGAGCAAGACCCTGTTTCCGAAAAAAAAAAAGAAAAAAAAGATATACTTAAAATTTATTCTAAGATGAAGTCTTCAAAATCAGGTGTATATATCATGCTTACAACACATTATATAATTTATGGCTCCTGCCTAGCAGGGGTCATCACTGTTAGTTCAACTTTTCTTTGGCAAGTCTACTCCCTGTGCCCCACCGTACACTGCTACATTATTGTTTGTATATGTGTGTGTGAGACTGCATTTAGGCAACTGTAATAGGTTGAATTTGGTTATTTAATCTCTGTCCAAAATCACATCACAAAGATGCCTTGATTATAGAAAGATACTTCCTTGCAGCATATTAGTTATTTGACACCCTCAGTGGATATAAGTGAATATTTTGAGGGAAGAATAGAAAAGATACAATTTTTATTTATTTATTTATTTATTTATTTACTGAGACAAGTTGCTGCTCTGTCGCCCAGGCTGGAGTGCAGTGACATGATCTTGGCTCACTACAACCTCTGCCTCCCGGTTCAAGTGATTCTTCTGCCTCAGTCTCCCTGAGTAGCTGGGGTTACAGGCATGCACCACCACACCTGGCTAATTTTAGTATTAATAATTTATTTTTAAATGGAATAATAATTTCACTTTCTTCTTACCAGATCTTTCTGTCTGGGTTGTTTGCTTTTATGAGTTTTTTTGTTTGAATCTCCCTTTTACATTAAACAAAAATTAACATTTTATTATGGGAAATTTCACTATGCTATTAGAAAAGCATAGTGAACCCCCAGGCATCATCAGTGATATTCGGTGTATAGCAGTTCACGGACAGTTTTGTTTCATCTATACCAACACCTATTGCTTATCCTCCTTCTGTGTCCCCCAGTTACTTTGAATTAAATCTTATACATATACAGATGAATATTATCACTTCATCTGTATCAGAATGTTATTTTTATTAAGAAAATTATTTTTGAGATAGGGCCTTGCTGTAGTGCCCAGGCTGGAGTGTAGTAGCATGATATAACTCCCTGCAGCCTCGAACTCCTGGGCTCAAGTGATCCTCCCACCTCAGCCTCCTAAGTAACTGGGACTACAGGTGTGTGCCACCACACCTGGTAACAGATGGTTTTAAAAACTACAATACATTATCACACTTAAAAAAATTATCTTATCTAAAATAACTATTCAGATTTTCCCAGTTATTTCATAAGTGATTTTTTTTTTTTTTTTTTGAGACACAGTTTCACTCTTGTTGCCTCCAGGCTGGAGTGCAATGGCCCGATCTTGGCACACTCCAACATCTGCCTCCCGGGTTCAAGCAATTCTCCTGCCTCAGTCTCCTGAGTAGCTGGGATTATAGACACCCACCACCACGCCCAGCTAATTTTTGTATTTTTAGTAGAGACAGGATTTCACCATGTTGGCCAGGCTGGTCTCAAACTCCTGACCTCAGGTGATCTACCCGCCTCAGCCTCCCAAAATGCTGGGATTACAGGCATGAGCCACTGTGCCTGGCCTTCATAAATGATTTTTATGGTTCAAATCAGGATCCATATAAAGTCCATATATGTGTCTTTTTTTAGTCTATAGATTTCCCTTCCATCTCCTCTGCAATTTATTTTTGGAAGAAACTGAGTTATTGAGTCATTTGTCATCTAGAATGATGTACAGTTTAGATTTTGCTGACTGCATTCCATGGTGTGGCCAAACTTCCTCTGTCTGGTGTATTTCTCATAAGTGTGTAATTAGATGGAAAGGCTTGGTCAGATTTAAATTAGTTTTTTTTTTTCTACAGGGATATTTGAGAGGTAGTGGTATGTATTTCCATCAGGAAGCACATAATGTCTTCTTGGCTCTCTTTGTGATGTTAGTAGCCATCAATTTCAGTGCCTAGATACATTAATTAGATTTCTGTATCTCCTACTATCTCAAAATTTTCCATCTTCTGTCTGTGCTACATTCTGAGTCCTTTCTTCAGTTATAAATTCTAATTCATTGTATAATTCTTGTTAATCTGTTGACTTTCTAAAACTGGCTTTTCATATCTAAAAAAATTTCCTTTTTTCAAGTCTGTTCATTCCTCATAGTTCTTACTAATTGGTCATTTTTACATCCTTTTTTTTTTTTTTTTTTTGAGACAGAGTCTTGCTCTGTCATCCAGGCTGGAGTGCAGTGGCATGATCTCTGCTCACTGCAACCTCCGCCTCCCAAGTTCAAGTGATTCTCTTGCCTCAGTCTCCCGAGTAGCTGGGATTATAGGCATCCACCATCATGCCCAGCTAATTTTTGTATTTTTAGTAGAGATGGGGTTTCATCATGTTGGCCAGGCTGGTCTTGAACTCCTGACCTCAGGTGATCTGCCCACCTCAGCCTCCCAAAGTGCTGGGATTACAGGCGTGAGCCACTGTGCCCGGCCTATCCTTAACTTTAGACATTGCACACAGTACAACTGCTATCCGTATCGGATAGTTCTTAAGGTCAGCAGCTATTGCTTATTGTGTCTGCTGACTCTCTTGGTAGCTGCCCTTCTTTTGTGTCTAGTGATCTTTGAGTTCATTGTTTGATCTTAACCAGGGGAACTGTATGGGCCAAAATTAGGATTGAGGATATTTTTCTCCATAGAGGATTTTCCTTAACTTTTGCAGCAGCTGAAAGATGCCATTCAGATGGATCTACATTAGTCATGATGCCAGAATTGGGCAAATCTGCTGACACCAGGACACCTGTGTATATGTGTTTGTGTCTTTCCAGGAATTCATTGAAGAGTTGCTGTCTCCCCCTTTTGGGGGTTTAGTGGCATTTGTGAAGGAGGCTGAGGCTTTGATTGAGCGTGGACAGGCTGAGCGACTTCGAGGGGAAGAAGGTATGAGGAAAATATGGTAATGATGGGATCAGTGGTAAGGGAAGTGGAAAAGAAAAATGAAAGGATGCAGATTACATGGTGGGGGAATAGAGTATGAAAGACTGGATTGAGAGAATACCAGAAAAGAGGGTTTGATGATAAGGATGGCTATACCTTGGGGAGAACTTAGTGGAGTTGAAGATCAGCCAGATCCCTCTCTGACACTGTTTCCTCCTGCTATTAGCCCGGGTAACTCAGCTGATCCGTGGCTTTGGTAGTTCCTGGAAATCATCAGTGGAATCTCTGAGTCAGGATGTAATGCGGAGTTTCACCAACTTCAGAAATGGCACCAGTATCATTCAGGTGACCTGCAAGTCCCAGGCCCCACTCAGATCCCCCATCATTAATTATTTTCCCCATCTTTTTGCTGGGCTCAGCATCATCTAAGTGACCCTTGGTCTTCAGTTACTAGCTGTGCCCAAAGTTCTGTATGAGCCCTAACCTGATTCTTTTTTTTTTGTTTGTTTTGTTTTTTTTTTGAGACAGAGTCTAGCTCTGTTGTCCAGGCTGGAGTGCAGTGGCACAGTCTCGGCTCACTGCAACCTCTGCCTCCCAGGTTCAAGTGATTTTCCTGCCTCAGCCTCCCAAGTAGCTGGGATTACAGGTGCCTGCCACCACAACCAGCTAATTTTCGTATTTGTAGTAGAGATGGGGTTTCACTGTGTTGGCCAGGCTGGTCTCGAATTCCTGACCTCGTGATCTGCCCGCCATGGCCTCCCACAGTGCTGGCATTACAAGTGTGAGCCACTGCGCCTGGCCGCCTAACCTGATTCTTAATCATCACTATTAGCACCATTTTACGGTTTGATCCCTCAATGACTTTCTTTGACCAGGGAGCGCTGACCCAGCTGATCCAGCTCTATCATCGCTTCCACCGGGTGCTGTCCCAGCCGCAGCTCCGAGCCCTCCCTGCCCGGGCTGAGCTCATCAACATTCACCACCTTATGGTGGAGCTCAAGAAGCATAAGCCCAACTTCTGATGTGCCAGAAACCGCCCTGAGATCTGCCGGTCATCTCCATGGACTTCTGCACCCCATTCCATACCCTTCTTCACCTGGGGTACCCCTTCCAGTTTTCCCCTTGCTTCCCAGGCCCTTGACATGGCTTACCTGCCTTCACTCCCAGCACCTTGCCCAACAGGATAAGCTGGATCCCCTTGGCCTTCTGAATATCCCAGTGTCTTCAGGTTTCCCAAGACCACTTCCCTGTGGGCTTCCAAAATGGCCTTTATCATTTCTCCAGTCTGTCACCCTCCTTTCCTGCTCCCATACACCCAAGGCTTGTTTCTTCCCCTGTAAAAACCACTGCCTCAATCTCTGGTTCACTCAACTAGTCACCATGTCCTGAGGCATGAAGCCTCCTCAGCTCTTGGAATTGCTGGCAAGGGGTGACTGCCTCTGAGTCATTGTGTTTTTCAGAGTGATTTCTTTTCTGTAGCTTTTTGACCTAAGATCTCAGCAATTTGAACACTAACCTCTCCCCTCCTGGCTCAAGAATTACTCCGAAGTCAGTCTGCAGAAAATAAATATTTAGTATGACATGACACTTATCCCATTTCCTTTCTCCTTCCTCCTGAAGGTTTTTCAGGTGGCCCCATCTCTAGAATGACCTTTCCTTTCTGACTACTTCCTGGGCTTACATCCCTTCTGGTGGGTGTAACCTCTAACCTCTAGCTACTCCCAGGCCATTGGAGGAAGGTGGCCCCTGGCTAAAATAGCAGATGCTGCAAGGGATGAGAACCAGGCCGCGCAGCCCCAGACACTGTCCCAAGGGCTCCCTTGGGACAAGCCCAAGCTGACTCTGGAATCCCTCCTCCGTAGCAGCTCCATAGCTCCTCTGGTTGTGGCTGTGACAGCCCCTTGCTCGGGGGCTGCAGCACCCAACCCACACCCACACCGTTGGGGCAGGGCTAGACCAGGCGAAATTCGTACCATCCGTTTGTTTGACTTGGAGCCTTCCTGCTGTCCTCGCCTATACGCCTCGTTTGAACTTAGGCTCTAGACTGGAGAGACACGGGGACCCCTTTAAGGCCTAAGAAGAGAGGCGCAGTTAAGGAAAAATGTTACGTTTCCTGTGTCCTCCACCCCTACGGCCTAAACATTCCCTCCCCAGGTCCCTGGAGAGTGGTGGAAAGCGGTTCCTCCCCGCTTAGGCCCTTCGGATGCAGGTCTAGCCCGTCGGCAACGGGAGGTGTCCTGAGTGGGTCTGTGACTGCCGAGCACACCCGCCGCGGAGCGGAGGCTGCTGCTTCCTGAGGCTGAGAGTGGATCCGGCTCCGGGCTCTCCTAATTGGCGGACGCTGGGGGGCGGCGTGGTAAGGCAGAACGGAGCGGCATCTCAGCTCTCGCCTTTTCAGGGTTCCGCCCCATATCCGAGAGCCGCTCTCTAATTGGCTTGGGAAACCGTATCTCAGCGCTTTGGCCTAGCGACTTTGAACGTGTTTGCGCCTGAGACCGAAGTGCAGAAGAGGGCGAGCGCAGGAGGAGAGGCTTGGTGAATCAGCGATTCCTGATTGGCCAGGCGTGCCTTGAGGGCGGGGCCAGAACTGCGTCCTTAACTGACCTCGCCCTTGCCCAGATCACCGCCTCCGCGTTGCTCCGGGTTTACCGCGCCTGACTCGCTGCGCTATGCGTTCCCTCACGCCTGCCGGATGCCAGGCGGCGATGTGCCAGGCTCTGAGGGGCCGCGAGCTCACCCCAGACGCCGGCCCCGGGAATCCTCTGCTCCTCCACTTTCCCTTCCCGCTACTGGTTTCTTGCCCACCCACTCCCAGGTGTCACTCTTGGGACATCCAGATGTTCTGACATTTGACCTGACTCCAGCCTCAGCGCGAGGACGGGAGAAGGGCCAAGGGTATGAGATTTTGGACAGGAGAGGCATTGGCTACTCTGACAAAGAGCGTGGATTCCCAAAGAAAGGGTCCCCAGATACCCCGCAGGGGAGACTGTCGAGACAGGCGACTTTAGCCAACTAATGCTCGCACGCGAGGAGGGCTGTGCAGGCAGGCACCACGGTTCTTCACAGCCTTCCTTCTTTCCTTCCCCTGTCCGTCGCAGAACCCAAATCCTCAGAGCTGATCGAGAAGCGCGTGTTGTTGCAGAAGTCACTGAGGGGCAGACCTGGAATGTGAGCCGTGGGGCGAAGGGACAGCTCTGGAGACTCGTGATTCCGGAACCCGGTGGGCATTCAAGTGATACTGGAGCACGCAGTTTTCGGGGACATTAAGCTCGCCCCAGGGGTCCACAGGAACCCTCTGACCCAACGGTCTCTCTGGACAGGATGATCCAGAACAGACGGTGAAGAGACAAAACAGCGTGAAAGGGAGCGGCGATACCTAAACTGACCTCCGGAGGGCAGCATGATCAAGGGAAGGAGCTGTTCTCGCTCCGCTCAAACCCCCGCGCAGCCTCTGCAGCTTACTCCTGCTTCGGAAGGCGGCGAGGTTCCACCCCCACCACCCCGGTCCCCGCCGCCCTCTTCGCGCTGAAGCTGCGGAGGGTCTTTTTCTTCAGCCCCCAAATCCTCTGCTCTGTGGCTTAAGATTCCCAGGCTTAAACCCATAACTGCTAGGGTCATCACTCCTCAAACTTCTCCCTCACTTGTTTTGCTGATGACGGACACAGGGGCCTCACAGACTCAGAAGCATCTGGAGTCATTTCGAAGGACAGAACTGTGGCAATATCCTCTTTCCCCCTTCTAATCTCTGAGAACAGTGTCTGTATATGGCACGGGGGTCCCTAGTGTCATATAGAAGGACTCGGAGATGTCCTCATGGGCTGTAACGGCCCCCGGTGCTATTCAGGGATCTCTGTTCTTTAAAGAAATATCATTTCCCCTTATTTCTCTACCTTTGTGCCCTCACCTCGCCCTGAATTGTTTCTTAAACTGGGCTTTCTGGGAAACGTTTACTTCGTGTTCAACAGCAAAGTCTCGGCATAAGGCGAGGGCGGCAGGGGGTGGGGGGCGGGCGTTTGCTCGCCTTGGCATTAATTTCAGAGCTGCTGAACGTGGACAAAAGAGAGGGAACATCCTCCTTTCTTCCATTCCTGTAAATATGGACCCACCCACCCTCCACTTAAGATGGGTGGCTTTTCTGATTTTAAGATATCAAGCAGCCTGGCGAGGTGGCTGACACCTGGGATCCCAGAACTTTGGGAAGCCGAGGCGGGAAGATCCCTTAAGGCCAGGAGTTCTAGACCAGCCTGGCCAATATGGCGAAAACCCATCTCTACTAAAAATACAAAAATTAGCCTGGCGTGGTGGTGCCTGCCTATAATCCCAGCTACTAGGGTGGCTGAGTCAGGAGAGTCGCTTGAAACTGGGAGGCGGAGGTTGTAATGAGCCGAGATGGCCACTGCACTCCAGCCTGGGTGACAGTGAGACTCTGTCTCAAAAATAATAATAATAATAATAATAAAAAGATATAAATTGGCTGGGCTTTAAAATAAAGTAGTCAGAGGCCCAGGGTGGTGACTCATGCCTGTAATCCTTTTGGAAGGCAGAGGCCAGAGGATCTTGAGCACAGGAGTTTGAGACTAGCCTGGGCAACATAGGGAGACCCATCTCTACCAAAAAAAAAAAAAAAAAAAAAGCAAAAAGCCAAGCATGGTGGCCCATGCCTGTGGTCCCAGCTAGTTGTGAGGCTGAGGCAGGAGGATTGCTTGAGAACAGGAGTTAGAGATTGCAGTGAGCTATGATTGCACTACTGCACTCCAGCCTGGGTGACAGAGTGAGACCCTATCTCTTTTTAAAAAATTAAAAAACAAAGTAGATTTAGTGTGAAGATTCAAGGAAAGAAAGAGAAAGCAAGACAAAACTTTAAGGAGAGGAGAATCGAAATTGGCTGACTTCACCCTGGACATAATGGACACAGCTATTCATGTTACGTACTAGCGTTAACAAAGTGTTTTCAGAAGCAGTTGTCATTAAACCAACACATTTATTGAAGCTCTTCTCTGTGTTCTGTGATAGGCACTGCGGATTCAGCAGAGACTAAATCAAAGTCCTTGATCTCGGAGAGCACATATTTCATCTAATTGAATTCACATACCAGCCTTATGAGGAGGTGTTCTTCCTGTTTCAGGTAATGAGCTTGAATTTCAAATAATGAGTTCAAAACCATATAGGCACTCAGTGGCTGAACCTTCTGTGCCCACATTCAGCTTTTGTTCTATGACTCCAGGCTGGGAGTCATGGAGCTGAGGAGGCAGCCGGTTGTAGAGAAGCAACAGATTAATAAGTAATAGTAAATTATTGAAAAAATATTTACAGAACTGAAGGAAAAGCTGAACAGGCGGTCTTTGGAAAGGACAGAAGCCAGGATAGTTCCAGCATCCAGGCAGCAGACACCAATGGTCAGTGCTTCTACTTTGGATCAAAAAGAGAGAACTCCAATAGGCTTAGGGTGGGTCAGGTGCTCACACTCATCTGAGGAAGGGGAGGGTCCCTTGAGGAATAGTACCATAGACTACCCAATGTTGGAGGATAATGGCCCCAACGCAAAAATGGGATCTTGCCACCAGACAAATGGGATATAGATGCCAGGCTGCAAAATCCAACAAATGTACACGTGCCCAAATCCCGACTCCATCACTAATAGCCATGCAATCCTCTGACTATCAATTAGATTAATTGACACTCTTTTTTCTCTCGCTACTGTGGTACATGCAGTAGTTACCTTTATTCTTCACTTTGTTTTCTCATAAGACTAACAAGCAGTTTTTTAAAATAAAGAAATAAAAGCAAAATTGCTTATTGTCTTAGTCTATTCATTGGCAAACTAGTAACATTAAATAAACTCCAGACAGAGCCACTGGAGAAGAATCAAGTACAACTTAGTAGAAATAACACCGTATGTGTGAAGGTGAGTGTGTGTGTGTGTGTGTGTGTGTGTGTGTGTGTGTGTGATGGAAAATACTTTGTCCTGCCCAAACTGTAAGTCATGACCATGCCCCTCTCAGCAGAAGTTTATCTTCATCTCATTTGGAAGTTTATAAGAACACAGCTTAAAAAAAACCTGTGATTTTGGAGCAAGGTCAAGCCTTTGCTATTGCTTCCACATTTTGTTTTGTTTTATTTATTTATTTACTTTTCAGTTTTTTGGAGTTTTCTTTATTTGTTTGTGTTTTTGAGACAGGGTCTCGCTCTGTTGCCCAGGCTGGAGTGCAGAGGCACCATCTCGGCTCACTGCAACCTCTGCCTCCCGGGTTCAAGCGATTCCCCTGGCTTAGCCTACTGAGTAGCTGGGATTACTGGCACGCACCACCACATCCAGCTAATTTTTGTATTTTCAGTAGACACTGAAATACATGTTTGCCATGTTGGCTGGGCTGGTCTCAAACTCCTGGCCTCATGTGATCTGCCTGCCTCGGCCTCCCAAAGTGCTGGGATTACAGGCATGAGCCACCACGCCTGCCTAGTTTTTAGTTTTTTGAGACAGAGTCTTGCTCAGTTACCCAGGCTGGAATGCAGTGGCATGATCACAGTTTACTGCAGCCTCGACCTCATGGATTTAAGCAATCCTCCCACCTCAGCCTCTGGGATAGCTGGGACTACAGTCATGTGCCACCACACCTGGCTAATTTTTGTATTTTTTGGTAAACGAGGTTTCACCATGTTGCCCAGGCTGGTCTTGAACTCCTGAGCTCAAGTGATCTCCTACCTCGGCCTCCCAAAGTGTTGGAATTACAGGCATGAGCCACTGCCCCAGCTGTTTTATTAATTTAGTTAAAAATATATGAAAAGAGGCCCTGCGCGGTGGCTCACGCCTGTAATCCCAGCACTTTGGGAGGCTGAGGTGGGCGGATCACCTGCGGTTTTGGAGTTCAAGACCAGCCTGACCAACATGGAGAAACCCCATCTCTACTAAAAATATAAAAAATCAGCTAGGCATGGTGGCACATACCTGTAATCTCAGCTACTCGAGAGGCTGAGGCAGGAGAATTGCCCTAACCCAGAGGAGGTTGTGGTGAGCCAAGATTGCGCCATTGCACTCCAGCCTGGGCAACAAGAGCGAAACTCTGTCTCAAAAAAAAAAGTATATATATATATATATATATGAAAAGGCTGGGTGCGGTGGCTCACGCCTGTAATCCTAACACTTTGGGAGGCTGAGGCAGGTGGATCACCTGAGGTCAGGAATTTGAGACTAGCCTGGCCAACATGGCAAAACCGTGTCTCTACTAAAAATAAAAAAATTAGCCAGGCATGGTGGCAGGCGCCTGTAATCCCAACTACTTGGGAGGCTGAGGCAGGTGGATCACCTGAGGTCAGGAATTTGAGACCAGCCTGGCCAACATGGCAAAACCCTGTCCCTACTAAAAATACAAAAATTAGCCAGGCATGGTGGCAGGTGCCTGTAATCCCAACTACTTGGGAGGCTGAGGCAGGAGAATTGCTTGAACTCAGGGGGCAGAAGTTGGCAGTGAGCCAAGATCACACCATTTCACTCCAGTCTGGGCAAAAGAGCAAGATTCTGTCTCAAAAAAAAAAAAAAAAAATATATATATATATATATATATATATATACATACACACACACATACACACATACAGGCACTAGCCAGGCGTGGTGGCTCATGCCTGTAATCCCAGCACTTTGGGAGGCCGAGGCGGGCAGATCACAAAACAGGCAGGGCATGGTGGTCCACGCCTGTAATCCTAGCACTTTGGGAGGCTGAGGTGGGCAGATCACTTGAGCACAGGAGTTCGAGACTAGCCTGAGCAACATGGCGAAACTCTGTCTCTACCAAAAATACAAAAATTAGGTGGGTGTGGTGGTGCATGCCAGTAATCCCAGCTACTCCGGAGGCTGAGAGGCAGGAGGATTGCTTGGGGAGGCAGAGGTTGCAGTGAGCCGAGATGGCACCACTAGACTCCAGCCCAGGTGACAGAGGGAGACCCTGTCTCAAAAAAAAAAAAAAAAAGAAAGAAAAGAAGAAAAGAAAAACAAATCACCTGCCTTATGAAGAAACAGTTTGTAATAGATATAAGACACAGAATGTGCAGCCCCTGGTATGGAATAAGTCCTTAGAAAATGTTAGTTTCCTCTCTGTCCCTGTGTGACATGAAGGGAATTCCAGGGCCAGTGCCACTTCCTGGTGGTTTCCCTCACTTAAGTGCTGTGTACCCCATTGCAAAAGCATGTCTTCCAGGTTCCTGATACCACATCCCATGTCCTCTGCCTTTGGGGCTCTCATAGGATTAAGTGTCATTTTCCCTATGAACTAGAAAAGAATCTTCTGAACGTCTGCCTTGGGACTGATGATATAGCTGAGCTGAAAGGACAATTAGTTTTCCTCCCCAGACCAACCCAACCTTCAAGGCTGGGGACTCATTTGATGCTCCCATTCAAACATTTGGAGAAAATTGTCTCTGAGTACCAGGTCTTTTTAGCATATTTTCTCCAAATGTTACATCCTTAGGGGCTTTGAATAGTAGAAGAGCCTTCAACATTGGTTCAGATGGAAGCATGCAGGCATGTGGAGAGTTGCCACTCCCTGATCCCTGAAACAAGGCTTAGGATGGAAAAGAGCCTCCTGGGGAGGTTGGCTCTGAATGTAAAGCTGGGAGAGGCACCTCCTGTCAACCTAAGGGCTTGTTGGTAGGGGCAACATGTTGACCTGGCTTCCTTCCCACTCTGAGACATCACTGGCTCTCATGCAGAGCTATTTTCCTTCTTTCTTTCTTTCTTTCTTTCTTTCTTTCTTTCTTTCTTTCTTTCTTTCTTTCTTTCTTTCTTCTTTCTTTCTTTCTTTCTTTCTTTCTTTCTTTCTTTCTTTCTTTCTTTTCTTTTCTTTTCTTTTCTTTCTTTCTTTTTTTTTTTGAGACGGAGTTTCACTCTTGTTGCCCAGGCTAGAGTGCAACGGCACGATCTCAGCTCACCACAACTGCCACCTCCCTGGGCCAAGCAATTCTCGTGCCTCAGCCTCCCGAGTAGCTGGGATTACAGGCATGTGCCACCATGCCCAGCTAATTTTGTATTTTTAGTAGAGATGGGGTTTCTCCTTGTTGGTCAGGCTCGTCTCAAACTCCCAACCTCAGGTGATCCACCTGCCTTGGCCTCCCAAAGTGCTGGGATTACAGGAGTAAGCTGCCGTGCCTGGCCTTTCATTCTTTTCTTTCCTTCTTTCCTTCTTTCCTTCCTTCCTTCCTTCCTCCCTCCTTCCCTCCCTCCCTCCTTTCTTCTTTCTTCTCTTTCTTTCTCCTTCCTTCCTTCTCTCTCTCTTTTCTTTTCTTTCTTCTTTCTGGGTTTCGCTCTATTGCCGAGGCTGGAGTGCAGTGAGTGGCACGATCACGGCTCACTGTAGCCTCAACTTCCTAGGCTCCAGCGATCCTCCTACCTCAGCCTCCTTAGTAGCTGGGATTGCAGGCATGAGCCACTGTGCCCAGTGTAATGCAGGGCTCTTCATCCAGGATCCCAAAGGGCAAACAAAAATAGGAGAAAATTACATTTCATTTTCACTAATCTCTAACTGAAATTTAGCATTTTCTCCAATGATAAATGTAGGCAATAAACCTACACCGGTATTTGTAGTACATGTGACTGTTGTTAATAGAATTTACACATTTGTGTCATCTTCCAGTAGTTGCAGAAATTTCAAAATGTCATGTATGCTCACGGTTACTTTGTAGTTAGTGGTAGTGGTTAGACTCACCACTAGATCTTCTTCTTACACATTTTGTTTCATTTTGACAACTGTACTTCAATATGATTGTTTTCCTTTGTAATCCCATTTATTTTACTTTATGCAGTTGAAGATTATTCTGACACTCCACAGACTTCACCAGACTTCCAAAACCTGTCCTAGACGTAAAAAGTTAAGAAACCTTAAATCTCTAATGATGCTGTCATTTCCTGTTTTGTATTATCTTACAACCAGGGTAATTAGGAATGCCTTCTTCTTCTTCTTTTTTTTTTTTTTTTTTGAGACGGAGTCTTGCCCTGTCACCCAGGCTGGAGTGCAGTGGCACAATCTTGGCTCACTGCAACCTCCGCCTCCCGGGTTCAAGTGATTCTCCTGCCTCAGCCTCCCAAGTAGGTGGGATTGCAGGCATCCACCACCATGCCCAGCTATTTTTTTGTATATTTAGTAGAGATGGGGTTTCACCATGTTGGCCAGGCTGGTCTTGAACTCCTGACATCAGGTGATCCACCCACCTCAGCCTCCCAAAGTGCTGGGATTACAGGCATGAGCCACCGTGCCTGGCTTGCTTTCTTCTTGTTTAAACTAAAGGTCTTCTTGTAAAATTCCTGCTCATATTTTCTTCATTATTACTCAAATTCAATTATTCATTTATTTGCCAAATATTTAGAAAACACTTCTCTTGTACAAAACCATGCTGCATAAAACTGTTATTATGCGAAAAATAATCCTTACTCGCCATGCCCTCTACCCCGACCCCCCAACCCCATTTACAATCTGGTAGAGCTGGACTGTTTACCCACATAGGACACACAGGCTGCAGCTTACCATGGGCAGGGAGTGGGGATGGTTGTTCCAGGTGCAGGTAATAAGAAGGTGTATTGTCTGTGGAGAATTTAAAAATAATTCTAAAACCAACTTTTTTTTTTTTTTTTTTTTTTGAGATGGAGTCTGACTCTTTGGCCCAGGCTGGAGTGCAGTGGCACCATCTTGGCTCACTGCAGCCTCTGCCTCCCGGGTTCCAGTGATTCTCCTGCCTCAGCCTCCCAGGTAGCTGGCATTACAGGCACACACCACCACGCCAGGCTAATTTTTGTGTTTTTAGTAGAGACGGGGTTTTACCACGTTGGCCAGGCTGGTCTTGAACTCCTGACCTCAGGTGATCTGCCCACCTCATCCTCCCAAAGTGCTAGGATTACAGGTGTGAGCCACTGCGCCCAGCCTGAAGCCAACTTTTTATTGATACTGCGCACCAGCAATTATAAAAAAATGTTAGTGACAAAATACCCCTTGCAGTGTAGCCTCCTCCCCCCACTCCACCCTGCTTGGTATGCCACTGCACACAGGGGAGTTTAACCATTTCCAGTTTACACACACACACACAGACACACACACACACACACACACACACACACACAAACACACAGAGCCTTTGAGACTTCCTTTTCTCCTCAACTCCCCCAGCCCAGTTCTCATGTCACTCTACTCAGGGTAGGATCTGCAGCACTGCTGGGCCAGTATCCCCAAAGGTGAGCCCTGTAAGCTCCTTGGCCTCTGGATGGTCTCATTAATAGTCCAGGATGAGCCCTGCAATCTTGGCATCTGTAGGCAGGTCTCAGCTCTTCTTCACACCCCTGGGCTTGAACCCCTTGGCAACTGCGTTTGACAGTACATGATTCCCATTCTTCATCTCCAGATTTTCCATCCTTCAAGAAAACACTGGATTTCCTGGTCAAGCCAAGGCTTAATGAACTGGCCTGGCAGCTTCTCTGGTCCTCAAGTTTCCTTTTCTTGCCTTACTTTCTGAAGACTTCTAGTAGTTTTACTTGGAAGTGTCACTGTCTCCATTTTTATTCCTGAGTTTTCTGCAGTTCTTTTTTCTGTGGCCCCACGGACTCATCCAGAGCCTGCAGGGAGCTGACACCTCATCTGAGCTGCTAGAATTGAGGTGAGAAAGGAGGTTCCTAAGTGCAGAAATGTGTTTTCTCCTCTCCAGCCACCACTGAAGGCTTTGGATGTGATTGAGTCAGACCTCTCCTGCACAGTCTCCCTTTGGATTACCTCAAGATAAACCAATTTGTGACTTTAATTACATCCGCGAAGTCCCTTCCCAGCTGCACCTAAGCTAAAGTGTGATTGAATGAATGAAAGAGGGTGTGCTGGCGATCAGCTAGGGAAGTGATTCCAAGGGTCCCTAGACTCCACATTACCAACTGCAAAATGTGACGTTCTTACGTTCTGACAAGCGAACTCTCCTCCCAAATTCATTGCCTGAGTTGATGCAAATGAATTCAGCCACGCCTTTTGGGTTTGGCATCTGAGAAGTGTCTGTGACTTGGGAAGAGTGGTCAGAATGGCGATAATGGGAAGAGACCACATTTCAGCTGGTGGAGAGTGAAAGGACAGCCAACATCTTGCCCTTTCTGAAGCATACACACATTGGAGATTGAAAGTGTCTGTTGGCCTCACAGGCACTGAGGAAAGCCTCCCATCCCCTTAGATTTTCCTCCTTTTTCCTGAGGTCCCCTGAACCTAATAGTCTGTAACCTTATTCCATGTCTGGGTCAACAAACCACCTTCCAAGGAGGACTTGAATATAATAATCCGTTTCCTCTGCATTCCTCCAGAACACAGAGTCCACACCATCCATGAGTCTGTCAAACAAAACATTCCTCATTGGTCTCAATGTTGAGCACTGAAAGTTCTCTGAGCTCATTTAGCACCAACTCATCATCCTTAAAATCCACAGGATGGGCCGGGTGCAGTGACCCATGCCTGTGACTACAACACCTTGGGAGGCCAAGGGGCAGATCTCTTGAGCCCAGGAGTTCAAGACCAGCCTGGGAAACATGGTGAGACACCTTCTCTACAAAAAAAAATTTTTTTTTTTGAGACGGAATCTCACTCTGTCGCCCAGGCTGGAGTGCAGTGGTGCAATCTCGGCTCGCTGCAACCTCCGCCTCCAGGGTTCAAGCGACTCTCTGCCTCAGCTCCCGAGTAGCTGGGATTGCAGGCATCCACCACCATGCCCAGCTAATTTTTGTATTTTTAGTAGAGACAGGGTTTTACCACGTTGGCCAGGCTGGTCTCGAACTCCTGACCTCGTGATCTACCCGCCTCAGCCTCCCAAAGTGCTGGGATTACAGGTGTGAGCCACCATGCCCGGCCTACAAAAATTTTTTTAAAAAAATTAGCCAGGAATGGTGGTGTACACCTGTGGTCCCAGCTACTTGGGAAGCTGAGATAGGAGGATTCCTTGAGCCCAGGAGGTTGAGGCTGCACAGTGAGCTGTGATCACGCCACTGTACTCCAGCCTGAGCAATAGTGAGACCTTATCTCAGAAAACAAACAAAACAACCAAAAATATCCATAGGATGAAACATATGTTTGATTATGACAACTTGCTTATGGTACCTTCTGGATGGCCCAGCTCCCTTGCAGATCCCCAGACCAACAGCTTTTGTTGTAGTGACAGCTTCTTCTTGTAACCTCTTTTTTTTTTTTTTTTTTTTTTTTTTGAGATGGAATTTCACTCTTGTTGCCCAGGCTGGAGTGCAATGACATGATCTCGGCTCACTGCAGCCTCTGCCTCCAGGGTTCAAGCGATTCTGCTGCCTCAGCCTCCTGAGTAGCTGGAACTACAGGTATGCACCACCATGCCCGGCTAATGTTTGTATTTTTAATAGGGACGGTGTTTTGCCATGTTGGCCAGGCTGGTCTCGAACTCCTGGCCTCAGGTGATCCACCTGCCTCAGCTTCCCAAAGTGCTTGGATTACAGGCGTGAGCCACTGCACCTGGCCTACAGCCTCTAATTTCATTTTCATCCAAAAGCTTTAATGGAAGGCCCACAGATTCCCTCTTCAAGTAACAGCAAAGCGCATCTCCTTTAAGATTTCTTTGATCATCTTCATAAAGCTTGACTTTGAAGTCTTCTGAGGATTTCTCCTGGAGGCAAACCAGATATATAGACATTTGTATTTCTGTCTTCTTCAACATGAAATTATCCTCATTCCATTTTTCTTTTATCTCCCCTGTTTTTAGGATCAGTGGGTTTGGGGGGTTTTCTTTGCAGAAATTCTGCATTCCTAGCATTGACATTTTGTACATTTGCAGGAGAGCTAGATGCCCCACCATTAGAAAAGCCACACTTGGCTGGGTATGTAGCAATGAAACCTTCAGTGGCCTTGGGAAACCACGCCTTCTTGTCCAGATCCCACTCATTGTGGGAGTCAGTTGGCTGCTGCCCTAAATAACCCGTTTGTCACTGAGATCTTCTTGTCTGTTGCAGTCCTTAGTGTCTCCATATAATTTATGCATTCACAACTGCTCATCAAGTCATCATTATCATCCACTTCATGTTTCCTACCTAGCCAGGGGCAGGGTTCAGGTAATCAAAGAGGCTGCTCTGCTGGGCCTGCAAGGCTCCACCAAGTGTGTCTGAGGTGACAGCCCAAGCACTGTTATAAATATTTGCGCACTGTTGTAAACATTTGCATTAGTCCCTTCTCGCACTGCTATAAAGAAATACCTGAAACTGGGTAACTTATAAAGAAAAGAGGTTGCCGGGCGCGGTGGCTCATGCCTGTAGTCCCAGCACTTTGGGTGGCTGAGGCAGGTGGATCACTTGAGGTCAGGAGTTTGAGACCAGCCTGGCCAATATGGTGAAACCCCGTTTCTACTAAGAATACAAAAATTAGCCGGGCATGGTGGCCAGCACCTGTAATCCCAGCTACTTGGGAGGCTGAAGCAGGAGAATCACTTGATCCGGGGAGGCAGAGGTTGCAGTGAGCCAAGATCATGCCACTGCACTCCAGCCTGGGTGACAGAGCAAGACTCCGTCTCGGAAAAAAAGAAAAGAAAAGATGTTTGCTGGGCACAGTGGCTCATGCTTGTAATCCTAGCAGCACTTTGGGAGGCTGAGGCCGGAGGGTTAATCACTTGAGCTCAAGAGTTTGAGACCAGCCTGGGCAACATGGCAAAAACCCGTCTCTATAAAAAATTCAAAACTTAGCTGGGTATGGTGGCATGTGCTTGTGGTTCTAGCTACTTGGGGAGCTGAGGTGGGAGAATTTCTTCAGACCAGAAGGTAGAGGCTACAGTGAGCTGTGATTGCGCCACTGCCTGGGCGACAGAGCAAGACCCTATCTCAAAAAAAAAAAGAGGTTTAATTGGCTCATGGTTCTGTGGGCTGTACAGGAAGCATGATGCTGGCATCTGCTTGCCTTCTGGGGAGGTCTCCAGAAACTTACAATTATGGCAGAAGGCAAAGGAGGAGCGAGCCTTCTCACATGGCAGGAGCCGAGAGAGAGGGAGGAGGTGCGGCACACTTTTAAACAACCAGAGCTTGCCAGAACTCTCTATCATGAGAACAGCACCAGGAGGATGGTGCTAAACCATTCGTGAGAATCCACTCCCATAATCCAACCACCTCTCACCAGGCTCCACCTCCAACACTGGGACTACATGAGATTTGGTGGGGACACAGATCCAAACCATATCAACATTTAACACATTGCATCTTTGAATTGTCACAGCAACCCTGTGAGGTGGGTACTAGTGTTATCCCCATTTTACAGAGAGGAAATTGATGCCCAGAGACCTTGCCAAGGTTATAGACAGGACAGTTAGTGCATGACAAAGCTGGAATTGGAATGCAGCCAGTTCTGCTTTAGAAGCCACTTTCTTGCCTGCCTTTCTTTCTTTATTTCTTTATCTTTTCTTTCTTTCTCTCTCTCTCCTTCCTTCCTTCCTTCCTTTTCTTTCTTTTCTTTTCTTTTTTTTTTTTTTTTTTGAGACAGGGTCTGGCTTTGTTGCTCAGGCTGGAGTGTGGTGGCACCATCTTGGCTCACTGCAACCTCCACCTTCTGGGCTCAAGTCATCCTCCTACCTAAGCTTCCCAAGTAGCTGGGATTACAGGTGCATACCACCACACCTGGCTAATGTTTGTATTTTTTTTAGTAGAGATGGGGTTTCACCATGTTTGCTAGGCTGGTCTTGTACTCCTGGCCTCCCAAAGTGCTGGGACTAGAGGCGTGAGCTATTGCACCCCGCCTGAAGCTACATTCTTTTTTTTTTTTTTTTTAATGAGACGAGTCTTGCTCTGTCCCCCAGGCTGGAGTGGTGCAGTGGCGTGATCTTGGCTCACTGGAACCTCCGCCTCCCGGGTTCAAGCAATTCTCCTGCCTCAGCCTCTCGAGTAGCTGGGATTACAGGCACCTGCCACCACTCCTGGCTGTTTTTTCTATTTTTAATAGAGACGGGGCTTCACCATATTGGCCATGCTGGTCTCAAACTCCTGACCTCAAGCGATCCGCCTGCCTTGGCCTTCCAAAGTGCTGGGATACAGGCATAAGCCATCGTGCCTGGCCAAGGCTACATTCTTAAACGCCACTTTTTACAGCTTCCAAGAAACTAACTGGGTGAAATCCAGCCTGCCTCCTGTCCTTGTTTTTATCATTTCATAGTGAAAACATAAACTCCCAAGCCCACCTACTCTATTGCACTGTGTCTCCATGACACTCTGTACCTTCTGGCTCTGACTCAGCCCTCCACTTTCCCCCTCCCTAACCTGCCTGTGCCCTCTAATAAACTGCAGCCCCCCTCATACCCTTAGCTTCTCCTTGGAGCATTCCCTCCACTTCCTGGCGTTAAGTGAAATTTAACTCTCCCTTGAGGGCACTACCTCCTTTGCAGGCTTCTGAAATGAGAGCTGTTGATTTTCTTACAGCTGAGGGTGCTCTCCTGGCTTCAGATTGCTGCCTCCGGACTACTCCTCCCCCAGCCCCCAACTCTAGTTTAAAATAACCCGCGGCCTTCCAGGCACTGCAATTAGGCTAAACTTTCCTCTTCCTTTCTCACTGCTACTGTCTGCCAGACCCCTCCACCTCACTCAGGGGAACGCTGGCCCAGCTGACCGTCTGTCTTTGCATTGAGTCCTCCCTCTGGGAGACTTCATTGTCCACCTGGAGGATCCATTCCCTACTTGACCTCTCAATAACCTGGCCACTTAATCCCCAAGAATCTTCTCCTCTCCAACTCGGCCACACATTCTCATTGTCATACCCTGGACCTTATCACCTGAAAGAGCCCCTCCTTGAGAATCAGTCAAGCAGCCTGCTCTTGGCCCCCACCTCCTAACCGTCTGTCCATCAGTCTGTCTGCCCTCCTCGCAACCAATTTTCAGTCTCCTAGGACCTTTGGATCAATGATGCCTTCCGTCTTCCAGCTTATGAGCCCCTCCCTATTCAGCTCAACTCCACAACCCTTCATTTCAACACCTCTCTGGACAATATCGCCAACTCCCCTTCCCCTCTGTATTTTCATCCTTTGTACCCAAGTGGCAAAACCCCAACCCTGGATGAGCCCAGTGATCTGTTTTCTTCAGGATTTTACTCTGATAGCCAAGAACTGTTGGTGGTGGTGGGGGAAATCACACAATCAGGAAATGGTTCCCACTCCTCACTCATGATCATGAACTCTAAGGAGGCTCCCAGAATTGTTTAGTGGCCCAACCACATCACTCTGGTCAATGGCTACGTTAAACCTCCCTGATCCTTGAACCTCTGAGGCTCTTCTGTCTCTCACCTCATGCTCACTTGATGACCTCCCTCTTATGTCACAGAGAAAATGAAAGTCATCAGAGGTGAGCTCCCTCAACCATCTGTCACCAGATCCACACCCCTCCAAGAGGAACACAATGCATGCAGCGCATGTACCTTGATTTGATCCTGATTTGAAATATATGCATAGGCTGGATGCAGTGGCTCACGCCTGTAATTCCAGCACTTTGCTTGAGCTCAGGAGTTCAAGGCAGGTGGATTACTTAAGCTCAGGAGTTCAAGACCCACCTGGGCAACAGAGAAAAACCCTGTCTCTACAAAAAAAAAAAATACAAAAATTAGTCAGGTGTGGTGGGTCACACCTAAATAGTAGTTCCAGCTACTTAGGAGGCTGAGGTGGGAGGATCACTTGAGCCTGGGAGGTGGAGGTTGTAGTGAGCTGTGATTGCACTGCTGCACTCTAGCCTGGGTGACAGTGAGACCCAGTCAAAAAAGAAAGAAGGAAAGGAAGGAAGGAAAGGGAGGAGAGAGAGAAAGGAAGGAAGGAAGGAAGGAAAAACAGAAGAAAGGAAGGAAAGAAATTAAAAAGAAAGATATATATATATATAAATATATATATAAAAGACATTTTGAGGCTAACTGGGGAATATTTGAGTATATTCTGCTATCAGATGAAGTGAAGAAATGATCGTTATTTTCTAATTTTGTTTTTTTTTTTGAGACTGAGTCTTGCTCTGTCACCAGGCTGGAGGTCAGTGGCGCAATCTCAGCTCACTGCAACCTGTCCCTACTGGGTTCAAGCAATTCTCCTGCCTCAGCCTCCCAAGTAGCTGGGATTATAGGTATGCACCACCACGCCCGGCTAATTTTTGTATTTTTAGTAGAGACGGGGTTTCACCATATTGGCCAGGATGGTCTCAATCTGTTGACCTTGTGATCCTCCTGCCTCAGCCTCCCAAAATGCTGGGATTACAGGTGTGAGCCACCGTGCCTGGCCATGATCATTATTTTCTTAGCTGTGATTACGTATTGTGGTTATGGAATCTCCTTATTTTTGGGAGATGCATGCTGAGGTACTTAGGTGTGAAGCACATGCTTTCCTATATTTTCATATGGTCCAAGAATGTTTTAGTAGTCACTCAACAATTTCTATGTTTAAAAAAAAAAAAAAAGGGCTGGGCACAGTGGCTCATGCCCGTAATCAATCCGAGCACTTTGGGAGGCTGAGGCAGGCGGATCACCTGAGGTCGGAAGTTCAAGACCAGCCTGACCAACATGGAGAAACCCCATCTATAGTAAAAATACAAAATTAGCTTGGCGTGGTGGCGCATGCCTGTAATCACAGCTACTCGGGAGTCTGAGGCAGGAGAATTGCTTGAACCCAGTAGGCGGAGGTTGCGTACAGCCGAGATCGCGCCATTGCACTCCAGCTTGGGCAACAAGAGCGAAATTCCATCTCAAAACAAAAAACTAAAAACAAGCCCACAAAGACGTATATAGGCCTTGGCACTGTGGCTCATGTCTGTAATCCCAGAACTTTGGGAGGCCAAAGCAAGAGGATCACCTGAGTCCAGTTTGAGACCAGCTGGGCAACAAGGCGATACCTTGTCTCTACAAAAAATTTAAAAATTAGCCGGGCATGGTGCCATGCACCTGTGGCCCCAGTTACTTGAGAGGCTGAGGTGGGAGGATCGCTTGAGCCCAAAAGTTTGAAGCTGAGATGAGCTATGATCAGGTCACTGCACTCCACCCTGTGCGATGAAGTGAGACCCTGTCTTGGAAAAAAAAAAAAAGAACCATATATATATGTGTGTGTATATATATATGTTTGTATATATATAATATATAAATATTTGTATATATGTATAAATAACAATTGTTAAATCTAAGTAAAATGATCGACATACAAACAATATTGTATTATATTTTCAAGTTTTCTGTATGTTTGAAATTTTTCATAATAAAAAAACTGGGCAAAATTCTCTCACTTCCACTCACTGCTCGACCCTTTCAGGCTGGTGTTTATCTCTACCTTGCTGCTACTCAAATGTTTTTTTGCAATGAACTTTATG
The DNA here is from genome assembly GCF_000001405.40 of Homo sapiens. Taxonomy (NCBI): domain Eukaryota; kingdom Metazoa; phylum Chordata; class Mammalia; order Primates; family Hominidae; genus Homo; species Homo sapiens. Next base: position 4,426,944 of record NT_167248.2, on the reverse strand, counting down.
TCATTAAGTCCATTGTTTCGTTTTCTTCTTACTTGAACTGCCACTAGTAGCTGACGTTGCTGGCCAGTTCTTTCTTGAAACACTGTCGTTTTTTGGCCTCCAGGATTTGGCCTCTTCTGGCTTCCTCCCATCCCTCCATCGGCTGCTCTTCCACCCCTCAGCCGGCTCACTCCGCCTTTGACTGAAATCACCTGGTCATATTGGAGTTCATCAAGAGAGGTCGGTCCTGGACCCTCCTCTTCTTATGCTACCCTTTCCTTCTAGGGGATCACACCTGTCCTGTGGCTTCAGTTCCCATCAGCTGGTTACTCTCAAATTTATCTCTTGCCTCAAATCTCCAGATTTGACCACCTTCCTGCCTGGCATCCCTACTTGGATGTCCCAAAGGTATTACTAACTTAGCTTTTTTTTTTTTTTTTTTGGGAGACAGAGTTTCGCTCTTGTTGGCCAGGCTGGGGTGCAGTGGCAAGACCTTGGCTCACTGCAACCTCCGCCTCCTGGGTTCAAGTGATTCTCCTACCTCAGCCTCCGGAGTAGCTGGGATTACAGGCATCCGCCACGACACCCGGCAAACTTTTTGTATTTTCAGTAGAGATGGGGTTTCACCATGTTGGCCAGGCTGGTCTCAAACTCCTGACCTCAGGTGATCCACCTGCCTCAGCTTCCCAAAGTGCTGGGATTACAGGCATGAGCCACGGTGCCCAGCTTAACTTAGCATATTTGAAACAGAAGTCATGATCTTCCCACAGAAGCAGTATCATCCTCAGATCTGAACCACAGGGGCCCTGCCCTGGCCCACATACTTTAGGGGGATTCACCTATCACAAACAACTTATCACACACATTTATTACATGACACCTGGGCACCTCTGTCACTGATCTGCTGTCAGTGCTGGAACAGCACAACCTGAAATCTTACACATCTGCTCTTGTAATCAACGCCGTTCAAGCCCTGGGGAATGGTGACTTCTGTAATCTCTTGCCCTGTATCCTGGAAACAAAAGATGACTATAGCCAATTCTGTGAAAATCTGAGGTTGTGCCTCTGCCTGGATTCTGAAGCATGTACTGCTTTGGAGTGTAGGGAGGATTTAAGCAGTGGAAACATGTAAGTGAAATCACTTTAACCAGCTTGTTAAATATTACCTCTCAAATAGCATGACAAAGTATCATTTCCCAATAGTGTTGAGTGTGGTTTTTCTTGTTTCTCTTTGTTTTAGAGGTATGGATGTATGTTGTGCTGCATTTACAACAGTTGCAAAGGATAGCTGAGGAACATGTTGCTGTATTAAACAATCCTTATTACTGTTAAATTTATATGCATGTGGTGGGAGGGGTGGTGAGGGATAAAAAACTACACATTTACAGTGTACACTCCTCCTGTGATGGGGGCACCAAAATCTCAGAAATCACCACTAAATAACTTATTCATGTAACTGAACACCACCTGTTCCCCAAAAGCCTATTGAAAAAAAAATTGAATACATGTAGGTCTAGATATAACTCTTGTGAAGTATGATATTGATTCTCTATGTTGTAATAGATGGACATTGAATACGAGATTATGAATACAATCATCCTCAGTATTCACCAGGGATTGATTCCAAAACCCCCACTGATGTTCAAACCCCTTGTATAACATGGCATAGTATTTGCATATAACCTATGCACATTCTTCCACATACTTTAAATCATCCCTAGGTTATCTATGGTGCCTATCGCAATGTAAATGCTGTATAAATATATGTTATACTGTATTTTTTATTTGTATTATTTTTTCTTTCTTTCCTTCCTTCCTTCCTTCCTTCCTTCCTTCCTTCCTTCCTTCCTTCCTTCCTTCCTTCCTTCCTTTCTTTCTGACAGTCTTGCTGTGTCACCCAGGCTGGAGTGCTATGGCAGGATATCAGCTCACTGCAAACTCTGCCTCCCAGGTTCACGCCATTCTCCTACCTCAGCCTTCCAAGTAGCTGGGATTACAGGTGCCCGCCACCATGCCCGGCTAATTTTTTTGCATTTTTAGTAGAGATGGGGTTTCACCGCGTTAGCCAGGATGGTCTTGATCTCCTGACTTTGTGATCCACCCGCCTTGACCTCCCAAAGTGCTGGGATTACAGGCGTGAGCCACCGCGCCCGGACTGGCCATATATATTTTAAAAATATTTTTATTCTTCAGTTGGTTGAATCCATAGGTGTGGACCTACAGATACAAAATGCCAACTGTAGTTTAATTTTTATAAAACTATCTGTCTTAGTCCATTCAGACTGCTATAACAAAATACCTTACACTGAGCAATTTATAAATAATAAACACTGCTTACAGTTCTGGAGGCTAGAATGTCCAAGCAGGTGGTGCCAGCAGATTTGGTAGCCAGTGAGGGCACACTTTGCTTCATAGATGGCGCCTTCTTGCTGCATCTTCACGGGTGGAAGGGGCAAACAAGCTCCTTTGGGCCTCTTTTTTTTAAGACAGGGTCTCGCTGTGTCACCTAGGCTAGAGTGCAGTGGCGTGATCTCGGTTTACTGCAAGCTCTGCCTCCAGGGTTCAAGTGATTCTCTTGCCTCAGCCTCCTGAATAGCTGGGATTACAAATGCCTGCCACCATGACTGGCTAATTTTTGTGTTTTTAGTAGAGATGGGGTTTCTCCATGTTGACCAGGCTTGTCTTGAACTACCGACCTCAAATGATTAGCCCGCCTGAGCCTCCCAAAGTGCTAGGATTACAGGCATGAGCCACCGCACCCAGCCTGGGCTTCTTTTATAACGGCATTAATCCCATTCATGAGGACAGGCCCCTCATGACCTAATCACCTTCTAAAGGCCCCATCTCTTAATATCACCACATTGGGGATTAGGTTTCAATTTATGAATTTTAGGGGGGCACAAACATTTATGCCATAGCAATACATAATAAAAATTAATAAATATGTATATATTTTTTTGAGACAGGGTCTCACTCTGTCACCAGGCTGGAGTGCAGTGGCACAATCATGGCTCACTACAGCCTCAACCTCCCAGGCTCAGGCAATCCTTCTACCTCAGCCTCCAGAGTAGCTGAGGCCACATATGTGTGCCACCATGCCCGGCTAAGTTTTCTATTTTTTGTAGAGATGGCATTTCACCATGTTGCCCAGGGGGGTCTCAAAACACTGGGCTCAAGCAGTCTGCCCACCTTGACCTCCCAAAACACTGGGATTTCAGGTGTGAGCTACTGGGCCCAGCCCAAAATTTCAAAAAAAAGCAGGCAAAAAGTCAGCTTTATCTAAATGTGTTTGATTTAAAATATTGATGTGTATTCATTATCATTTATATTTTGTCCAGATGCCGTGTCTCATGGCTGAGATTCCAGCACTTTGGGAGGCTGAGGTGGGAGGATCACTCGAGCTCAGAAATTTGAGACCAGCCTGGACAACATAGTGAGACCATCTCTCTACAAAAACTAAAAAAATTAGCTGGGTGCGATGGCTCATGCCTGTAATCCCAGCACTTTGGGAGGCCAAGGCGGGTGGATCACTTGAGGTCAGGAGTTCGAGACCAGCCTGGCCAACATGGTTAAACCCCACGTCTACTAAAAATACAAAAAATTAGCAGAAGAATGCTTGAACCCATATGTATACATGTATATATACATATGTGTATGTGTATGTTTATATATATATGTATATGATACAAAATTAGCCAGGTGTGGCAGCACACACCTGTAGTCCCAGCTATTTGGGAGGCTGAGATGGGAGGATCACTTGGACCTGGGAGGTCAAAGCTGCAGTGAACTGGGATCATGGCACTGTACTCCAGCCTGGGTGACAACGTGAGATCCTGCCAAAAAAAAAAAGGAAAAATAAAAAGAGTGATTTTACAGAAAAATTGAGATTTTCAATTTATCACGGCAGTGCCAGCTCTGAATTCCTATGCGGCAACGCTGGACCAGGAGCTGCTGCCCCTCTAGGAGGGGAGGGTGCCCTCCAGCCTGTTATAGCCTTCCCTTGGCACTTGGCACATTACTTGCCTGGCCCTTACAGGAATTTGAGGTGCAAATTGATCTAGATCATTGAAGGAAGAGTCTGGGTCTTCTCAGTTTTGGGGCACTTTCGTTGCCAAGTAAGGTTCTTATGAGATTTTTAGAAGTTGAGATTAAAAAAGAGTTTATATGCAGCTGGAGGTGATACCTAACAACAACCATAATAACAGCATCAACAACAAAAACAGTAGCCTAGAGCAGTTACTCTAAGCCAGGTAAGTGTTCTAAAGCACTTCACACAACTTATTTACTCTCACGACAATGCTATTAGGTAGCACTTTGAATATACACATTTTGTAGGTGAGGAAATTGGGGCATGTAGCTGTTAAGATTTATATCAGCCGGGCGTGGTCACTCATGCCTGTTCCCAGCACTTTGGGAGGCCAAAGCGGGCGGATCACGAGGTCAGGAGTTTGAGACCAGCCTGACCAACATGGTGAAACCCCGTCTCTACTAAAAATACAAAAATTAGCTGGACATGGTGGCGGCTGCCTGTGATCCCAGCTATTCAGGAGGCTGAGGCAGGAGAATCGCTTTAATCTGGGAGGCGGAGGTTGCAGTGAGCTGAGATCATGCCACTGCGCTCCAGCCTGAGTGACAGTGAGACTCTGTCTCAAAAAAAAAAAAAAAAAAAAGATTTATACCAATTTATACCGTCCAATAGGAGGCGTGAGACTCAACACAGGGCGGAGGAGAGAATAGGTCAGGAAATCACATCTCTCCACCTGCACAGCCACCATCATTGTACCCTTCTAAAGAGACTGGCAACAACTTTCATTCAGCACTGTCCCATTGATTGGCTCATTTCATGATCACAGCAACCCAGTTAAGCAAATCCTCACCTTTGCATCGCCTGCTTTGTATCACTTTTCTTTAAAATTAAAAATAAAAAAAATGGATTACAAATTCGGTTAACGCCCATCCCATTTCTCTCCTTCCTTGTAGTAATTATCATTCTAAAGTTGTTGGGAATTATTCCCATGCGTACTTTGCACTTTTAAAAAATGTTTGCTTTCCTAAACATATACCACTGTTTTGTGTATTTTAAAACTCACACAAATAATATCATACAACATCCATTTTTGCAAGTTTCTTACTCATTACATTGCTAAATATGTCTATAATTCATTTAACTGCCGTATAGTATCCCATTATAAGAACAAACCATACTTTATTTATCCATTTTACTTAACAACAGTTAGCTTATTTCCACTTCTTCTTGACAATTAACTGATACTGCAATGACCATTTTTATCCTCGCCTTTTTGTGCATGTGTAGAAATGTTTTTCTAAGGAATAGATCTAGAAGCAAGATTGCTGGGTCATAGGGAATATTCATTTTCAGCATTAACTGGTGCCAAAATTCTCTTCAAATTTGTTGTATCTGTTTACACTTCAACACAAAATATATGCATTCCTATTGTCCCACATTTTTGTCAACAGTGTTAGAATAATTTTAATTTTGGTGATTTTGTGGGTGTAAAATGGTAACTCGCGCTGTGATTTGCATTTCTACATTACTGGTTAAATTGAGCATCTTTTCTTATGTTTATTGACCATTAGGTTTCTCTTTTGTGACTCACCTATTCACAGCTTTTGCTCATATTCTCTTGCGTTGTCCTTTTCATATGGATCTGCAACTTCTTTATGAATCCTGGATATAATCCTTTGTTGTTTATGTAGATTGTGAATATTCTCTAAGTCTGTGGCTTGTCTTTTACTTTACGTGATTTCTTTTTTTTTTTTTTTTGAGACGGAATCCTGCTCTGTCGCCCAGGCTGGAGTGCAGTGGCACAATCTCGGCTCGCTGCAAGCTCCGCCTCATGGGTTCACGCCATTCTCCTACCTAAGCCTCCCGAGTAGCTGGGACTACAGGCACCCACTACCACGTCCAGCTAATTTTTTTGTATTTTTGGTAGAGACGGGGTTTCACCATGTTGGCCAGGATGGTCTCAATCTCCTGACCTTGTGATCCACCCGCCTTGGCCTCCCAAAGTGCTGGGATTACAGGCTTGAGCCATCGCGCCCGGCCTATGTGATTTCTTATAAAAGCTTAAAAATGTTTTAACGTGGTCATATGTATCAATATTTTCCTTTATTGCTTGTGCATTTATTTATAGTCGACAAATAAAAATTGTATCTATGGTGTAACAACATGATGTGTGTATATATATGTGTGTGTGTGTGTGTGTGTGTAATGGCTAGAGTAATTACTGTATCTGTTATCTCACATACTATCATTTTAAACGTGATATTTGAAATGTACTCTCCTAGCAATTATTTTTATTTTTATTTTTTTTTTGAGACAGGATCTTGCTCTGTCGCCCAGGCTAGAGTGCAGTGGCAAGATTATAGCTCACTGCAGCCTGGACCTCCCAGGCTCAAGTGATTTTCTCTTCTCAGCCTCCCAAGTAGCTGGGACTACTGGCACGTGCCACCACATCCTGCTAATTTTTTCAATTTTTTGTAGAGACAGGGTCTCACTATGTTACCTAGGCTAGTCTTGAATTCTTGGGGTCAAGCAATCAAGCAATCGGCATCCCGAAATGCTAGGATTACAGGCATGAGCCACTGCGCCCAGCTAATTTTTGTATTTTTTTTAGAGATGGGGTCTCACCATGTTGCCCAAGCTGGTGTCGAACTGGTCTCAAGCGATCCACCCACCTCAGCCTCCCAAAGTGCTGGGTTTACAGACATAAGCCACTGCAGCTGGCCAGCAATTTTCAAGTATACAATACATTGTTATTAACTCTAGTCATCATGTTATACAATAGATCTCCTGAATTTATTCTACCTAACTGAAATTTTGTATCCTTTGACTAAAGCTCTCCAATCCCTGCCCACACCCGCCCCCCGCCCCCTAGCCCCTGTGCAGCCACCATTCTATTCTCTGCTTCTGCAATTTTATTTTATTTATTTATTTTTTTAAATTTATTTTGAGACAGGGTCTCACTCTGTTGTCTGGGTTGGAGTCCAGAGGTCTGATCACAGCTCACTGCAGCCTCAAACTCTTGGATTCAAGAGATCCTCCTGCCTCAGCCTCCCGAGTAGTTGGGACTACAGGCACGTGCCACCATGCCTGGCTGAGTTTGACTCTTTAGGTTCCACATGTAAATGAAATCATGGTATTTGTCTTTCTGTGCCTGGTTTATTTCATTTAGCATAATATCCTCTAGTTTTATCCATGTTGTCACAGATGACAGAATTTCCTTCTTTTTAAAGACTGAATAGTATTCCATTGTGTATATGTTCCATAATCTCTCTATTTATTCATTGATGGACACTTAGGTTGTTTCCATGTCTTGGCTATTGTGAATAATGGTGCAGTGAACTTGGGAATACAGATATCTCTTCAACATACTGAGTTCATTTCTTTTGAAATATACCTGATAATGGAACTACTGGATCACATGGTAGTTTTAATTTTTTGAGGAAGCTCCATTCTGTTTTCCAAAATAGGTGTACAAATTTACATTCCTACCAACAGTTTGTGAGGGTTCCTTTTTCTCCACATCCTTGCCACCACTTGTAATCTCTTGGTTTATTTTTATTTTTTTTATCAGAGCCATCTTAGCAGGTATGAGGTGATATCTCACTGTGGTTTAAATGTTCATTTCCTTGATAATTAGCAATATTGAGCATTTGTTTTTCATATACCTGTTGGCCATTTATGTGTCTTCTTTTGAGAAATGTTTTTTCAGATCATTTGCCCATTGTAAAATCAGATTTTTGGCTGGATGCAGTGGCTTATGTTTGTAATTCCAGCACTTTGGGAGGCCAAGGCAGGAGGATCACTTGAGCCTAGGAGTTCAAGATAAATCTGGGCAACATAGGGAAACCCTGTCTCTACAAAAAAATTTTAAAAATTAGCAGGGCACGGTGGGGTGTGCCTGTGGTCCCAGCTACTTGGGAAGCTGAGGTGGGAGGATTGCTTGAGCCTGGGAGTTGAAGGCTGCAGTGAGTTATTATTGCGGCACTGTATTCCAGCCTGAGCAACAGGGTGAGACCCCAACTTAAAGAAAAAAAATCAGATTTTTGGTTTTCAACAACTCTTGCTATTAAGTTTCTTATAAAAATATTCACCCCTTATCAGATGTATAGTTTACAAATATTTTGTCCCTTTCCGTAGGTTGTCTGTTGATTGTTTCCTTTGCTGTTCAGAAGCTTTCATTTGATGCAATCTCATTTGTCCAAAAAAATTATTGCCCAGACCAATGTCAAGAAGCCAAGATCATGCCACTGCACTCCAGCCCAGCAACAGAGCGAGACTCCATCTCAAAAAAAAGATCTGAAATTGTAAAAATACTAGAAGAAAATATAGGAGAAAAGCAATTCTCCTGCCTCAGCCTCCTGAGTGGCTGGGACTACAGGTGTGCACCACCACACCCAGCTGATTTTTGTATTTTTAGTAGAGATGGGGCTTCACCATGTTGGCCAGGATGGTCTCAATCTCTTGATCTTATGATCCACCTGCCTTGGCCTCCCAAAGTGCTGGGATTATAGGTGTAAGCCACCGCACCCCGCCATTTCAGATCTTATGTTTAAGTCTTTAATTCATTTTGAGTAGTTTTTTTTTTTTTTTTTTTTTTTTTTTTGGAGGCAGTCTCTCTCTGTTCTTCAGGCTGGAGTGCAGTGGTGTGGTCTTGGCAACCTCTGCCTCCCAGATTCAAGTAATTCTTGTGCCTTAGCCTCCTGAGTAGCTGGGACTATAGGTGTGTGCCACCACCCCTGGCTAATTTTTGTGTTTTTGGTAGGTTTCACCATGTTGGCCAGGCTGGTTTCGAACTCCTGGCCTCAAGTAACCCATTGGCCTTAGCCTCCCAAAGTGCTGGGATTACAGATGTGAGCCACTATGCCTGGCCTGAGTTGATTTTTGTATATGAGGTGAGATATGGTCAAATTTTATTCTTCTACATGTGGATATCCAGTTTCCCCAGGACTGTTTATTGAGGAGACTGGTCCTTTCCCCATTGTATGTTCTTGGCATATTTGTAAAGGATCAGTTGGCCATAAAATGTGTGGATTTATTTTTGGCCTCTATTCTGGTCTTATATGTCTGTTTTTGTTCCAGAACCATGCTGTTTTTATTACTATAGCTTTGTGGCAGCTTCTGAAATTAGGTAGTGTGATGGCTCTAGCTTTGTTCCTTTTGTTCAAGATTGCTTTGGCCATTTTGGTCCTTGTCTTTTGTGGTTCCATATGAATCTTAGGATTTTTTTTCTATTTCTGTGAAAATGTCATTGGAATTTTGATAGAGGTTGGATGGAATCTACAGTTTGGGGTAGTGTGGACATTTTAACAATATTAATCTTTCCAATCCATTAACATGGAATATCTTTCCATTTATTTGTGTCTTTAATTTCTTTCTTCAATGCTTTATGGTTTTCAGTGTACAGATTTCTCACCTCTTTGATTAAATTTATTCCTAAGTATATATTTTTGATGCTATTATAAATGTGATTGCTTTCTTGATTTCTTTTTTGGTTGGTGCATTATTAGTATACAGTAATGCTACTGACTTTTGAATATTGATTTTGTATCCTGCAACTTTACTGAATTTATTAGTTCTAATAGTTTTTTTGGTGGTATCTTTAGGGATTTCTCTATATAAGATCATGTCATCTACAAAGTGACAATTTAACTTCTTTCTTTCCAATTTGGATGCCTAGGGAGCATCAGTGGCTCAAGCCAGCTGTCCTGGTGCACAGGGAGGCGAGGCTATGAGTTCGAGGCCAACCTGGTCAACATTGACCAATTTGGATGTCTTGTATTTCTTTCTCTTGCCTATCTGTTCTGACTAGAACTTCTAGTACTATATTGAATAGAAATGGTGAGAATGGTTATCCTTGTCTTGTTCCTGATCTTAGAGGAAAATCTTTTAACTTTTCATGATTATGTATGATGTTAGCTGTGGGTTTGTCATATATGGGCTTTATTGTGTTGAGATACACTTTTTCTATACCTAATTTGCTAAGAATTTGTATCATGAAAGGATGTTAAATTTTGTCAAACGCCTTTCCCCCATCTATTGATATAATCATATAGTGTTCTTCATTTTGTTAACTGCTTGTACTTTTGTACTTTTAAAATTTTGTATAAGAAATCCTTCTCTATTCTGATATCATCAATATGTGATCTTATATTTTCTTTGAATAGTTTTCAGTTTTGCTTTTTACTCTAGCTACCTGAAATTTACTTCTGGGTAGGATGTAATGTAGAATTTATTTTTTGTGTGTTTGTTTGGATAGCCAGTTAACTCAAAACCATTGAACTTTCCCACTGATTTATGTCACTTCCATTATAGCCAAGTCTCATATCTTTGAGGGTCTGTATTAGTCCATTCTTGCACTGCTATAGATAAATACCTGAAATCAGGTAATTTATAAAGTTTAATTGGCTCATAGTTCCACAGGCTGTATAGGAAGCATGGCTGGGGAGGCCTCAGGAAACTTACAATCATGGTGGAAGGTGAAAGGGAAGCAGGCATGTCTTACGTGGCTGGAGCAGGAGGAAGAGAGGGAAGAGGTGCCACACGCTTTTTTTTTTTTTTTTTTTGAGACAGAGTCTTGCTCTGTTACCCAGGCTGGAATGCAGTGGCACAATCTCAGTTCACTGTAACCTCCACCCTCTGGGCTCAAGCGATCCTCCCACCTCAGCCTCCTGAGTAGCTGGGACCACAGGCATGCATCACCATGCTCGGCTACTATTTTTGTATTTTTGTAGAGATGATGTCTCAGCATGTTGTCCAGGCTGGTCTTGACCTCCTGAGCTCAAGTGATCCTCCTGCCTCAGCCTCCCAAAGTGCTGGGATTATAGGCAAGAGCCACTGCACCTGGCCTCCACACACTTTTAAACAACCGGGTCTCATGATAACTTACTATCATGAGAACTGCACCCAGTGGGAAATCCATTTCCATGATCCAATCACCTCCCACCAGACCCCATCTCCAACAAAGGGGATTACAATTCGACATGAGATTTGGAGAGGGAGGGACACAGATCCAAACCCTATTAGGATCTGATTCAAAAAAGTTTTGTTCTGTACTGTGGTCTATTTATGTGTGCATATACCAGGACTAGACTGTTTTAATCACTCTAAGTTTCAACCAGTAAACTTGTGACATATGGTTAGGCAAGGGATCTCATATTCTTCTGCTTCAAGTTTTGTTTTTTCTTGGCCATTTACTCTTCCATAAGAATTTTAAGGCCGGGTGTGGTGGCTCATGCCTATAATCCCAGCACTTGAGGAGGCCGAGGCGGGCAGATCACGAGGTCAGGAATTCAAGACCAGCCTGACCAACATGGTGAAACCCCGTCTGTACTAAAAATACAAAAAAATTAGCCGGGCGTGGTGGTGCGCACCTGTAGTCCCAGCTACTCAGGAGGCTGAGCCAGGAGAATCACTTGAACCTGGGAGGTGGAGCTTGCAGTGAGCCGAGATCGCGCCATTGCATTCCAGCCTCGGTAACAGAGTGAGACTCCGTCTCAAAAAAAAAAAGAATTTTAAGAACAGTCTGTCAAGTTCCATAAAATATCTGATTGGAGTTTTGCTTAGAATTGTACTGAATTTTTAGATTTGAGAAAAATTATCAGCTTTATATCAAACTTCCGTCTTTGTGAGTAGGGGATCTCTTCCTATTCTTTTATATCTTCTTTATGTTCTCTAATAAAACTTTATAATTTTCTCCATAAATATCATACACAGACTTTGTTATATTTATTCCTAAGTATCTTATGATTTTTGTTATGACAAATGGTATTTTCTTTTCTTTTTTTTTTTTTTTGAGACGGAGTCTCGCTCTGTCGCCCAGGCTGGAGTGCAGTGGCGCAATCTCGGCTCACTGCAAGCTCCGCCTACTGAGTTCACGCCATTCTCCTTCCTCAACCTCCCCAGTTGCTGGGACTACAGGTGCCTGCCAACTCGCCCAGCTAATTTTTTGTATTTTTAGTAGAGACGGGGTTTCACTGTATTAGCCAGGACGGTCTCGATCTGCTGACCTCATGATCCGCCTGCCTTGGCCTCCGGAAGAGCTGGGATTACAGGCGTGAGCCACGATGCCTGGCCTAAAATGAAATCTTTTATCTGTTTATTGCTGTGGTGTAAGGATATTGATGTTTGTGTATTCTCCTTGCCCCCGGCAAGGAAATTGTTATTTCTAATAGTTGGTAGGTTCTTGTGAATTTTCTTTGTATAGTAAGCAATCTATGTATAGTAATTGTCTATGTATAGTGATGGCTTTATTTCTTCTTTTTCTTCTTGTGTCACTTCAGACTTCTTGGCAGAAAGGTGAATAGAAACAGTAAAAACTGGTATCCTTGTCTTGACTTTGGAAGTTACTTTCTATTCCTAGTTAGCTAGATTAAAAAGATTAAAAAAGAAATAGACAGGTTCTCACTATACAGTGGTTATTCACAGCCTCAATCATAGAGCACTACAGCCTCAAACTCCCAGGTTCAACGAACCTTACCACCTTAGCCTCCCAAGTAGCTGGGACTACAGGCACAAGCCACCACACCTGGCTAATTTTTAAATATTTTGTAGTTCACTACAGCACTATTCACAATAGCAAAGACATGGCGTCAACCCAAATGCCTATCAATGAAAGACTAGGTAAAGAAAATGTAGTATGCAGCCAGGCGTGGTGGCTCACACTTGTAATCCCAGCACTTAGGAAGCCTGAGGCAGGTGGATCAGGAGTTCGAGACCAGCCTGACCGACATAGTGAAACCCTGTCTCTACTAAAAATACAAAAAAATTAGCCAGGTGTGGTGGCAAATGCCTGTAATCCTAGCTACTCAGGAGGCTGAGGCAGGAGAATTTCTTGAACCCGGGAGGCAGAGGTTGCAGTGAGCTGAGATTGTGCCAATGCGCTCCAGCCTGGGTGACAGAGTGAGACTCTATCTCAAAAAAAAAAAAAAAAAAAAAAAAATGCCGGGCACGATGGCTCATACCTGTAATCCCAGAACTTTGGGAGGCCGAGGTGGGCAGATCACAAGGTCAGAAGTTCACGACCAGCCTGGCCAACATGGTGAAATCCTGTCTCTACTAAAAATACAAAAATTAACAGGGTGTGGTGGCACTCGCCTATAGTCCCAGCTACTTGGGAGGCTGAGGCAGAAGAATCGCTTGAACCCAGGAGGCAGAGGTTGCAGTGAGCCGAGATTGTGCCACTGCTCTCCAGCCTGGGTGACAGAGCAAGACACCACCTTAAAAAAAAGAAAAAAGAAAATGTAGTATGCGTACACCATGGAATACTATGCAGCCATAAAAGGGAATGAGATCATGTCCTTTACAGGGATGTGGATGGAACTGGAAGCCACTATCTTCAGCAAACTAACACAGGAACAGAAAACCAAACACCACATGTTCTCACTTATAAGTGGGAGCTGAACGATGAAAACACCTGGACACATGTGGGTGGGGGGAACAATAACCCACTGAAGTCTGTCAGAAGGGGAAGTGGCAGGAGGGAGAGCATCAGGAAGAATAGCTAATGGATACCGGGTTTAATACCTAGGTGATGGGTTGACAGGTGCAGCAAACCATCATAGCACATGTTCACCTATGTAACAAACCTGCACATCCTGCACTTGTACTCCGGAACTTAAAATAAAAGTTGAAAAAATATTTTGTAGAGACGAAGTCTCACTATGTTGCCCAGGCTGGTCTTGAACTTCTGAGCTCAAGCAATCCTCTTGCCTTGGCCTCCCAAAATTCTGGGATTTTAGCAGTGAGCCACTGCACCTGGCCTCCAGTTCTGGATCCTGGGTCTTGCGACATTATTCCATGCTGGCTTCTGAAGTCAATGAGGCAAAACCAGAAAGGGGAACTAAAAAGTTAAAGAGGGAGAGGGTCTCACAGGCAAGATGGAGGAAGCCTGGGATGAAGGCAGGGCTGTGGACCTGAATGATGCCAGGAATTAAGGAGGAAGTAACAGTGTTAGGTAATAGCACATGGGATTCTTGGGCTGCAGCTACAGGAGGGAGAATCATGGCCTTAATTCATCACCTCTGAAATCCTGAAATATCTAGCCTCCTGCCCAGATCCTGCCATGAATGCATCTATTCAACCACTATTTATAAAGTATCCAGTGTTAGGTCCAGGGAGTGGCAAGAGTGAGCATCTGCAGTCATAGTCCCTGCCCTCAGGGAGCTTACATTCAATGGGGCAGACAGACATCAGTCTGTACATAATCATCAACAAATGTAGAACTCCAACAGGGCCAAGTGCCTCTGAGGAAAGGTACACCTTAGTGTGAGCGCTCATAACAGGAGAATTTGACCCTGAAAAGAAGGTCAGGAAGGCTTCCCTGAGGCTATTGAGAAGGTGAGGCCTGAAGAATGAAGAGGAGCTAAGAGGAGAGGAACAGAGGAAGGAGCCTTTCCACAGAGGGTCCAGCCTCCCTGGAGACTCTGTGCAGGAGGAAGCACAAGGTGGACAGCAACTGGAGCACACGAGTGAGGGGGTGTGGTGGGAGATGAGGCTGGAGAGGAGGGGCCACCCCTTGCAGGGCCTTAGAGGTCAGGTTAAGGACTTGGGTCTTTAACCTAAGATCAATGGAAAACCACTGAATAGGTTTAAGGAGGCTGACTGAAACAATCAGATTTGCATTTTTAAAGGATCCCTCTTAGGTGTGTGTCATACTGTAGAGAAGGCCATTCCCAGCCTCTTCAGCTACTGCAATGACTCAGAGAAGGCCACATGGTCCACATGGTGGCTAGCCCAGGGATGTGGAGGGATGAAAACGAGTGGACAGACTTGAGATATATTAGAGCAGATAAAATGGATAGGACTAGGTGCTGGATTCAATATTGAGATGCTCATTCTAAACCGCCCCTACATCAAATCCTTCGAAGGCAGGGGCTATGCCACATGACTATGATACCCAGGTCCCAGAACAACTCCTGACACATGGTAGACTCAATACACATTTCCCGAAAGGGTGGAAATGATTAGCAGTCTCTCAAGTAATCCTTTGACCACTAAGCGTATTTAATTTCTTCTAGCATGTGTCAGTAATCAACCTCCTTGGTACATCATAGGGAGAAATATTGCCGAGTTCCAAAGAGTATACTCTGGGGCAAGTTAATACAAGAATAAGGTCTCACTTACCCTATAACATGAAGAGTAACAGTAAACTCGTAAGAACAGGACCTGGTGAAGCAAGGAGTAGGCACAGGAAGATGGCTCATCAAATAGGGGCGCCGGGTGTAGTGTGAACACCTGAGGCAGGAAGAACCCAGTAGCCTCTGGGGGTTGGGTGGGATTAGTTGGGGGACTAGGATTTGATGGTAGGGGGTTGTCCTGGAGATCTCTGGAAATTAAGTTATCTATTTTTTTTCTGTTTTTATTTTTATAAAAGAACTCTTAAGGGCATTTTTTTCTTTGTTTGTTCTGTTTTGAGATAGAGGTTCACTCTGTCGCCCAGGCTGGAGTGCAGTGGCGTGATCTCGGCCACTGCAAACTCCGCCTCCCAGGTTCAAGTGATTCTCATGCCTTAACCTCCTGAGTAGCTGGGATTACAGGCATGGGCCACCACGCCTTGCTAATTTTTGTGTTTTTTGTATAGCCAGGGTTTTGCCAGGTTTGGTCAGGCTGGTCTTGAACTCCTGGCCTCAAGTAATCCACCTACCTTGGCTTCCCACAGTGTTGGAATTACAGCCATGAGCCATCATGCCCAGCCTAAGCTATCACTTTAAAATGACCCTTCAAGAAAGTCCCAAGGAGTCTAATCCATCCACGACAACAGCACGTCTGAGACAGCCTAGTGAAATTTCTCCGATGGAGGACAGGAGATGGAAAAGTGCCCCAGGACCTCTTATTTATATAAAAAACAAAATTTTTTAAGACCCTGAGAAGTATGGATTCTTCTCCAGAGAAAAGTTCCTGGCTTGGGAGCTCCCTTAGGACTTGGCACTTTGGTCTAGAGTGAAGTGGACCTGGCCATTCCAGCTTTGAGTGGGTTCAGGCGAGACACTCGAGCTACCCCTTATGGTTGCTCTGAAGGTCACCCTGGCTGGGAGTGGGTGGATCTCTGCTCTGTTATGCCTCCCACAGGTGGAGGAAGTCTGTCTCTGAGGCTGCCCTGCCACCCTCATAGAGCGCTGCAGATTGGGGGCGGTGATGCAGCCACAGGGGCTCTGATTCCCTGCCTCCCCACTGTGTTCATCTCATTCCTCTCCACATATGAGGCCTGGTGTCATGGCAGGTGGGTGTTCCAAGTGAAACCACAGCCACAGAGGCAAGCAGTAGAGCCTGTCCCTGATGTGGCCCTGGTGATGCTGCACCAGCCTGGGGCTGTATCAGAAACCATGCCTGCAGCCTTTGCTTCTGCAGACTTGCTGGTGCTGCACCAGCCCTGAGCAATGTCCATAGCCCTTGCCTCACTGGTCACTGTGATGGGGACGCCCCCAGGTATGGTTCTGCTGCTGGTGTTGCAGGTTGGAGTGGGGGCCAGCACCCTCATCTACCACAAGAAGGCTTAGGTGGCACAGACGTAAGGCTGCTTGCCTGTGTGTAGAGTGGCAGGCTGCAACGGGCTGGAGCCTTGGGGAGAGGCCCTTGCCACGCTGGTGGCAGTGATTGGGTTCAGGCAGGTGTGTGCCGCAGTGCTGGGCCAGGTGTGAGCTGTGGCAAGAGCTGTGGCCACACTTTCTGCAGGAGTAGGGCCTATCACCTGTGTGAAAGTGTTCGCACAGGGTCAGGTGGGCCCCTTGGCTGAAGTACTTCCTATATTAGGGGGAGGAGAAGGGCCCCTTGCCCAGGCTGTGCTGAGAGAGGTGAGAGCAGTGGGAAGAGACTCCACATTCCAGGCAGGAAATTTGAGTGGATTTGTGGGTGGAGATGGGGGTCCCGGGTAGGGGAGTTGGGGAAGGGTTGGTTGTGACAGCTGGCAGGTAAAGGAGTGCCATAGTAGGTAGAGGGCTGGGTCTGTCCTCTCTTCTCCTCCTCCTCTCCCTTTGCTCCCAGCCTGCAGGGAGAGGGGAGAGAGGTGAGAGCAGCATGGGGGAGGAGGAAGCAGAGGAGACAGAGGTGGGAGAGGAGAGGCTATGCCCCACACCCAACTGAAGAAGTGGTTGGCGGTTTCAGCGGCACCTCCCTCCTCGCTGAGGTGGACTGTGAAGGTGGAGAAGCCCAGAGCACAGCCTCCTGTGAGCAGCTTCCCAGGGTGTTGAGGGCTGCCAGGCAAGGACAGGGCCCTCAGAGTTAGGCCTTGCCTGGGCAGGGGTCTCCTGGGGGAACCTTCCCTCAGGGCCCTGAGGCTCTGGGCTCCAGAGCTCAGCTTCCGCGTTCAGATACATGGTCTGCTCTGCTTTGGAGACTGAGAAGCCTGAGAGGTAAAATCGTGCTGGGTGGTAGGTAGGGTAAGGGAGAGGGAGCTTCCCCCCATCTCCCTCACCCACTGCAGAAAGGCTTCTCTGTTTCCTTCCCCAGCCCAGTCCCACCTCCTCTGTGAGGCCGCTCCTCACCTCCCTACTGGCCTGCAGTGATCCTCCTGCTTGGGAGTCACAGAGCACCCCTACACGGGCCCTTTGCCATTCTTTATAGTATAAGGCAAGGCCGTAACATTTTGTGGGGCATCTTCTTCAGTGTCCTCAGCCTTGTGTGAACATCAGAAGCACTTGGGGGCTTGGGAAAATGCAATTGCTGGCCCCATCTCCAGTTTCTTAAACAGCAGATCTGGGGTGGGGCCCAAGAATTTGCATTTCTAACAAGTTCCCAGGCGATGCTGATGCTGCTAGTCTGGGATCCACACTGGGAGAGCCACTGATCTGTTAGGCGTGTAACTTTACTTGTATTATCTCTCAATTCTCAGGGCAACCTGTTACTCTCCCCCATTTTGCAGGTGAAGAAACAGAGGGAAGACCCAGTGCCTTGTGCAAGGTGGCTCAGTTTGTAAGTGGCAGAGCCGATTTGAACCCACGTTTGTCTGACTCTAATACTGTATCAACCCTCCTTCCTCTACCCTGTTCCTCTGCATTGTCAACTATTCCACATGTATCTTGTTCCTCAACAAAATAGTAACGTTTTCTTTTGCATACTTTATATCTCTCACCTTGCCTGACCCAGTAACATAGGCTTGGTTGGGAGGGACTGAAGGACTTGGAAAGGAAATGCCCCAGTGGAGCCAGGATGGAAATGGGTTCCTCTGTGTCTCCCACATGGTGTCACCTAAATAAACAGCCATGTCTGTGAGGTTCAGTCATGGGGAGAGGAGGGCAAGAGAGCACTCGCACCAAGCGATGGGGTTAGGGGGACACGAAAGGAAATGTGATAAATAGAGAGGGGGGCGTGTGGGGCGAAGGTGAGGACTGGGGACCCGGGAGGGGGCAGGCTGTTTCAGAGTGAAGGCAGGACGGGCAGCAGAGACAGAGAAGAGGCTGCCGGGTGGTTAGGGCTGGGGAGGACAAGGAGGGTGAGGACAGACGATCCCGGCAGCCCCTGGAGCCAGAAGAGAAGTCAGGTTAACTCCAGACTTTTGGCTTCCACCTCTGTATCTCACCCAACTCCTCCCCACCTGCTTCTCTACCCTGAAACTCCAGGAACAACGCCCACCTGCCTCCCACTACAACTTCCCCTTATACCGTACACGTCCTGGATGCTTGGGGTCCGGGAGGAGGGGAGTCAGGATCACGGGTTCCAGGGAAGTGAGTGTAGAAAGGGGCTCCTACGAGGGTAGAAGTGGGTGTTGTCTGCTTCTGCAGGAAAGGGGCCAGCCAGCCCAACTGGTCCGCAGTACTTGCTGGGGCTGGAGGATGCCCACCTGCATCTACGGGATTGAGGGTACCGGAGAGGAGGCGAACAAACGAGAAATCCCAAGGGTGGAGAAGGGAGCCATGGGATCGGCGGGCGGGCCGCGCAGCTGCGGAACTGGGAGGGCCAAGCGGGCTTTAGGGGGAAACACGGCCGGCTCCTCTGCCAGTGAGACAGAGAACTGAGCATGGGGGAGGAATTTGGGGCCAGAGGGGCTGGGGGTACCCAGAGCAGAGGAAACAGGAAGTGAGGGGCAGAGAGGTTACGGGTGGTGGAAGGAACAGCAGTCGGTTCTGGAGAGGCGATTCCTCTTCCCCGAATACCTGCACTGCCCCGGACCGGGAGTGCAGTCGTGCGCCCCTGTCCCCCCAGCCTCAGGCTTGGTGCCCAGCCCCGCTCGCGGAACTCGAGGCCAGTAAGGCAGCCGCGGCTTTCCTTGATGCCCCCACTCCTCTGCTCTCAGCCGCTGCCTGGACGAGCACAGAACTAGTGTTCCCAGGCGACCCTCCCTCCGCTCAGCCCCGCTGCCCGGCGGGCAAAGGCTGTGCACTCACACTCCGAGTCTGCAGCCCAGCCTGCCCTTTTTTGGGAGGTGGCCCGGGGACTGGGATGTCGAACAGGGAGCTTCTCCGCAGTCCTCTCCACCTCCCTCCCTCTTTCCAGCTATAGAAACCGGCTGCTCGCAGTGACTTCCAAACATCACGGTCATTCCCACATCTACACACATCCCTTTCTCTTTTGAGCCATTTTCCTGCTTTCCCTTTGGTGTTGAAACCCTGGATTTCAGCCTGGGCGACTCAGGTTTTAGGGGGGAAAGTTTGGGGTCTAACTTGGCACCTCTGTTTTTTATCCTCTCTTCCAGCTTCATAGATGGTTCCTATTTTCATACATATTTGCTAATTTGGAGTTTCCGACGACATATCTCGAATAACCCGACATTTTCTCCCCATTTCCAAGGCTGATTTTACATTATTTCTAGGCCTCCCTCCCCAATCTATTTTCCTTTCTTTTTCTTGTACACCCCTGATAAACAGACACACAGAACTGCAGGTTTCAAAGAGGAAAAAAGCACGTTTGTTGTTGGTAGGCGGGCGTGAATGGGAGGGTTCTTCACCTTCTCCAACACCTCGTATAGATGGGACGTTGCAGGGCAATAGAAAAGGCAGCAGATGGGGGCGTGTTTTGCCCCACTCTGTACAATATAGAAGAATCTCATATAGATACTTTGTATAAAAGCCACGTGTCCTCATTTGTGTCCTCTTATTGGCTGGCTGGGC
Source organism: Homo sapiens (assembly GCF_000001405.40). NCBI lineage: Eukaryota > Metazoa > Chordata > Mammalia > Primates > Hominidae > Homo > Homo sapiens. Next base: position 4,406,898 of record NT_167248.2, on the reverse strand, counting down.
TGGGGGTACTGGGGGACAAAGAAGCTGGGGTGATAGACCAGGACACAGGGATACCCCATGGTCCCCTTCCTCTGGCTGTCCCCTGGTGGGGTCACTTTGGATCCTTGGTGGGAGCATAGCACAGCTCCAGTGGCCGGGACACCTTCCAGAATTTCTCATTCACCAGCTCCAGGGTCAGCGAGCCATTCAACGTCTGAGGAGGGGGTAAAAGGGAGAGAGGGGAAAAGAGAGAGGAAAGTTGGAGAAGATGGAAAAGGAAATGAATGAGAGGCAAAAGGTGACCAAGGGAGGAGGAAAGAAAAAAGGAATAATAAAAGCGATAAGGCAAAAAAGGACATGGATGATGGGAAAGGAGAGGGGACATAGAAAGAGATAGAGGATGTATAGGGGAAGAGTGCTGATGAGTTAGACCAGGCTCATGGTTCTATGTGGCCCAGACCACCCTCCCTCCTCTCCCCTCTTCTACCACTGCCCTCAGAAGCTCTCACCGTGAACGCCCCGCCTCCAGGTGCGATGTAGATGGTGTACTGCTTTTCACTGACGCCCTCCAGGCTGGGCAAAGCAGGCTCCTCAGGACCATCACCTCCTCCGGCACCCCCACCCTCCCCGCCACACCCATCAGGTCCTCCGGTGTCAGAGGCGCCCCCTCCAGGCCCTCCTGGCTCCCCTGCTTCCTGCTGTTGCCTCCGCTCGAGGGCAATGCGCAGGGCCAAGTACTTGGAGAGGTGGTCCACTGTGGCATTCCCAGTTGTCTTCACATACCTGGAATGGGAGGGAGGACAGGCTTAGAGCCAGAGCGCCTCAGATGAGGACTGGAGGTAGGGGCTTTCCAAAATGGATTCTGGGTTGGGGTGGTATTTTGGGTTTGGGCAAAGCCCACTTCTGATGGAAATCTAGGTGATCTTTGGTTTCTCAGTGGCTGGGGAAAGACAGGGCTCCTCACCTCGTCTGGCAGTATTCTCCCTTCTCCACGAGCAGGGGGTGGGGCCGGAACACGAGCTCAATTTCTCCACCTGGCTCTGGGGGGCTGGGGGCCCCAGGAGGGCTTGGGGGGCCCAGCGTTCCCCCTCCCAGAGTCCCTCCCCGGTCACCAGAGTCTTCCGAACCGGCACCCCCACCCACCCCACCAGTGCCGCCTCCCCCTGTCCCTACACTGCTCCCCCCTGCGCCCCCTCCACGGGGTCGCTTGGGAGCAGGGCCTGGGGCAGAGTCAGGGGCGGAGTCTGAGCTCACATCTTCTCCATCCCCTTCTCCCTCCCCGGGCTCTCCTTCCCCCCCACTCATCGTTGTGGTCTGATCTGACCCTGGTATCGGCCGCCTCACACGCTGGGCCCTGTAGAAGCAAGTGGTTAAGGTTAGAAGGCATCCAGGATAAAGGGCTTAGACTTTAAACTTCAGAGAATTAAGAGATAAGAAAAATCCTAATGACGATACCTAATATTTATTAAACACAATGTGCTAAGCACTCAGTATACTAAGTGTTTTGCACCAATCCCCTTACCTAATACAATGAATCCTATGACACAGGTAATTATATTACCTCTATTTTATGGCTGAGGAAACTGAGGCTTAGAGAGGTTAAGTAACTTGTTAGTGATCATAGGCTGTCACCTCTCAAAGTGCGGTAGCAGCATACACATCCCCTGTGAGCTTGTGAAATGCAGACTCTCGGGCCCAACTCTAGACCTACTGAATCACAGTTTGCATCTGAAGATCTACAGGTAATCTGGATACACATGAAAGACTGAGAGATGCTGGCCTAGGAGGTGATTTAACTTCCAGCAGTATGAATCCGGGGCTTATTCTCAAAATCGCTCTACTGTTCTAACTTCTAGAAAGTCATGGGGTAAACTACATTTTTCCTTTTTTTTTTTTTGTGACAGGGCCTTGTTCTGTCGCCCAGCAGGCTGGAGTGCAGTGTGCAGTGGTGTGATCATGGTTCACTGCAACATCCACTTTCTTCCCAGGCTCAAGTGATCCTATTACCTCAGCCTCCCAAGAAGGTAGGACTACAGGCATGTGCCACCATGCCCAGCTAAATGTTTAATTTGTTGTAGAGATGAGATTTCCCTATGTTATTCAAGGTGGTCTCAAACTCCTGGGCTCAAGTGATCCTCCCATCCTCACCTCCCAAAGTGCTGGGATTACAGATGTGAGTCACTGTGCCCAGCCCTATATTTTTCTTAAGAAGAGCAGGGCCAGTTGTTTACTAAGAAACTGCAATTTACACCCATGATTTCCAGCCCTAATGATCAGTCTGTGGTCAGCTCCTAGGATGCTGAGGCTTAGAAGCTAGCAGGCAACAAGGACTGACCCACGGACCCATCCCATCAGTTCTGCTTCTCTCCTGACCCTCACACCTGTGCATGGCCTGCATGCGTAGCCCCTCCTCAATGCTGGAGCTCAATGCCTGCTGGTTGTGCAGGCGGCTCAGGCGGATAAGCACTCGGTCTTGATGGGCCTCGTATTCCTCCCGGCTAGGATAGATCTTAGAGATCAGGGCATCAAAGTTGGGGTCTGGCCGTAGGGATCGCTTGGACACCAGCTTCTTTCGGCAGGTAGGACACTCCTTGTTCCTGGGGTAGGAGAAGGGAAGCCCTGAGTGGTCAGTCAAGGGAACTGAAGCCTAGGCTGAACCAAGACCAGTGAGAGGGCCCTAACTTTGTACCCCTTCATCTCATCTCAAACATGTCTCTCCTATTACCCGCTCCGTAGGGCTGTGACAATGCAGTCAGAGCAGAATCTGTGGAGGCACTCCTTGGTGGTCATCGTATTCTTCAGCATGTCCAGGCAGATAGGGCACATGAGTTCTGAATGCAGTGACCGAGGGGAAACAGCAATCTCTGTGCCATCCATTATGGCTTCCTGAAGGCATCAGTGAGTAGAAAGGTGGTGTGGGTTAGAGGGAAAGGGGTTTTAGAAACAGCAGCCCATAAAATAAGAATTTTGAGAAATACAGTGAGAAGACCCATGTTGGTCTCTATAGGAGACAAGAATTCTGAGAAAGAGAAGGACTGATGACTTGGAGCAAATGGAGAAAAGACAGACTTTAGTGTCCATTAACTAAGAGTAGGAGCTTTGGAATAGGAGGATCTGAGGTGGCTAAGTGGCCTAGGAGTGAAGATGGCACAAATCTGTGGTTGGGAAAAACTATTCAACAAAATTTTTTAAAGTCCTGGTGCTACCTGTATTAGAACCCCATAGGGTGCCTGTTAAAAATTCAGATTCTGAGAACCCAATTCACTACTGAATCAGAATGTTGGGGGGCATGAAGCTCTGCTTTTAATAAACTCCCAAAGTGAGTCTTATGTGCACTGACTTATGACACTGAATGAGGAACAGGGAAGGTAATTTTTGTGTTTGTGATCTTTCAAATGAAGATAATAATACTTGTTCCACCTCTCTGGCAGGGCTGTTTTGAGGATTAAATGAGCTAAATGCGAAAGTGCTTTGGAAAGATTAAGGTGATTCAAAGGTAGGGCCAGGCAAGGCAGAATAGAGCAAATTACGGAAAAGAAGCTGTGTGATGCGGTCTGTGGATATAAGGGTTTGGGGGAGGGGGTAAGCCTGAAAGGGAGAATGCCTGTCACCTGCGGGGTCCGGTGCAGCTCATACAGACTCAGTTCCCACGTTTTGCTGGCATTCTGGGCATTCGCCGGCGTCGTCATGGTGACCGGGCGCAGACCCCCCACCAGGGCTCCACAGCCGAGGAGAAGGCGAAGAAGGCTGGGGGTGGGGGGAAGGGGAGGAGGGCGTCAGGGGGGCCGCCCCTCGCGTAGACCCCGCCCCTCCAGAAGCGCCCCTCTCCGCCCCCGCTCCCGCCCCCGCGCCGGCACTGCCCCTCACCCAGCTCCAGCCGTTCGCGCTCCCGCCGCCGCCGCGCCTCTCCCTAGGCCCGGGCTCCTGGGCCAAGTTCGCTCGGTCCGCAACCGCTGCTCAGACAGCAGCTCCCGCCACCGCCGCCGCCATGGCCCGGGCGCTGGGGCCCTACGTCACTTCCGCCTGCTCCTCCGCTACACCCGCTCCCCCCGCCGGCGGAGACGTCACCCACCATTCGCGGCGCGGGTGGGACGGGACGTGGACGCCGCGGTTCTCCCGCCCACGGGACGGGCTCGTCCCGCGTGAGGATCCTGCGTCCCGGGAGTTCTGCGCCACTTAGGGAACCACGGTCTCCGCCCCCGGCCCAGCACCGTCGCGCGGCCAACAACCTTAGCCTCGGTTCCCTTCCAGAGGCCCCCACGCGGGGCCTCAGCTCCGGGGGGCCGGGGCCTGGAATATCTGGGACCCCAGGAGGGGACAGAGGGCTCGTGAAAAGGGCTACCTCCCCCACTCTGCGTACCCTGGCGACTCTGGGGATCAACCCCCCTCACTTCTCCGTAACCCCCATTCCAGGATCCCGGGGGAAAAGGCTGCAAAAGATCTGCCGCTTTAGCCTTCTAGTCCTGAGAACACACCTAGGTCCCGATGTGCCCGGGATTCCCCTTACCACCCTGGGGACTCCCTCCACCCTCTGCTTTGGCTCTCCCTAGACCCTCCGACCCGCTCTCCCGCTCGAGGTTTGGGGGCGGCGGCTCGGGACGTCCAGACTCAACTCTCGGCCGGAGCCATAGACTCGAGAATTGCGTTTGGACAATCAGGAGCCGCGGCCCGGGGCGGGGAAGGGAGGGAGGCGCACGGGAGGAAAGGGGGAATGGAGACACCACGCGGAAACAGGGACATACACAAGATGGAGCTCCCATTGGGAAGGGGGGGTGCGCGTGTGGGTGGGGTACACAGGGGCAGAATGTCTGGAGTGGGAAGTGGGCAGAAGCCTCTTCGAGGACTCTAGAGTAAACGAAGGGGATGGGGAGGAAAGAGAAGAGGAAGGGGCAGAGCGATCCCCATTGAGTGTAGGGAATGAGAGGGATACAGGGCGAGGGGGTGGGGGGCAGTTAGAGACCCTGATGGGCATCTTGTCCCCGCCCGAGCTGAGGCTCCCGGACTTGGGCTGCGGCTGCCAGGGGGTGGCCTGTCCCTGGGACAAGGCAGCAGTGGGTGCCCTCGCCCCCCACCCCAGTTCCCCCCTACTTCCCTGTCCTCTCCTTCAGTCCGTGGCCAGTCCTTATGTGGGCGCCAGAGTCGATTAGCGCAGACCCCCCTCCCCTTCCTCCTCCTCTTCCCAGCCCCCTCCCTCCTGCTCTCTCCAGCCCCTTTCATCGGCTGGTTCATTCCCCTAATCCTGGCCCCCTCCCCTAATCCCCCCCATCCGACCCCAGGCCGGCTGCAGCTATTGTAAGGTGGAGAGAAAGGGGAGGGGGGGACTCAGAGAAAGGAGAGGGGTGGGGGAGGGCCACCTGTTCCAAGACCCCCTTTCAAGGCCAGACTGGACACCAAGATGGGGCCATGAACAAATCACCCTTGGGGACCATAAGAACCCAGGGAGTTGGGGGGAGGGGACTGGTGCTGCAGAACCAGTGGAAAGGGGTGACGCACGAACCCCTCCCTTCAAAAAGACCCGGAGTGTCACGCATACACAGTGACACATACTCTTTCCTCTCACACCCGGCGGCGGGGGTTGCCCTGGGAGACCAGGCAGAGAAAGGGAACAATCCTTCGGGAAAGGGAAAGGAGGGGGAGGTGGGGAAGGGTCTGAGGGCTTGGACACAAGAAGAGCCGGAGGTGGCAGGGAAGAGGACTTGGAATTTATTAGGGTCACAAGCACCCCTGCTTCCCATATTCAGCATTCCTGAACCATACACTGCCACCCCTTTTGTATCCTGGGAACTTAGAGTCCTCATCAGCAGGAGGCCAGGCAGAGTGGTGGGGGGGTGAGCAGAGTCCAGGGTCCTTGAGGCAGTTACATGAAAAGACCTCCTGGGAGGGGCAGAAACATTTGGACAGATGCATGGGTGGAGACACAAATGGGCTAGGGGGTACCCACTTCTGTCCCTGGCCTTGGGAACCTCTGCCCTTCCCAGTGGCTCCAGACTCCCCTTACTTGCTTTCTCATATAGTCTGGGTTCTACTTCTCTGCCCTCTCCCTCCCCATGCTGGCCTCATACCAGTGACTTCCACTGAGGTCCCTGTGATGTATCCACTATCTTCAGATGCCAAGAATGCGACCACATCTGCCACATCTATGAGAATGGTGGGGAGAGGGCAGAATTCTGCTCACTCCCATAGACCCAAAACAGCCATAATCTCCCACCAAAGACATCCCTCCCCACAAACCTCTCCACAGACACCAACCACCAGTCCCCTAGAAAATCCCCAAACTTTGGGGATCTCTTCATTCAGGCCCCCTTCCCAGGGACCCCACTACATTCAGTGCTCACCCTCAGGGTCCCCCAAGTGTCCCATCGGGATCATTTCAGTAATCTGTAAGGAAATACTCATGTGGGTGAAAGCTTCTTTTATGGATTTTTTTGAAGACTGAGTCTGTGACCCTTTTTTGTCTTCATTTCTCATACATTCATTGAATATTTAATGTTTGCCAGGAACTGTGCCCAGTATTCTCTCTCTCTCTCTCTCTCTCTCTCTCTCTGTGAAGCCCAGAGAGATTGAGTCTCTGAATGATTCTGCCCTCCACCCACAGCCTCCTACCTTGTCCACCACTTTCTGTGGCACTTTCTGTGTCATGGGTGTTGCAATGAACCCTGGGAGGACAGAGTTACAGCGGATCCCATGTCTGTGGGAAGGAGAGTGGCTGCCGATTCTGGAGAGGGCTGAATGCTGGTACCTCCCTCAGACCCCCCAGGTGCTCCCCAGCACCCTCAAGCATCTGACCAACCGTCCAAGCTCCCGGGCTGCGGTCTGGGTCAGCCCAATCACTCCAGCCTTGGATGCTGCATAGTTTGTCTGCCCCACGTTCCCCACCTATAGGTGAGTCAGAGATGTGGAATGAGTCAGGAGTCTCAAGGAGGGGTTCTCCTCTCTATACCACTTGGCTGGCTGACCTCGTCCAACTCAACCTGACCTTTCCTACGATGCTACTGATGTTGATGATGGAACCACGACAACCATTGGACACCAGGGCTTGTGCTGCAGCCTGAGTGACTAGGAAGGTGCCCTGGCGGGAAAGGGTAACAAGGGAGAAAAGATCAGCTGGGGTGACAGCCCTCCTCCAACTCCCTCCCCAGGCTAAGGGGGCCAAACGTCGCAGGTTCAGAGATCGCCACCTTGAGGTTGACAGCTATGACTTTGTCCCAGTCATCCTCAGACATGTGCAGCAGAAACTCATCCTGGGTGATGCCCGCACAGGACACAACGACAGATGGTGGGCGAGAAAAGCAGGCCTATGGGAGGGGGAGGTTACGCATCAAAAACCCCCCACAAAAAGCCGGGGCAGTGGAGGCAATATTAGAGCTTTAGAGGGGGAAAGTGGCCTGGCGTTCACCTGCACTTGTTCCAGCAGGCACCTGGCGGCCCTGGCCTCAGACACGTCAGCCTGGAAGGCAGCATGGTTCCCTCGGGGCGGCCCCTCCTTGCTCCCTGGCCCGCCCAGCAGCCGCACCGTCTCCTGTGCCGCTGCCCGGTCCAGGTCGCAGGCAGCTACGGTGGCCCCCTCTCCGGCCAGGCGTACACTGACCGCTCGGCCGATGCCGCTCCCCGCACCTGAGGTAGGACAGAACACGCCGGACCGGGCACGGGGAGGAGAGGGCAGGGATCAGAGGTCACAGGGCAGAAAGTAAAATGTGGGTAAGGGGCCAGAGGTCACAGCGGCCGCGCACTCCAAGGGCACGCCCCTGACCTCACTCCAATACCCCAAACCGCCCGGGGAAAGAACCCCCTCAACCTGTGACCAAGGCCAGTGCGGAGCGGAGTCGGTTCTGGAGCTGAGACGCCATGGCGGGCTGTGGGTGGGTGGGAATCCCAGCACTAAGCCAATCCCAGCGCAGAGGGGCGTGGCAAGGGCAAAGCCGGGGCCAATCAAAGGCCCGCCAGCCTTAGGCCATCTGCGGCCACCAGCGCAGGCCGACCTCCCACCGAGGGGGCGTGGCCCGACACTGCTGCTTAGGGGCCCCGGGTGTGGAGAAGACAAGGGGCCCCATTCCCCCCAAAAAGACAAAGACTGCATGTGGGGCGGAAGATCGGAGGTCTTTATTTCCGGTTACCACCCCTCCCCCTCGATTCAAACACAGTGATATAAAAGGAATAGAAACAAAAAAAATCAGGCCATGAGAATACCAACTAACCCTCTCCCACCCCATCCCCCCAATCACTCCCAAATCAGGACACACGATTGATGTTTGATGTTTATCCCCGACTCCTCCTGTTACCCTCTCTGTCCAGGACTCTGGTCTTCCCTGAAGCCTCCACCAACTGGTGGGAGAAAGGAAACTGGACCTTGGAGAACTTCCTGTGTAGCAACTTGGTTCTCCGAGAACAGGTGGGGTAGGGGACACCAGGTAGGCTGCCATCACCCCCTGTCCCTTCCAGCCTTCTTCATGGCCCCATTTAGCCTTCCAAATGCAACATGGTCAGACAGTGCCCAACACTATGGTCCCTCTGGCCTCTCATTCTCACCGCTCCAGCCTCTGTAAGACTGCCAGCCCTTGAAGGCCCTAATGCCAAAGTAACCATTCTCCCAGGCTACAGTTCCTTCCTTTGGCAGATGTCCCTGGCCAGGGCCCCCAACCTCTACGCACCCCTGACCTGGAGTTAGGGGTAGAGGTTTGGGGCAGGGGTAGTTTATCCACCCCTCACTCAAGGTGGGCAATCAGCACCATCATGATAACTCCCCCCAGCAGCCCCAGCACCTCCAGAAGTGATTGCAATGGTGATGCCTCCCTCAGCAGCTCGGGCAACACAGACACTGTTGCTACGTAGATAAAGCCACCTGCAGTAAATGGCAGGACCCAGCCAGGACCTGCACCACCTGCAATTTCACTGCCCACTGCTCCTCCTTCAGTGAGAAGGGCACAGGCTGTGCCTGCCAGTGCCCCTACTGCTGTCAGTAGTTGCAGACGCATCGCCTGATGGGCAGAAAAGAGAAAAAGGCACTCACCAATAGCTAAAGATTATCAGTGGTTTAGAAGTGGCTGGTGGGGTATAGGTATAGGGGACATGGATTTGGAAACTAAACATCAAAATAAAAAGAGAAGAGGGAGCAGTCTAGAATAGACAATTTCTGAAAAATCTTAAGAGATCAGAGGTCCTTTCCACAGACTTTCTGATTGAGTAGGCGTGTGTGTGTAAGACTCCACTAAACCATTCAGATGGTTTATAGACCAGTTTAAGAAATACTGAGCTAAAGGACAAAGTAACCAGAACTTCTTCCCCCTCATTTCTAGAGGACTTGTCAATGACAGTATGAATTGTTTGGAACTAATAAGAGGCTGTTTGGGTTTAGGGTGAGTGAGGAGAGATAAAGGGTTTGAGGCAGCTGTGTTTGGCAGACATCACCAACCTGCTTTTTGCTGCAGCCAGACTGGACCAAGATGGCAAAGTCTCCGACCTCGTGGGGCACTTCATGTAGCAGGACAGTCATTGTGGTCAGGATCCCTAGTCCCCGGCCCCCTCGAAAGGAAGCCCCAATGGCCAGACCATCAGTGAAGTTGTGTGCCAAGTCAGCAGCCAGATTCAGGTACCCCGACACACGCAGGTCTTGTACAGGACAAGAAGAGAAAATGATCAGAGGCTTCCATCACCACTTGTTCCAGTCTTGGTCAGCTATTCTCACACCTCCCCTCAGAGACCACTTTACACCCAGTCCTTTAGTGTTTCTCAGATACCTGCCATTACCCACAGCACATATTCCATGTGATTTGTGATGATGTCCCTTGCCCAAATTTATCACCAACTCTGGCCCTTACCTAAGCCTCTTTTTTCTTCTTCAGCGTTCTGAGGTCTCACTGGCCCATCTTTGGGTACTGTGCTCCCTCCTCGCCTCTTCTGAACCCCTCTTGTTTCCTTTTCTTCTTCCTCTGAGCTCTGCTTCTCCTTGGTAGAACGCTCTGAGGGAAGAAAAGAGTTGGTCAGAGTGGAGAACAGATCTTCCAACATGTCCTCTCCCTCCTGAGGGCCATAAGATGAGGAGATTCTGAGGCAGGCAAGTCAGCTTTCAGGAAAGTTGTTCCTGGGCTCACCTTGTCTTCCATGTCCATGACTTCCACGTGTATGACTGTGAGCGTGTCCATGTCCATGACTGTGACCATGTCCTCCTTTCACATGTCTCACAAATTTCTCCACGACAAGAAAGGCAACAATTCCACTGAGAACCCACAGTCCCACAGACAGAATGGGGCCCTGGCCTGGGAATGGAGGCATTGAGACATTAAGGGAGATGTGCATTCCAGACTCCTCCTCCTCAAGTGCGGGAGGTGAGGAATAGGGAGAGACGGACCTTCCCCAGCACCCCAACTCCCATCCCCATCTGTCTCTTCCTCACCACTGTGGGAGTGTCCATGTCCGGGTTGCTCCAGAGTGTGGTGAGAATGAGGTTCTGGAAGAAGGGGGGAAAACCAGATGAGGGAATATCTGACACAATGAGTGTGTATTTGGGGGAATATCGAAAGGTCAGGGATCATAAAGGAGAAAGAACCCTTTTCCTCCAAAGAACGAAATAGGTTAGATTTGAGGTAGAAGTCAGAGGTTACTTACCAAGAGCATGAGGAATGAGGTGCAGGAAAGCATCTCCCAGGAGCCCACCGGAAGCAAAACTGAGCAAGATCTGAAGTAGAGAGCGATGCCGGGGAGAGTTCGACTCCACGGGGATAAGGAAGAGGACAAAAAATGGAGCTGCTGAGATCAGCACTGTGGCCCCCAGTGCCTGGTGAGGGAGAGTCAAGGTCAAGTACTGTGGAGTTTCCCAACAATCCAGAACCAGCCCTTCTCTCTCCCATCCCCTGGAGACTCACATAAGCCCAGAGAGTGACAGCATCCAGGTCCTGCTTGATGCCTGGAGCCCCAGACTCCCCATAGCCTCCATGGCTATGCTCATGGTCATGTCCATGTCCTCTGTGGTAGAGGCTCTCATGGGAGTAGCCATGGCTATGGCCATGGTGTAAATCCTCATGTGAATGTCCATGGTCGTGATCGTGGGTATGTCCATGCCAGATGCTCTCGTGAGTGTGGCCATGGCCATGGGCATGGCTGTGGCCATGGTGGAAATCTTCATGTGAGTGCCTGTGGCTGTGGCCATGGAAGTCCTCTTGCAGATCGTCGTGCAGGTCGTCATGACCCCCGAGTCCAGCCACCAGAAGCCCCAAGGTCGCCCAGGTCAGCAGTCCCACGGCCACCCAGTGGGGGGCCCCCAGGCCTCTGGCCATCACGCTGACCAGAGGGACAGAGGCAGTGACTCCACTTGACTCAACTCTATACCTACACAGGGTCCGCTTTACTCCAATCGCGCCCTCCGTCCACCTCTATGGGCCGCTCTCCCATTCCCTTAAGTTCCCACCTACATTGTTCCCAAGACTAGTTCTCTTTATCCCGAACCACCTCCCGGATGTAGGGCCCTGGGACACTAATCTTTCACCAGCCACTTTACAGACTCTCTGGGCCCTCGTCTCTACGACTCATTAGGTGAGGAAAAGGCCTGGAAAGGATGGTAGAGAAAAAACAGAGAATTCTCACCGGCTCCGGGATCCTCTCCTTTCCCGGTTTGCTTGGACGTGGCAGTCCCGCCTTTAGATCCCGCGAGAACAGGAAGTTCCGTTCCACCTTCGCCCTAATGCCTTTACCAATATGGCGGCACTCCGGTAGCGACGAATCCATCCTGCACTGACACGCATGCGCGAGTGTGGAGGTGATTTGAGGGGAGGGTGGGCGAGGCGGGCTAACAGGCCGGAGGAGACCGCCTCCTCGGTTTCCAACTAGACGAGGGGGCGGGAACTCGCGCCGAGACTTCCCGTCTGTACAAAGATGGCTGCCACATTGGCGCTGTCATTTTGGTACTGAGCAGAGCGACGGGCTTAATTCGACCCAATCCAGGCCAGAGTCTTTCTCTCAGGGGCTTCCTCGTGCTCAGCTAATCCTCCGATCAATCCTTGGGAATCCCTGGGACCTCTTCGGTATCCCTACTCTCAGCCAGGGATCATGTCTTGGGCCGCTCGCCCGCCCTTCCTCCCTCAGCGGCATGCCGCAGGGCAGTGTGGGCCGGTGGGGGTGCGAAAAGAAATGCATTGTGGGGTCGCGTCCCGGTGGCGGCGGCGACGGCCCTGGCTGGATCCCGCAGCGGCGGCGGCGGCGGCGGTGGCAGGCGGAGAACAACAAACCCCGGAGCCGGAGCCAGGGGAGGCTGGACGGGACGGGATGGGCGACAGCGGGCGGGGTGAGTGCCCCAGCAGAAGGGCAGGCGAGCCAGTGACCGCTTTATCTGCGACCCCTCCCCCACACCCTCCCCCGGTGCTCTTTTCCTTGCGCTCCCGCCCCCTTGTTTGTAAACACGCGTCCCCTCCCTCCCGAGGGCCTTAGCACCCTCCCCCCCGGGGCGGGGCGGGGAAGGGGAGCTTCCGCCCTCCTAGCTGTGACCGCTTGAGGCCTTGGGCACCGGAGGTCGCGGGCCTGGGAAGGGCACGATTCCTCTTAAACCTCAGGACTTTGGGCGTTTACAGGCAGATCCTGCGTCTTAGGAGGGGTCTCTCCTGCCTGTCTCTTTCCCTTGCACGCTCTGGCTACCTGGCTTTACGCTGGGAATAGAGGGGCTCGATGGTCTACCCCACGTGCTGCCCCACCCACGAGACAGGTGTGGCTTTGGGATGACCTGGTATTCATTCAAATGGATTGGTTGGAAAATTTTCCTCACCTGAACTATCCTCCTCTCCTTGTCAACTCCCTCCTCTCACCACAATGAGGAGTTACGCTGTTTTTGGGTTTTTTTAGCCAGTCAAATATAGCAGTGGGAGGTTGTATACCAATTTTAGTGACACAAATGTTAATAAGTTCTGATAACCCACTACCATCGGACCAGCCGGAGTTACACTGTTGTTTGACAGCAGGGTGTCTCTGAACTTGGGGATGGGTGGAGTGGGCTGGGTCCGGCACGGTGGGGTATTAGAGAATTAAAGTCTCTAGTTGGATGTTTGAAGACTCATTTTCTTTTTTTGTCTCTTCTGTCTCTTGTGTGTCTGTGTGCCTGTACATACCCCTCCCTCAGACTCCCGAAGCCCAGACAGCTCCTCCCCAAATCCCCTTCCCCAGGGAGTCCCTCCCCCTTCTCCTCCTGGGCCACCCCTACCCCCTTCAACAGCTCCATCCCTTGGAGGCTCTGGGGCCCCACCCCCACCCCCGATGCCACCACCCCCACTGGGCTCTCCCTTTCCAGTCATCAGTTCTTCCATGGGGTCCCCTGGTCTGCCCCCTCCAGCTCCCCCAGGATTCTCCGGGCCTGTCAGCAGCCCCCAGGTGAGAGGTTGTGACCAACTTACTGCCTGGCCACTTTCATTTTCTTGTTTTCCTTGTAACCCCAGATCCTTGTGTGAACTTCCCCATGGCCCATTGACCTTCCAATCCTCTAACCTTGTCAGGCCTGTGGTCTTTATGAGACCCCTTGCCTTTCCTGAGGTGACTGATCTTTCAGTGCATGCTTCCTCCCCTAAAAGAACTCTAATATTCTTTGTTTTTGTGTGTGTGTGTGTGTTTTTTTTTTTTTTTTTTTTTGAGATGGAGTCTTGCTCTGTTGCCCAGGCTGGAGTGCAGTGGCACAATCTCAGCTCACTGCAACCTCTGCCTCCTGGGTTCAAGCAATTCTCCTGCCTCAGCCTCCTGAGTAGCTGGGATTACAGGTGCCTACCACCACGCCCGGCTAATTCTGATATTCTTGATGTCCTTTTCATCTATCTGATTTTCTGCCCTTTTGATCCCATCTGCTTTCCCAAGACACCTGCCCTTCAGGGTCACTGTGTTGCACAATTTCAGGGGGGGCCTGTTTATTCACTTTGGGGTTGTGCTCCAGGGATGGCCTTTCACATAGACTGCAGTGTAAATGACAGCCTCTGGAATGTGCATTGCAGGGCCTTGCTTAGTGGTAGGGAATGATTTCCATCACTTCTGTGACATTCTGCTTCCCAATAAGTCTTCCTGTGACTTCCCTATTTCCCCCATCCCAGATTAACTCAACAGTGTCACTCCCTGGGGGTGGGTCTGGCCCCCCTGAAGATGTGAAGCCACCAGTCTTAGGGGTCCGGGGCCTGCACTGTCCACCCCCTCCAGGTGGCCCTGGGGCTGGCAAACGGCTATGTGCAATCTGCGGGGACAGAAGCTCAGGTATGTGGCTCAGAGGATGAACAGAGAGGGAGAGTCTGGGCCATGTATCATCACCTGTGGGATTCCCAGGGCTTATGGAGTTTGGTCAGAGCAAGTGACCTGGGGGAGGCCTGATGGGAGTAAAGAAGCTGAAGCTGAGATGTAGGACGCGATTGGGGGGAAGGTCAGAGGGAAAAGGAAGCAGCGTGTAGGGTTTCTGAACAGTGAGGAGACTGGGACTGGATCATCACTCAGCTCCTGGTTCCCTATCTCTGTATTTGGCAAACAGGGAGGACTTTAAGTTTTGCTAGGGGGAGATTGGAAACAGACTAAATGGTGAAGGTGTCTCCATGCAACCTTCTTATTGCTCCTCCCCTTTCCCTGTAGGCAAACACTACGGGGTTTACAGCTGTGAGGGTTGCAAGGGCTTCTTCAAACGCACCATCCGCAAAGACCTTACATACTCTTGCCGGGACAACAAAGACTGCACAGTGGACAAGCGCCAGCGGAACCGCTGTCAGTACTGCCGCTATCAGAAGTGCCTGGCCACTGGCATGAAGAGGGAGGGTAAGGACCCGCCCTGCCCAGGCGTCTTAGACCACATGCCCTTCTCCCTTATCCCACTCAGACTGTGTACCTCTCTGGAAGGGTGGACTGCTCTCTCTCCTCTAGAGGGCGATATTTGATTTCTCTCTCCCTTCGCAGCTCTCCTCCCTGTTACCCTGTTCTGGCCCTTGAGTTTCCTTCTTAATGGTTAGGCCTCTGTGGCCTGCACATATGACCCCTCCCTAGACTGATCCTAGGATAGGATAACTTTTCCTTAGCCATGATGGGCTGTCTCCCCATTTCTAACCTGAGTGGTTCCTCCTCTGATTCCATGGACCTTCTCTGGTCTCTGTCTCCTGTTATCTGTGATCTTTCCTCTAACTCCTGGGACTGGGCACTCTTAAGCTTACAGACTTTACTGAAGACCTCAGGGCTTCCCTTCCTTCTTCTGTGTCTCCATCTTATCTTCTTAAGTCAGATTCCTAGGATTCTGAGAGACACTTTAGAGCATATCTTGGTCAAAACACCCACTTTAGAGAAGATGAGCCTGAGGCTTGGCTTTCCCAAGGTCATGCAACAAAGGAGTGGCAGGCAGGTTTGGGATCAGAACCCACATCTTCAAAGACCTAGGCCAGTGCTCCTTTCACTGCCTATTTGTTGAGTCAGAAGAGCACAAGATTTGCACTCAGACACACTTAGAGTCAGTTGTATGACCTGCCATGTATTATATGAATTTAAGCAAACTAATCTCTTTGAACCCCGAGTTCTTCATCTTAAAAATGAGAATAAATGCTTCCAGCATCATTATGATAATTGAGTGAATGTTAAAATGTGCTTAGCATGTTTCTTGGCATATTTTATTTAAAAAAATTTTTTTTTTCAATCAGCTTTCTCAGGTTGAATCTTGGCATGTTTTTTTTAACCATGTAGTAGGCTCTCCATTTAAATTCCTCCCTAATTCTTTTACCTACCTCACCCTTCCCGACTGACTTACCTGCCCTTTTATAACCCTTCCTTCAGGGCTGCCCCCAGTCCACCCTTTCTAGTGACTTCCCCAATTCCTATAAATATCTCCCAAGGGCCATGAGATCCTGATGAGGCCGTAAGGATATTTGTGGAACCCCTTCATGGCTGGCTGCTGACTTTCCATTTTTTCTCTCCCCCTTCCCCCTGCAGCGGTACAGGAGGAGCGTCAGCGGGGAAAGGACAAGGATGGGGATGGGGAGGGGGCTGGGGGAGCCCCCGAGGAGATGCCTGTGGACAGGATCCTGGAGGCAGAGCTTGCTGTGGAACAGAAGAGTGACCAGGGCGTTGAGGGTCCTGGGGGAACCGGGGGTAGCGGCAGCAGCGTGAGTGTTGGGGTCAATCCACTCTCCTTCGTGATGGGGGTTGGGGGAGGCAGTCTAGGTCTGTTCTACATCCCCTCCCCCTCCTTTCCCCTCATAACCTTCCTAACACTACTTGGGACTGGAGGTGCTGCCAAACAAGGTCTTTCAAACATCTGAGGTGGATGTGATAGCTCCTTCTGTCTCCACTCCCCAAACAACCCACTGGCAGAACCATAGGCATGTCCCAAATAAATAATTGTTTGCACTAATGCCAGAAGAGAAGACTCACTTACAGGGATTGGTTTGGATGGGGCTCACAGGAAGACTATATGTAAGGAGGGGGTGTCAAAAGCCTCTTACAAGGGGGCTCCCAGCATATCTCAAAATCTTCCATAACTCTTACCCCCGTCCCCTGCAGCCAAATGACCCTGTGACTAACATCTGTCAGGCAGCTGACAAACAGCTATTCACGCTTGTTGAGTGGGCGAAGAGGATCCCACACTTTTCCTCCTTGCCTCTGGATGATCAGGTCATATTGCTGCGGGCAGGTCAGTGACCTTGGATCCCTTTGACTTCTTGACATTTGACCCCTCTTTGACTTCCCGATCTTTAGTGACCCCAGTGGCCTTACCTTGCGTACCCAGGGAGCCAAACTTGCTGACCTCGCCACCTCTTTTCTCCTTCTCTTCCACTGATGTGCTTTGAATCCCTTGGCCTGATTTCTGGCTCCTGACCCTTGCTGCCCCACCCAGGCTGGAATGAACTCCTCATTGCCTCCTTTTCACACCGATCCATTGATGTTCGAGATGGCATCCTCCTTGCCACAGGTCTTCACGTGCACCGCAACTCAGCCCATTCAGCAGGAGTAGGAGCCATCTTTGATCGGTCAGTGGCCCTCGGCTAGGCTGGCATGTAGATAGAGGGGGTGGGGCTATAGGCTGGTCCGTGTCCAAGGCTGGCTGAGCTGTGACCTTTGAGTGACCTGCAGGTCCCTCTCCAGGGTGCTGACAGAGCTAGTGTCCAAAATGCGTGACATGAGGATGGACAAGACAGAGCTTGGCTGCCTGAGGGCAATCATTCTGTTTAATCCAGGTAAGAGGAGGATTACCTTTGTCTCTCAAGGCCAAGGCAACCTTGGAGCCTCCTCTTCTCCGAGACTCCTAAGTTACCCAGCTATCCCCCTCAGTAAGACCCTCAACCTGGAAATCTCCCAACTGGCCGAGGAAAAACCCACATCCACGGATCCATCCCACAAACCCAGTGGGCCCTGCTTCCCTTGCCAGGCCTCTGGTAAAGGGCAAGCAAGTGCAGCCCAAAAGGGGCATCCTGTGGCTCACATCTGCATGGCCATCCTGATTTGGTTTGTCTTCATTTCTCTTCCTCCTCTCTTCCCTGCCATCCCAGATGCCAAGGGCCTCTCCAACCCTAGTGAGGTGGAGGTCCTGCGGGAGAAAGTGTATGCATCACTGGAGACCTACTGCAAACAGAAGTACCCTGAGCAGCAGGGACGGTGAGATGGGGCTGGGGGGCACTGAGGCTCCCTTGGGGGTGGGGAGTGCTATGAGGATGTGTTCAGGGCCCGTGTGCTTCCAGCTCTCAATCCCCTTCTCCCACCTCCACCCCAGGTTTGCCAAGCTGCTGCTACGTCTTCCTGCCCTCCGGTCCATTGGCCTTAAGTGTCTAGAGCATCTGTTTTTCTTCAAGCTCATTGGTGACACCCCCATCGACACCTTCCTCATGGAGATGCTTGAGGCTCCCCATCAACTGGCCTGAGCTCAGACCCAGACGTGGTGCTTCTCACACTGGAGGAGCACACATCCAAGAGGGACTCCAAGCCCTGGGGCAGGGTGGGGGGCCATGTTCCCAGAACCTTGATGGGGTGAGAAGTACAGGGCAGAACCAAGAACATAAACCCTCCAAGGGATCTGCTTGATATCCCAAGTTGGAAGGGACCCCAGATACCTGTGAGGACTGGTTGTCTCTCTTCGGTGGCCTTGAGTCTCTGAATTTGTCGGGGTCTCCCATGATTTGGGGTGATTTCTCACCCTCTGTCCTTCCCCCAGCACAAAGCACTGGCCTTGCCTCCAGGACCTTGCTTCCTTCTCATCTTGCCTCATTTTGCTTCCCATCTGAAGAGTGGAAATGGGGATCTCCCCCAGAGGTGGATACTGGGGGGCAGGCCTCCCAAGCTGATGGACATGAGAGTAGGGCCCTGACAGGCCTTCCTCCTCTCAAACCTGGCAGATGGGGGCCTCTCTGGAAGAGGGAGGGGCCCTGTCACTGTCCAGAGTCTCTTTTTACACTTCACCTCCTTCTGCAGTCAGACTGAAATATAAAAAAGGTGGTGGTGGTGGTGAAGGGGCTGGTGGAGATGTAGGAACCGATCTGCTATTTTTAATTTCCTGTGAGGATAGAGACTTGCAGTTAGACTCAAAGAAGTACTGTACTTTCCCAGGTTGACTAAGAAATGCCAGTGGTGGAGGTGGGTGTTTGGGAAAGGCAGGGCCCTGAAATGGCCTGTCCCTAGGGCTCTCCAAGCACTAGCCTTCCCAGCTTCCCGCCGCCCCCCCCCATCTCTTCCTGTCTAACTTGGGGAAGGGGCCTGGGCTGTGAGGACAGGGCCCCCACAGGGGATGGTTTCACGAGTGTAGTCCCGGAGGCCTTCCCTTTACAGCTCTCCTCCAGCCCTGGGCACATAGCATAGGCTGGGGACACAGGATCCTGGCCTGAGAATTGAGGGGAGGTGGCCAGCCCGCAGAGGTGGGGTGCTGGGGCTGCATGATTTTTGCCCTGCGTCCCTTCTCTTTGGGGCTCCTTTCCCCTCTCATACATAAAATCGCTTTCAAATTAAAATCGCTGTTTTCTGGACTGAGGTGACTGTATGAGGATGGGCAGCGCCGTTTCGGGCTTGGGGGGGGTATCCGGTTGGGAGCTCCGGACGCGATCCCTGGACGCCGCCGCCGAGGTTCCATGGGGCCCAAGAGGTGCACGCAGGGTGGGGGACACAAGGCAAGCTTTGTCGGGGAGGGGGGGAGAGGGTGTGCCAGGCTGGGGGCGGGGCCGGCCGGAGGAGGAAGGGGGGGCGGTGGATTCTCAAAGGCGCCTTGTTCGCTCGTGCCCTCTCCGCGCCAGCGGGCGGCGGCGCCTCGGCTCGCTGCGGCCTTCCCTCCGGGCGCGCTGCGGGCTCCGGGCAGACCCGGCGCCGTGCCCGCTCGTGGGGGCGCACTGGGCGCCGAGCGCTGCGTGCTTCTCAGGCGTTGCCCGCCCGGAGGCGGCCCACGTCCCCGAGTGACCCCATTTCCCTGGACCCTTCCAACCAGAGTCGACTGCTCGCTCATCTTACCACTGCTCCCCCTCTACCTCGGCTCTGGGACTCCCTAACCGCGTCCCCCATTTGCATCTCCTTGGACCTGACTATCCTGTGTTTGTCGGTGGGTCCCAGTCTCTGGCCTCTTGCTCTCCGTAGAACACCTTCCCCCACATCCCCCGCCCCAGTTCGTCGCTATCTATAGCCTTGTCTATAAATACCCCCGCCCCGGCCCGGCTCTGTAATTACACGGGGCGGGGTGAGGGAAGTAATTATGGAGACCTGATTATGGGTGGGGTGGGGACTGCGACCCCCAGGCCCGCCTCTCCCCCTCCCACTGTGCCCTAAATCCCGCCCAGGCCTCTGCTGAAAGGGGGCTCTGGGCCCCCAAGAGGGAGGGAATGGGAGGGAGTGTGTGTGACTGGACGTTTGGGTCCTAGAAAAGGAAGGGGCTAGGGAAGATATTGGGGTTCCCGAAAAGAGAATCTTAGGGTACAGGCCGTTGAGACCTACAAGGGGCAGGAGAGAGCGAGCGATAGAGGGAGGGTTCCCGCCTCCCTCCCCAGGTGGAGACTGAGGGTGGGGTTTCCCTTCGGTGGCTGTGGGCGGGCGGCTGGAGGCGGGGGCCGGGCCGGGGGCGGGGGCGAGGTGGGGGCTCTGGGCGCCAGGGTGGCCGGGGACACACAGAAGCGGCAGCCACCGAGGAGGGAGCAGTGCCGGGAGCCCCGACGGCGCCTTGCTGCATGGAGCTGGGCCGCTGACAGCTGTCGCTGCCCGCAGCCTCTGACCTCCCTGGGACCCCGGCGTCTGAGGCTCATAGTCTGCTCCCTGTCTTCTGTCAGCCTCAGGGCATCCAGCGTCTCAGGCCGACCTGGGTCCCTGGGACCCGGCGTTTCGGCTTCTCAGCCATGGAGCGGTGCAGCCGCTGCCATCGCCTCCTCCTCCTCCTACCTCTGGTGCTGGGGCTGAGCGCGGCCCCAGGCTGGGCAGGTAAGAGGAGTCCTGATGCCTGGGTCCTCGGAGTCAGGCTGGAGCTCTGAGTGTCTCTGGGAAGGGGCCAGCTGATGCCTGGGGCAGCAGCTTCTGAGTCTAACAAGGAGATTTGGGGCTTCAAGGCTACAGGCTGGAGGGCAGGACACCTGTGTTCCTTGGCATCAGGGTAGGAATCTCTTTGTCCTTGAAGTGACTGGGGGAGGGCAGATAGGGCTGAAAGGTGGAGGACCACTTTAGAGACCCTGAATGGGGATGGATGCTTGTCTTGAGTCCTTGGGAAGAGCTGAAGATGGCCAGGGCCAGCCCGGTCCAGTCATTGCTGGTGTGGGGATGGTAGACGCCAATGTTGATGGGTGAGGCGTGTGTGTCTTATGGCCTTTCTGTCGATATCTCTGGGATAAGGGGTGAGCACCTGTGATTCAGAGCAGAGCCCAGTAAGCCCAGAAAGAAAGGAAGCCTTGACTACCTGTCTCATTGGCCTCCTGGACAGGGTCCCCCTCCCCCTCCCTGTGCCCTCGATGCTGCCACGCAGCTGGCTCTGGGGAGCACTGGGGCTGGCTGCCAACAGGACGGCCCTCCGGACAGGCCAGGATCAGGTGTCTGAGGCCAGAGCCAACTCTTTGCATTCCTGCCTAGCCCCTCCTCCCTCTGGCCAGCCAGGCTCCCCTGGGACCCTGGTGCCCACAACCCTGATCTTTTCCTTCTTTTTCCCAGGACCCAGAATTCCTGGCTTCTAGGAAAGGGGATTTGATGTCAAGGAGGGGGCTGTGAGCACCAGGTCCTCAGCAGGCTGGAAAAAGCCCATTTCTGGAGACACTGAGGGCTGATTTATATTTAACTTGACTATTCAATTCTTCTCTGCTTTAGAGAGAAAATGGTCAGAATGGCAGCACAAAAGATTTAGATTAGATTACAGAAGGAAGAACTTCCAAGATGTGAGGACAGTGAAGCCCAGGGCCAGGAAATTGAGGCGTATGGTGCCTGTAGACTCTAGGAGTCTTTCTTAGGGGGAAGAGGGATCCTCTGGCATGGAGGCAGGGGGATGGCTAAGATGACTGTTTCTTATTTCAGGGGCTGAGTGGGTAGAGATGGGACTTTAGGGAAATGAGTTACTGTAGAATTCCTAAGGTTAGAGAATAAGGCATTTGGGGGGCCAGAGGTAGAGTGGTGGAGGGTAATGGGGCTACCAGTGGAGAGCCTGTGGGGCAGATGAGGCTGGATACAGGGGGGCAAGTATGTGGCCTGGTGTGGGAAGATGGTGGGCGGACCTGTGGGTAGGTTGTCCATATGATCGAATTGTACTCCCTTGGGATTTGGTGGAGGGTGGGGACCTCCGAGGTCTCCTTGGCCTGGGGTCTCTGTGAGTCTCTGTGTCTCTGTCTCACTCACCCTTCGTCTCTCAAAGCGGCCCTTGTGTGTTGGTGTTTGCGGAGCTGCCACACGCGCAGGGGCCAGGCTTAGGTGGGGGTTGGGGGGGAAGGCCGTGGTTTCCCGGCTCCTGGACTCAAAGGGCCTTTTCTCTGCCTGCCCGCCCCACCTCACCCACCCCACCCAGCTCCACTCTCCTGATTGCTCTGGCCTCTGCCCTGCCCCACACTTCTATGAAAGTTTTGCTGGAACTCTCTTTGGGATTTTTCCAATCTGGAGCTGATGGTGTGAAGAGTATGTGTATAGGGGAGCAAGTGAGGGCAAGGTGATCTTTTGTTTTCCAGGGAGTTTGAGCCCTAGGAAGCTGAGTTCTAGGTAGACAGGGCTGGTGGGCTGGATCTTGAATCTTTGGGTCCCAGGTGGTGGGGTTGGTGGGGGTGGTGAGACAGGATTGAGGTTCCAGGTGTGGGGAGCTTGCCTGGGTTCTGGGCAAGCACTCTGATGGGATCCACAGATGTGTGGCTCAGGGCCCTGGACCTGTTCCGGATCCTCGTGGCAGCTTCAGCCCCTGCCCCCCATTCCTCCACCCCTCCCCAACTCATCTCCTAAACCAGGAGGCACAGACTCCTGGGAGAGCTTTCTTGTATCTTTTTCCTCAGCATGCTCAGGGTTGTTCCCACCCCATCCCCCAAACCTGGGATCTGTAGCTGCTTGAAGCCCCTCTCATAGAGCTGCTTCTCTGATCTCTTCCTCGTGGCCCCCCTGCACCTCCTGTGTCCAGGATGATCGATTGCCCAGATGTTGTTTGTGCTGGAGACGGGACAGATGCCAGAGACCCAGAGAGTGAGAGATATGGAAAGAGAGTGAGAGCGAGGGAGAGAAAAAGATGGACAGAATGTGAGAGAAATGGAGGAAGACAGAAGAGACAGAGACAGAAAGACCAACATAAAGAGACAGAGAGAGTAAGAGAGTGAGAGAGACAGGAGACAGATGAAGAGTTGAGAGAAGTATTCAGAGAGTACAGAGAGAGACAGATTCATAAGCTAAAAGACAAAGAGAGAGCGTAAGAGAGGCAGATGCTAGGAGAGACAGGGGCAGGAGTGTCATGGGGTTGAATGCCAGCTGATGCTGCCCTGCCTCCAGGTACCTTTGCATTTCCCATCCATTCAGGTACTGTTCAGAAGCAAGTGAGGGTGAGGTGACCTTTCCCTTGCAGGGAGTTTGAGCCCTGGAAAGCTGAGTTCTAGATCCCAAATGTCCCCTATTTATGCCCTCCTGAGGGCATGTCCCTTCTCCTGATAATCATGGACTCTCCCAGGTGCACCCCCTGTGGATGTGCTCCGGGCCCTGAGGTTCCCCTCCCTCCCTGATGGTGTCCGGAGAGCGAAAGGCATCTGTCCAGCTGATGTGGCCTACCGAGTGGCACGACCTGCCCAGCTCAGTGCACCCACTCGCCAGCTTTTCCCAGGTATGGGTGACATGGTGGGGTAGGCCTGGGGGGAGGTAATGGGATGGGGCCTAGGATCAGACACCAGGAGGAAAGGGGTTGTGGCGGCTCCCTTTGCCTCTCACTCTGTGTGTATCTCTCTCGGTTACTAGGAGGATTTCCCAAAGATTTCTCTCTGCTGACTGTTGTCCGGACCCGCCCTGGTCTCCAAGCTCCCCTCCTGACTCTCTACAGTGCCCAGGGTGTCCGACAGCTGGGCCTGGAGCTGGGCCGACCTGTCCGCTTCCTGTATGAAGACCAGACTGGGCGGCCTCAACCTCCCTCTCAGCCAGTCTTCCGAGGCCTCAGCCTAGCAGATGGCAAGTAAGTTTGTTTGCTCCTCTGGTCTGCCTGGCCCACACTTTCAGGAGGAAGTGCCCCCAAACCCCTACACTCTAAACTGTGAAACCCTTGAGACCCTTTGGGCCACACCACACCTACCCACTGCCCAAACTTCAGTCACTTCTAGTCCAGAGTTTGGGCTTTAGAGTGTACAGCCTTCTCTGCATGTTGAACTAGCCTGTACCTTGGGCAAGTTACTTAAAATTTTTGAGCCTCAGTTTCTACATCTGTAAAATAGACATTAAATAGAATTGGCACAAATAAGAAAGTGACGGCATGGTGTCTGGTGCACTGTAAACACTCAATAAATGGTAGCCATTGTTATTACTGCTCTTATCACCATTGGCTTCAACTCTTATCACTGCTCTCCAACCATGTTGACTCCCCTACTTCAGTCAGCCAAGAGTTCACTTGAACCTCTTCCACCATTTCCAGGTGGCACCGTGTGGCTGTGGCTGTGAAGGGCCAGTCTGTCACCCTCATTGTTGACTGCAAGAAGCGAGTCACCCGGCCTCTCCCCCGAAGTGCTCGTCCAGTATTGGACACCCATGGAGTGATCATCTTTGGTGCCCGTATTCTGGATGAAGAAGTCTTTGAGGTAACCAGAGCAATCAGAGGCAGGATTGACTTCTGGTCCCCTATCTTGTGCCCACTACCCTTCTGGCCCCAGCATGTCATCTTCCTATTCCCTAGGCCTTCATTTTTTTTTCTTATGAATTTTCATTTCTATTTTCTATCTTCAGGGCTACTGTTCTCTGCAGGAGAACTAGATGCCTACCTATATGGCAGGACTGTCCACAGCCACTTACTCTGTCCTTCAGTCTTCATCAGTTCCCTCATCCATCCATCCTTTCAACCCCTCTCTCTCCTCACCCACCCATCAATTCACTCACTCCTCAGCCAACCTATGCACACATCCACCACCCACTCCCCCATCTATTTACTCATCTATGCATCACACGCCCACCTAGTCATGCATGAAGGCTTATATCCACCCACCTGTCAATCCTCCCCCTGCTTAACCACTCTCCCCTTCAAACCACCCATCTATGCTTCCACCCATCTATCCTCTTCAACTCCTCCATCCAGCTATTCACTCACCCACCCACCCTCCCCATCTACCCATGCACACAAGGATGCATGCATCCATTCAGCCACCATCTATCCATTATCCTTCCACCAACTCAACCACTCCCTCCTTCAATATACTCACTCACCCATCTCCTGACCCACTTACTTCCCATCCGACCAGTCATTCACCCACATAAGTTCACCCATCTACCTATTCACCCATTTGCTTCCATCTACTCTGTAACCCCTGTTCATCTGCCCACCAGTCCACCCTCCCATACGTACATTTATTCATTCACTATTTATCAATGCTCCCATTCATTAATGCATGTAAGCCCCCAGCCACCCATCCACTCATCTATCCATTCATCCATCCCTCCATTCACCCATCCCTCCATTCACCCTCCAAGCCAGTCAACATTTTCTGAATACCTGCTGGACAAGGAGAACAAAGAAGAGAATATAAAGTCTCTATCACCCCCAAGAGCTCCCAGGTGGGCTCTGGAAATGAGACAACATCCCTAAATTACGGTGCAATGGAGAGTATGCTAAGCACCATGTGTGGGCAAAAGTAAATGCCATTGGAACTCAGGAATGGGTTCTCCCCACTCCATTTCTAGAGGTCCAGAGAATTCTCATCATCACTGCCATTGGAAGGCCAAGGCATCTAAAGCTGAGCCCTGTCTCTGGAAGCCACTGTGGAAGGGCTCATGCATTGCCACAAAGCGCAGAGGGGAGGCAAAGAATTCTGGAAGGCCTGGGATCTGGTCCTGATTCTGCCACTCTGGGTGACCTTGGGGCAGTCATTGCCTTTTTGGGCTTTTCTGAATGGAACGTATCTGAAAAATGGGTAGAAAGAAAGATCCTTGTTCTGCCAACTTTCCTGGTTGTTATGAAGGTCCTATGAGATCCCTTGAAAACTGAAAAGGGCTATGCATATGGAGGACTGACAGTGACCTTCTCCCATCTTAGGGTTTTACCTAGGATTGGCCTCCTATACTCTTTCTCCCGGATGATACCCTCTGCCTCTCTCTGAATCTCTCCGCTCCATCTCTCTCATGTCTTTGCAGGGTGATGTCCAGGAGCTGGCCATTGTCCCAGGGGTCCAGGCAGCCTATGAATCATGTGAACAGAAGGAGCTGGAATGCGAGGGGGGCCAGAGGGAAAGACCCCAAAACCAACAGCCTCACAGAGCCCAGAGATCTCCACAGCAGCAACCATCAAGACTTCACAGGCCACAAAATCAGGAACCCCAGAGCCAGGTGAGGGAGCTGGGAGAACCCCCAAGTGCAGCACACCCCAGAGAGGGAAGACACCCAGGCATCTCTCCTCCTTAGTTGTCCTCCCCACCCTCATCTCCCTATTCCCATCACCCCCTCCTCCTAGTCCTCATTCATCAGCCTTTTTATTTTCATCTAAAAATAAAAAGAGTTGTTATGAAGAATTTGTGGCTGGGAGCTGTGTTCCCTGCTCTGCGTCTCCTCTTCCAGTCTTCCTGGAACTGTGTCCCTGGGTTTTCCCTTCCTTCTTTGAATTAAGAGATTGGGAGACAGTGGGAGAGGGGTGAGAGCTGGGGAGGCAGGTAGGAGAGGGGACTGAAGCCAGGAGAAAGCAGTCGGGATGGTGAGACCAAGGAGGAGGAATGGGAAGGAGTAGGGATGGAGGGAATATCAAAGGAGGGGTGGGTCTGCAGAAGTGTGGGAGTGGGGAACCCAGTCTCTGGCCCCCACCTACCTGGAGGGGCAGGAAAAGGGGAGGTAGTAGGGGGAAGGGAAGGGAAGGGAAGGGAAGGGAGCCTGGGTTGGATGGGGTCTGGAGAGTTAGAATACAGATAGGCTCTGGGGTCAGTGGTCTAAAGATCAGAGGGTCAATCTCTTAATCATGTCTGCTTCTGCCCCACATGTGGAACCCCTTCCCTCTGTTCCACCTCTCCCCACCTCCCTCCTGACCCTCAACCTCTCCTTTCATCTTCAACTCTCTGTTTCCCAACTCCACACCTCCCCCGTTTCCCAACTCCCACACCATCTTTATATCTCCCTCTCCCGCCCTTCACCCCACACCTTCCAATTACCCCATCCCCTTCCTGTCTATGCCCACCCCCCAATCCCAGCCCACTGAGTCTCTCTACTATGACTACAAGCCCCCCTATTATGATGTGATGACTACGGGGACAACCCCTGATTATCAGGTAAACTCAAGGGACCCCTTCATTTCTTCCCTTTCTCCCAGCACCCCCAGCAATCATCTCCTAGGACACCTTCCTCCCCTCCCCCATGCCGTGGGGAGAGGCACAGTGTGTTTAGATTATGGGGATTTACTTAGTTCCTGCCCCCTCCCTGTCTCTCTGCTGCAGCGCCCTGGGAGCCCCCACCACAGGCCTCCCCCTTCCCCTAGGGGGCATCGGACCCCTCCCTGAAAGCCTACCCCACCTGCCAAGAGGTCAATGACCTGGCAGGCGTCCCCCTCACCAGGCCGGAGGCCCTCTCCAACTGCAGGCTTTGACCCAGCATGGGAGCAGCCTCCCCTTTCCCGATGCCCAGCTCGGAGGGCAGCTTCCCCCACTGCCTGGCCCCGCCCCAGGACCAGAGGCAGCAGTTACCGGCAGGTAGAGCCGGGGCATCCAGATCTCTGCCCCCAAACCTCTATGACCTTGGAGGTTCACTCTCCCCAAACTATCCCCCTCCAAAGGGGCTGCAAGATCTGAGATTTCCCCCATCCCCCAGCACAGACAGACCCTGCCCTCGGGGGACAGGTGCTGCTTTGCCTCCCTTCTGCTAACCTTTCTCCTTCCTTCCCACCCCGTGCTACTCTTCTCCTTCTCTCCTTGGGGACAGGACCCCACCCCAGGTGAAGAGGAAGAAATCCTGGAGTCGAGCCTCTTGCCACCCCTTGAGGAGGTAACTCTATGCCCCACCCTCACCCCATCTGGGGGCAGTGGGCACCTGTGACTCACTCCCCTCAGCCCATGACGTCTTGATGGACCAGCCCCTCCTCTGGCCGGAGGGTTCTTCCTCATTTCCATCGATGGCCTCTGTCTTTGGGTCACTCTAGAACTATGGGCCTGCTTGACTCTCTAAGTCCAGCCCGTTCCCTTCAGTATCCAGGCCTCCTTCCATGATTCTTTGATTCCTGAGTGACTTCGTCTCCATGTTGGTGTCTAATGGTCTTACTTTCTATGTCCTATTTCTGTTCCCGGGAGCCACTTTCTGTCCAGTGTTGTCACCTTTTGTCTTCCCTATCTCTTTGGTCATTCCTGGACTCCTTTGTCTGTCATTGTGTCCATGGACTGTCCACTCTGCATCCAGTCCTCTGGCCACCCTTCATTTTATCCACCACTTCTTCCCACTGGACCCACTTTCTGGACATCTCTCCCCATTTTTGGCCTTTGATGGCCCTTCCATTTATATACAACCACTCCCATGGCTATTCTTGGGAGAAAAAATCCAGTTCTGATTAACCTTGGAATCCTTTGGGCTAGAAGTTGTCACACCCTGGGGTCCAGGGTAAGCCTCCTCTCAGCCCTAACATCCCCATCTACCCCTCTCCCTCCCCATCCCTGGGAAGGAGCAGACAGATCTCCAGGTCCCCCCCACAGCCGACAGGTTCCAGGCAGAGGAATATGGGGAGGGTGGCACAGACCCCCCTGAAGGGCCCTACGATTACACCTATGGCTATGGGGATGATTATCGTGAGGAGACAGAGCTTGGCCCTGCCCTCTCTGCGGAGACAGCCCACTCAGGAGCCGTAAGTGAAAGGAGCTTCTCTTTCATTCTTGACTACCAGTGGGAGCTACAAGAATTGCTTCTTGTTGGTTTCGATCCTTGGCTGTTGGCTGTGAGCTATTTCCCATCTGTGACTTGTCATTTTCTGTTCACATATGATGTATATGTTGCTTGAAAAGATTACTACCTGCCTTCCTTTGCCAAATGTCTTACCTTGTGACTCTTGTGGATACTTCTGAAGCTCAGGGCAATTGGGAATTAAAAAAAAAAAATATGTAGCCACTTCCTGTCTTTCTTGATCACTTCCTGTCTAACTGAAGCTGGATTTCATAAAGCTTTTGGTCAATAAACTACTACCTTGTGTCCATTTTCAGTGTTTCTCTATCATTTCTTCTTGGTGAAATAATTTTTTGTTCATGTTTCTACCAAACGATCTAACTTCCTATGTCACCTTTTTTTAACCTACAGGCCACTTATTATCTGTCCCTTCCTGCCTTCTCCAGCTGTGGCATCCATCTTGGTAACTGTGTCAGGTTGGACTGCAAAGGATTTATTATTTCTGTTCTGGCTCTAGTTTTTCATGCTATCTTGTGACAATTTCCTTTGACAATAAGCCACTTCCTGTATGTCTCAGGTCATTTAAATCATAAAGTTTCCATTGTGGGCCTCGATATTTCTCATGGCTACTTCCTGTGTGTCCTAGCCTTGATGTTTGTGTTTTCTGGAAGAATTACCCTTCACTGTCATGATTCCCTTTGCAGGAGTCACATTCTACCTGTTTTGTGCCTTTCTTTTCTCTCTGGGTCACGGTAGCCATGTTGTTGTTGAAGGTTCACTTCCTGGATCCTCTTTCCTTCACTGCTTCCTGTCTGTTCAGCCACTTCCTGTTTGTCCAGTTTGTTTTCTAGCCATGTTGGCCATGTTTAATTTTCTTCGGCCCTGGCATCATTCTTGCTTCCAAGTGTTTGTCATTTTGTTCTGTGTCCCTTAGTTGTTCTCATATCTTCCAGTATTCCCTGTCAGTGGGACTGCTTCCTGTCTACTCCGCTCCGTCTTCTGCCTGCCTTGCAGTTCTGGCTGCCTCCTCTACCCTGCTGCCGCATCCCATACCTCCCCTCTCTTGCCTCCCTTGAGCTTCTACTGCCTTTCCTTTATGCTGCTCTCTGGGTATTTGGGGTTGATATGGGATTTCAGAGAATTTTGAAACGGATCATTGCTGTTTGGTCAGAATGAAGGTGGAGAGGGGCATTCTGAAGATCTTTGTTGGGGGGAGTTGGGGTGGTGGTGAATGTCTCCCATTCTCCATGTTCTTATTTTGTTTCTGGCCCTAGAGTTGGGAACAGGTATCTGAGTGGAGGTGTGCAAGGGAGGGAACTGGTGGGCTTGGAATGTACTTGAGGGCCAGAGGAAGGGCAATGCATTCAGTGGGGACTGCTCTCCAATTTTTTTTTTTTTTGAGGCAGGGTCTCACTCTGTCACCCAGGTTGGAGTGCAGTGGCAGGATCTTGGCTTACTGCAACCTCTGCCTCCTGGGTTCAAGCGATCCTCCTGCCTCAGCCTCCCGAGTAGCTGGGGTTACAGGCATGTGCCACTGCGCCCGGCTATTTTTTGTATTTTTAGTAGAGACGGGGTTTCACATGTTGGCCAGGCTGGTCTCAAACTACTGACCTCAAATGAGCTGCCTGTTTCGGCCCCACAAAGTGCTGGGATTACAGGCGTGCGCCACCGTGCCTGGCCTCCAAATTTACTTAGAGTATGGATGCTTAACCTTTGGGGCATATTTAAACTTGTGAACCCTTTGAAATCCTAAATAAAATTCTGTGCATAATAGCATATACTTTTTCATTTCTGGAGAAAGACTCACAGCTTTCATCAGATTCTTTTTTTTCTTTGAGATGGAGTTTTGCTCTTGTTGCCTAGGCTGGAGTACGATGGCATAATCTTGGTTCACTTCAACCTCCACCTCCTGGGTTCAAGCTATTCTCCTGCTTCAGCCTCCCAAGTAGCTGGGATTACAGGCATGTGCCACCACACCCAGCTAATTTTGTATTTTTATTAGAGACGGGGTTGCACCATGTTGGTCAGGCTGGTCTCAAACTCCTGACCTCAGGTGATCTGCCTGCCTCCGCCTCCCAAAGTGCTGGGATTATGGGCGTAAGCCACCTCGCCCGGCCTAGCTTTTATCAGGTTCTCATGTGGGTCCATGCCCTCCTCTTACCCCAAATAAAAATCTACCCACAATCTTAGAGAGATTCTTTTATGATGTATTGGGGTAAATGTGTGGAAGGTTTCTTAAGGTTCTAGGGAGGGAGTTTGGGAGATGGGATAGGGTCCTCTAGAAGAGGGTTTGGGAAGGTGGGTGGTTTAAAATCCCTGAAAGGGGCCAGGTGTGGTGGCTCACGCCTGTAATTCCAGCACTTTAGGAGGCCAAGGCAGGCGGATCACCTGAGGTCAGGATTTTGAGACCAGCCTGGCCAACACGGTGAAACCCCATCTCTAATAAAAATACAAAAATTAGCCGGGCATGGTGGTGCACATCTGTAATCCCAGTGTAATCCCAGCTACTTGGGAGGCTGAGGCAGGAGAATCACTTGAACCTGGAAGGCAGAGGTTGTAGTGAGCCGAGATCGCGCCATTATACTTCAGCCTGGGTGACAGAGCAAGACTTCGTCTCAAAAAAAAAGAAAAACAAACAAACAAACAAAAACACTGGAAGTTTCTGGGGACCTTCCTGAAAGAGGCTCTCAGGGAGATGGAGAGGTTGTGTTTGCTGAGGTGGGGCTGGGAACTGGGGGGCAGGGAACCCTGAGGTCTCCTTGGCAGGCTTGAAAGGTTTGTGAAGAGGGAGTTTTAGGGGAGGGCTGTGGGGCTTTCGGGTAGGGCTGAAGTGGTCTCGAGAGGATCTAAGAATCAAGGTTGGAGTTGAGATGGAGAAAGGCCTAGTGTCCTGGCTGCTCACGGGCCCCACTGGGGGCTACATGTGTGTCTCCTTCAGGCTGCCCATGGACCCCGAGGGCTGAAGGGAGAGAAAGGAGAGCCTGCAGTGTTGGAACCTGTAAGTTATGCTGGTCACAGGGCTGAGGCAGTGGAAATAGGAGAAGCAAGTGGGGTTGAGTGTGCTGGTCCTGTCGCCTCTGATTTTTAACCTTTGACTCCACAGGGTATGCTCGTGGAGGGGCCCCCTGGCCCAGAAGGCCCTGCGGTAAGTCTAGCAGTGACCTGGTGGCCATTCTTTTCTTAGAAACCCCTTCTATGTGCTCATCTGAGCCTTCCCCACATATGCCCAGGCCTCCTCCTCAGAACTCGGGAGCATCCCTCCAATCAACGCTTCCCAGATTCCCAGATCTGTTCTGCACAGACCACTCCTCAGCCACAGGCTGAGTGTCCACACCTGTCTGAATGCCCACACCTGACCCCTACTCTTTTGTTCCTCAGGGATTGATTGGTCCCCCTGGCATCCAGGGGAACCCAGGCCCAGTTGGAGACCCTGGAGAGAGGGTAAGGGGGTGTCCTCCATGTGACGGGGGAGCTTCGGGGGAGCTAGTGGTATCCAAGCGGGGGGCTACCATGCCCAGTAATTTCCTGTTAGGTGGCTTGTTAATGAATGAGGGGATGGTTGTGCTTCCCAGCAACCAGAAAGGAGGGCAGACTCTGGTTGGGGAGGGTGCTGATCTGGTTTCTCACCCTCAATTTTCCCCATGGGGGTGGGAGACTCAGGAAAGAGCTAGAGCAATCTACACTTATTCTGTTGAAGAGGATATTTCAAAATCATGCTAAGATCTTGATGTCCCCTTATCTTTCACCCCATCTTTTGCATTCTCTTCCCACTCCAGGGCCCCCCTGGCCGAGCAGGGCTCCCTGGATCAGATGGGGCTCCTGGTCCTCCTGGCACATCTCTCATGCTCCCAGTGAGTTGTCTCTTGGGTTTTGGAACATGCTGATGGGGAAGACAAGGAATTGTGTCATGTTACCAAGAACCAGATGGGCAGGAAAGATATGGAGGAGTCTCTAAAGATCATCAAAGATCATCACTCCAAAGGGATTCGTCTTTGGGGTTGGGGAGATGGGGCCTCATTAGGTGACCTAGAACAAAACACCAGTCTTCTAGGACTGGGCAGAACAGCCTATATTTCAGGAGCTCTAGAACCAAAAGAGAGTCTTTCTGGAGGCAGAGGCTGGACAGTGGAGGAGGGCAGGAGTTGAGTTTCTGGAATCCTCTAAGTGATTATCTGGAAGCCATGGGAAATGCTGGATGGGCAGAACCTGGGGCAAGGGGCAGAAACGCTGGAGAAAGCCTCTGGCTGGGAGGGTCCCATGGCTTTCTTGGAAGAGAACCTGGACCTTCTCTCCTTGCCCTCAGTTCCGGTTTGGCAGTGGTGGGGGTGACAAGGGCCCTGTGGTGGCGGCCCAGGAGGCTCAGGCCCAGGCGATCCTGCAGCAGGCGAGGGTGAGTGGGGCTGCTTCCCTGGAAAGGGAAGGCTCTGGGGGGCACTGGAAGGGTTGGCTGGAGTGAGTGTGCGGCAGGGGAGGCCTGGGTTGGTTTGGGGTTAACAGGGAGGTTGGGGAGAATCCTGGGCAGTGGATGAGGATCAGGAGAGGAAGGGTGAATTTGGAGAGTGCTGGGGCTGGGGGTTCCCACTGCCTGTCCCTCAGCTCTGCTGTCCCCCTGCTCCCCTAGCTGGCGCTCCGTGGACCCCCTGGCCCCATGGGATACACAGGGCGCCCTGGACCCTTGGTGAGTGAGCAGGGTGCTCGGGTGGAGGATGCTTTAATTGTGTGTGGGGTGTGGATAGTTCTGGAAAGGGGCTTCTTTTGGGGAACACTCCGAGGCCACTGTTGGCTGTGTCCTTCCTTACGGCCATCCTCTCTTCTCTCTCCCAGGGCCAACCTGGGAGCCCTGGCCTGAAAGGAGAGTCTGGAGACTTAGGACCTCAGGTGACCACTTTCCTCCACTGCACCCCCATATCTGTTCACCAGCTCAGTCTCCCTCACTCCCCTCCCTATGCCTCCTAACCCCACCCCATCTCTCCTCTCACCAGGGCCCCAGAGGACCTCAGGGCCTCACAGGCCCTCCTGGCAAGGCTGGGCGAAGGGTGAGTGCCCCAGGGGTGGATGGGTGTTGTGGGGAGACAGGGCCTGCAGGGTAGGGGACTGCGGCCCTGCTTGTTCTGACACTTCCCTTGTTCTCCCAGGGCCGGGCAGGTGCTGATGGAGCCCGAGGGATGCCTGGAGATCCTGGAGTGAAGGTAACAGGCTTGGGCCCCTCCCTGAAGCCTGTAGCCTTCAGCCCACGCTGGGCTCAGTTGTTTCTTGGGGATGACCTAGTTCTCCAGGCTTCCCCAGGATCAGCACCCCCCCAGCTCAGGGTGCAGTAGGGAGGGGTGGGCTTGGACAGGGTCGTGTCCTCACTCTGGCTATCCTTCCTCCTCCTAGGGTGACCGAGGTTTTGATGGACTCCCAGGGCTCCCTGGAGAGAAGGGCCATAGGGTGAGTACATTAGTGGGTGTGTGTTGTAATTGGGGATAGATCTTCTATGGGAGTGAGGATAGGTAGGGAAGGGAGGCTGGAGGCTTGGCAGGAGCTCAGTGAAAGTAATGGATGGGCTAAGTGCAGAGGTTCGGTGTCTGCCTGTGTTGGGGGCTCTGAAGCCCCTCTTATGAGTTCCCCCATTTTGCAGGGTGATACTGGTGCCCAGGGCCTTCCTGGTCCCCCTGGTGAGGATGGAGAGAGGGTAAGTGTAGTGGCAAATGTAGGGGCTGGGTGCAGGGGAGGTCTAGAAGGCACAGCAGCTTTACCGTGTCCTCCTCCTCCAGGGAGATGACGGGGAGATTGGGCCTCGAGGGCTGCCTGGAGAGTCGGTGAGTGTCCAAGGGCTGGTGCTGGGGGAGGGGGCTCTGGGGAAGCCAGGAGGGGGACATGAGCACTAAAGGGACACAGTTTTATCCATTCATGCCGTCTCCTCCCCTCACCGTGAATGCAGGGACCTCGAGGTCTCCTTGGCCCCAAAGGCCCACCTGGTATTCCTGGACCCCCTGTAAGTGACTCCCTGACTTCTGACCCTGAGGTGACCCCTTGACCTCTCCAACTCTCCACCTTTCTAGCTGCCTTCCTGCTCCCTCTCCTCTCTCGGCATGCTTCCCATTCCCTGTGAGCTCCCCCTGCTCTGGCCCCACACTGCCCTGCCTCAGCATTCGCTCCCCGTGCACAGGGAGGGCCATGTGGCGTGGTGCCCCGAGGGCTCTGGGCATAGGAAATAAATCTTCAAGAAAAACAAAACCAAAGCCCACAAGCCCACAGATCCACAGTCCCACACACTGCAGGCCTGGGCCAGCTGTGTTTGCTTGGGTTTGGGATGGATTGGAGGTCTGACCGTCACACCCTCGGGAATGGCCGGGCCTCTGAAAACCACAGGTCCCTCCGGGCCACCTTCAGGCTGCTCACACCCATCTTGTGTTTCAGGGCGTCCGAGGCATGGATGGTCCCCAGGGCCCCAAAGGGAGCTTGGTGAGTGATGGATAGGAGATCCCACCCCCATTCTTATCCCCCGAGGTCCCTGCCAGCATCCTGTTGGCCTCCATTTTGACCCCTGCCTGCTTCCTGCTCTTGCCTTCTTGGCTATCGCTGCTGGGACTCAGCTCCATGCTCTAAATGTGTTCTATCTCCATCTCCTTCTGACCTGTGCCTGGTCACCTGTTTCTAGGGACCCCAGGGAGAGCCAGGACCTCCTGGACAACAGGGCACCCCTGGGACCCAGGTGAGCGGTGCCCCTACTCCGTTCCCCAATTTTCATGACTTCCCTTGGGCTTCCACAATGGGTGAGACCCTGGAAGGATACAGGAAATTAAGGGTTTCAGGCCCTTGTTGCTCATGCTTTGAATCCGGGAGGCTGGATAGAAGAGACCCTGGGAGGCCCCTGTGACTTCTCTTTCCCTGTATGTAGGGTCTTCCCGGGCCCCAGGGTGCCATCGGCCCTCATGGAGAGAAGGTAAGTGACTAAGTGATTTGGAGGACAGGGGGTTTAGAGTGGGGATGTAGGGAGAACCCTAAATGTCTGCTGGGATTTTGTCTGTGTCCAGACATGACCCCTCTAGTGACCCTGAGCCTCTTTGTCTTCCTGCAGGGTCCTCAAGGGAAGCCAGGGCTCCCCGGCATGCCTGGCTCAGACGGACCCCCGGTGAGTGGGACCCCACTTCCGAATCCAGTTCCCCTTGGCCTTCCACCCCAGTGCATGACCTCAGAGCTCCTTTAGTGACCCTTGCACTGAAAGGTCACTGGTGGTGCTTGTCCATGGACAGTTGGCTTCACTAGGTCACAGGAAATTTGGGTTGGAAGAAGTGTAGGGAGGGGTGCAGAGAGGGTGACAGGGGCCACTGGTCACATTTTCTATCCCTTACTCCCAGGGTCACCCAGGGAAGGAAGGTCCCCCTGGAACCAAAGGAAACCAGGTGAGATCTTCCATGTCTTTATCCCCTGAGGGAGTCTCCACTCAGACTCTAGAGCCTCAAAGTCCTTGGGATTCCCTTGTCTCATTATTCATATGGCTCTGCCACATTCTCAATTCCTGTGCCCTGTAACCCTACCCAGACAGCAATGTTGTTACTTCCATTTCTTCCACCCCTGGAGGCCCCCACAGTGACACTCTGAGGCCCCTTTATAAATGCCTCTCTTTTATCTTCCAGGGTCCCTCTGGACCTCAGGGACCTCTAGGATACCCAGGACCTCGAGGGGTCAAGGTAACTGACCACCAGGCTGGGAGACAAAGGGCTGTGGTCAGGGGAGCTATATGGGGTCTTAGGAGCTTGGTCCTTCCAACCCACCTCCATCCCCTGATCAGTCTACTTCTATCCCCTCTCTAATTCTAGGGTGTGGACGGAATTCGGGGTCTGAAGGGTCATAAGGGTGAGAAGGTGAGCACCATGCCCCCAGCTTCCCAGCACCTCAGTCCTGCCATCTCCTCTCTTCACTGCCTTCCCTCCAGCCTGCCCCGCACTGCCGTCCAGCTCCCGAGCCCCTGCTTCCACCTATGTTCTCAGAATTCCCATTAGAACCCCAGCCCTCTGTCATCTGTGGTGCCCTCTCACCTCTATCTTTCTCAGGGTGAGGATGGCTTTCCTGGGTTCAAAGGTGACATAGGCGTGAAAGGTGACAGGGTGAGTAGAGACCCCACACTGGCCCCAATTCCGTGTTCTACTGAGCCTCCACTCTGGAGACGCCAAGCACCGGTTTATTCTCCTGAGTCTCCAGACTCCACAGTTCCAGTGCTGTGTTCCCTTGGGAGCCTGACCCCTACAGGATGATAGCCCCATGGTCTGTGTCATGCCTGCCCTCCCATCACTACACTATCCCTACCCTGTGGGCTTCCTGTCCTGCAGTGGCTCCTGGGACCCCTCTAGCCCTCCTCAGCCTCACTGTTGCCCATTTCTCCTCTGGGCCCAGAGCCCACCTCCAGTCCCCAGCACTCACCTGTCCTTCCCTCTCACACAGGGCGAAGTTGGAGTCCCTGGTTCCAGGGGAGAGGATGGTCCTGAGGGGCCAAAGGGACGCACTGGACCGACTGGAGACCCTGGGCCCCCAGGGCTCATGGGCGAGAAGGTGATGGGATGAGGGTTCTGTGCCTGGGTCCTCTGGGGGTGTGGGCACTGGGGTCAGGATGGGCATGGGTGCCCGCCGCTGAAGTCAGCCAGTCAGTTGAAGATGGCCATGCATTAGTCATACTTCTGTCTGTGTAAATGGCATCTCTCAGCTGCTGATGGGCAGAGGGGATATATAAGAAGTCAGGGAAAAGTCCCTGACACGAAGAGTTGGACGGAGACGAAGCTTAGAGAGTAGCTGTTGCTTCAAGGCAGAGTGAACATGCGTTCGGACTCCAAGCAGCAGGAGTTCTGAGATGAGAGAGTCTAATAGCAGTGAGGTCTGTGGTCTCCAGAGCTGACTCTCCCCAGCACTTGCCCTATGCCAGGTGCTGTGCTGATGCGTCCTATCTATCCTATGAGGTAGGCATGTGACGTACTGTTTTGCTGAGGTTTTACAGAGGCACAGGGATGCTTGTTGATTACATGGCCAGTGAAGGGCAGAGCCAGGGGTTATGCCCAGGCAGTCTGGCTTCAGAATCTCTGCTTCTAAGCCCTGCTCTGCAGCTGCCTGGGCAGGGTGAGCCCTGGAGCCTCTGGGGAAGGGGGCATGCACGGGAGTCGGGGTGTGGTGGGCAAAGGGCCTGCAGGGGGATTGGTCTTGGTGAAGCAGGAGTGGGTGCTGGGGTAGATCCCACCTCCCTCATGGGGTAGATGGAGCTGAGGTTGACATGTGGGAAGCAGCTAGATCACAGTGACCCTGAAGGACCTGATACCTCTGTAGGCGCAGGGGAGGTGGGATCCCAGCACTAGAATTGGGGAAAATCCACTCATGGGAAGGAGAGACAACAAAAGTCAGGCAGCTGTGGGGCAAGCAATGAGGGGCTAGAGGCTGGGGTGTGTGGGGTGTGTTGCTGGGTGGGGGCTGGCTGTTATATGTGAGGGTTGAGGTCTCCAGGGGTGGAGTGGCATCTGGGCCTCCTCTCACTCCTAACTGCTTCCTGTCCCTCCACAGGGCAAGCTGGGTGTTCCTGGTCTGCCTGGCTATCCTGGACGTCAGGGACCCAAGGTGATGCCATGCCCCATACGTGCCCCTCCTCCTCTTCCCTCCTCCTCTTCCCTTCCCTGATCCCTGATTCCAGAAAGCACAGATGCAGGGCAGTGGGGGACCCCAGAGGGAATTTAGCTGACCCCCATTTTACAGATGACCGAAAGAGGCCCAGAGAGCAGCAGGGGTTTGTCCAAGGCCACTTAGTTCTTGGCAGAGCTCGGGTCTCCCTGGCCACTGCCTTTGTGGCCTCTCCTGACCCCCTTTGCCCCTTCCTGAACCCTACCTTTCATAACTTCTCAATTTCCCCCCTTCTCCGTTCTCACCAGGGGTCCCTAGGATTTCCTGGCTTTCCTGGTGCCAGTGGAGAGAAGGGAGCCCGGGTAAGCTGGGGGGTGGGAGGGGGTGAGAAGGGAAGGGCTGGAGAGGTGTAGAGGGGGTCTGTGGGGAGTCTCACCCTGGGTAATGTTCTCTCTGCTTCATTCCCACCAGGGCCTGTCGGGGAAGTCAGGGCCTCGGGGAGAACGGGGCCCCACGGTGAGTGCAGGGGAGAGAAACAGGTGGCTCAAGGTCCAGAGGGGGGCATTTGGGTTTCTCTGACAACTCCTCTTCCCTCTGTAGGGTCCACGGGGTCAGCGGGGACCCCGAGGTGCCACTGGGAAGTCTGGAGCTAAGGTGAATGGTCTCTACAAGGCTCCAACTGCCCCCTGCCCACTCAGCCCCAGCTCTCCCTCAACATCCTGACCTCGGGGACAGCTGGAAAGCAGCTCTTCCCACTCCTTGACTCTGTTTCCCCCCACAGGGAACATCTGGTGGTGATGGCCCCCATGGGCCCCCTGGAGAGAGGGTAAGTGTGGATCGAAAGTCCCCTTCCCCTGAGGTCCCCAGGGAGCCTGGGTGAGCCAGCTCCCTCCTCACCCCAGGAAGGAAGCTGAATTCCCCCACTCAGCCCCTGCCCCCATTCTCCTGACTCCCCCCACCTCTGTCTCTAGGGCCTCCCTGGACCTCAGGGTCCCAACGGGTTTCCTGGACCGAAAGGACCCCCGGTAAGTTGACCCCGAGCTCTGACCCCCCTCGCTTCTCTGAGTCCTTCTTCCCTACCTGCTTTCCAGCTGAGAGTTCACCTGACAACTGAACCCCTTCCAGGGCCCCCCTGGGAAGGACGGGCTGCCGGGACACCCAGGCCAAAGAGGAGAAGTGGTGAGTGATGCTCCTGGCTACCCATTCTCAGGGGGCTCCATCAGACCCTTTAACCCCAGAGCTGTCTGGAAAGCCCACAGGGACGTTCTCCTGGCAGAGTGGAGCCTGCCCTGGTGCTGCTCAGACCCAGGGCCCAGGGCTCGGTGTGATCCTGCCTGGGATCCTTCCTCCTGGGAATCTGCCCCACAGCGCCCACACCTGCTTTCACTGCATTCTCCTCTCTTCCTCGCCTAGGGTTTCCAAGGGAAGACCGGCCCCCCTGGTCCTCCAGGAGTGGTGGGACCTCAGGTAGGTTTGTCCCTAGGAGAGAATGGACCCCTGACCCTAGCATTAGTCTGTCTGCCCCTCTTCTCTCGGTCACACGCCCCTGCCCCGGTCCACCTGACCCAGACTCCTGGGGCTGGGGTCAATGGTGGGGGCTGGGATTTCAGGCAGGGGTCCTGAACTTCAGTCTGTTTTGGGGCGCATTCTCATCGTCTTGTCCCCCAGGAGAGGCAGTTCCCCAACAGAGACACAAGGTGGTGTAGTTACTCCACATGGGGCAGGAGAAAACCCAGCAGTGGCCCAGGAATGCCGGGGAATTTCCCAGGAGCTTTGGGGCAGGGATAAAGGGGTTCTGAAGGAGTGTTTTAGGGTGGCCAGGGTGGGCTCTTCTGGCAGACAGCGAGATGAAGGGCCTGAGAGCAGGAACTCTCTCTGCTTTTGTCTAGGGAGCAGCAGGAGAAACCGGCCCTATGGGGGAGAGAGGTCACCCAGGCCCCCCGGGGCCCCCTGGAGAGCAGGGACTACCTGGGACAGCTGGAAAAGAAGGAACAAAGGTCAGTGAGGGGCCAGGCAGAGGGGAAGTGGGGGAGCTGGGGATTGGGGTGCTGAAAGGAACAGGTAGTTGGAGATTTGAGGGGGGGCTGGAGAGCTCTCTGTTTAATTTGGGAGCATGGCTGTGGCTCATCACCTCTCCTTTCCTTTTAGGGTGACCCTGGTCCCCCTGGGGCCCCAGGGAAGGATGGTCCTGCTGGTCTGAGGGGATTCCCAGGAGAGAGAGGCCTCCCAGGCACTGCTGTGAGTGTGACTCCCAGACCCCTGCCTGTCACAAGCACCAAGCATCCTGAGTCCCCCCCCCGACCCTGTCCCTGACCCCCTCCATGTCACTCCCCACTTCCATCTTTTGGAGCCTGTCTTCCCTCTCCAGCTCTCACCCTTCTCTTTTCGTGAAGTCTCATCTTCCCCAAATGTCTGGTTCATAGGGTGGACCTGGTTTGAAGGGGAATGAAGGTCCGTCTGGCCCCCCTGGCCCTGCAGTGAGTCTGGGGTTCCGGAAGTGGTAGGAAGGACCCGGGAAAGGGGTGGGTGAGGAAGGGTGGGAGTGGCATTCTGATACCACCAGGGGCTGTGGGGCTGGGCAGAGGCTGTCCAGGGACAGCCAGAATGCATCTGATTTTGGGAGCTTTTGGGAATTGTGGTCCGAGGTTCTCTGGTATGGGCGGGCTGGTGTCTCCTTCCTGGGGGTCTGACCATCTGCTTTCTCAGGGCTCCCCTGGGGAACGAGGTGCAGCAGGATCAGGGGGACCCATTGGTCCGCCAGGGCGCCCAGGCCCGCAGGGTCCCCCTGGAGCAGCAGGAGAGAAAGGTGTCCCAGTGAGTGTGGGGGTCTTGGGGAGGGGTACTGGGGAGGGGTCTGTGAGCCTAGGGTTGATGGGCTATGACAAGTTTCCTGTGGGGTGTTTGAGGGTGAGGGTCACCTCCAGGCCATGACTCCTTCCTCCTGTCCCACAGGGTGAGAAGGGCCCCATTGGCCCAACTGGCCGAGATGGAGTGCAGGGTCCTGTGGGGCTTCCTGGTCCTGCTGGGCCTCCAGGTGTGGCTGGAGAGGATGGAGACAAGGTGAGGGGACCCCACAGACCCCGACCAATCTTCTTTCCAGATGAGATGGCTGACCTGGGCATGACCCCTGGCCCCTGTCATGTCATCCTTCCCACTCTACCCATCACCTTTCTCTAATATCTTGTCTGCCTTCTCCTCCCAGGGTGAGGTGGGGGACCCCGGACAGAAGGGCACCAAAGGGAACAAGGGTGAACATGTAAGTGTCCATGACCTTGACTTCTGACCTCCTGGCCTTTAACCTCAGTCCCACCTGATCTCTCTCCCTGTTTTGGTGTCTCTGACTCTCTTTTCTTACCCAGGGCCCTCCTGGACCCCCTGGACCCATTGGTCCTGTGGGGCAGCCTGGAGCAGCGGTGAGTGACCCCTCCACCCCCACCGAAGGCCCAGCAGCCTCTGGTCCTCCCTCAGCTCCCCTCTGCCCTTGTGGCTGGGAGTGGGAGCAGGGGCTCTGGGCCTGGCACCCAGCTGTGTGTGGTATTTGTGGATAGAGAACACCGACC
This sequence comes from Homo sapiens, assembly GCF_000001405.40. Classification (NCBI taxonomy): domain Eukaryota; kingdom Metazoa; phylum Chordata; class Mammalia; order Primates; family Hominidae; genus Homo; species Homo sapiens. The sequence goes on along the minus strand of NT_167248.2, from coordinate 4,365,370 downwards.
CATGACCCATCCCTGTGTCCTTGTCTCTGCTTTCCCTCAACCCTGCAGGGAGCAGATGGGGAGCCTGGAGCTCGGGGACCCCAGGGACACTTTGGAGCCAAAGGTGATGAAGGAACAAGAGGATTCAATGGGCCCCCAGGACCCATTGGCCTACAGGTGTGTTGGGGGATAGGACAGGGGCTGAGAGGTGGGGTCAGGATGGGGTGATGTTTTGCCCCAGACTCTGCCAGCAGCCTGCCGATGCGGACTGGAGGGCCTGCGGAGTCTGAGGGGAGGGGACTGTGGGGCCTATCTGCCTAGGGCTGTGCTTTGGGTGGGGTCGTCACCTGGGCCCATGTTTTGTATACTTGCACAGGGTTTGCCAGGCCCCTCTGGGGAGAAGGGAGAAACAGGAGATGTGGGTCCTATGGTGAGTGTGACCCCTACTGACCCTAGCCACCATACTAGTCACCCCCCTCCCTGGCCAGCCCCCACCCCACACCCCACTGCCAACTCCCTGGCCTGGCTGCTCCTCCTCCTCTCTCCACCATTCATGCTCAGCCATCTCACTTCCCTTCCTCATCTGTGGTGTATCTGTTTCCCCCAGGGACCACCTGGCCCCCCAGGACCTCGAGGTCCAGCTGGACCCAATGGCGCTGATGTGAGTCATCTCAGCCCCTGTCCCTTGAGACCAATGTGTCTGGTCTTCTGCCTCCCTTTCCCAGACCATAAACTCTAGTATCGTCTCAGGGGCCAAGAGAAGCCCTTACTCCCGGGAGGCCTCCACTGCCTCACTGCTGTAACCTTGGGCTGCTCATCTGGGACTTTGCCCCTGAAATGGCACCTCCATCCTAAGCAATGACACCTATTTCTGTTCCTCTTCCAGGGCCCACAAGGTCCCCCAGGAGGTGTTGGGAACCTGGGTCCCCCTGGAGAGAAGGTAACTGGGAAGGGGGTGAGTGGACCAGTCATGGAAGTGGGGGATGGGAGTTGGATTTCTGCCAATTTTGGGTGGGGAGACAAAAGAGAATGAGATATGGGGAATATCAGAATTTTTTGGCTGGGGAAGGAGAGGAGGTTTTTGACTCTAATCTCTTTGCAGGGGGAACCAGGAGAGTCAGGATCTCCAGGGATCCAGGGCGAGCCAGGTGTCAAGGTGAGTGACAGCTCCAAGGCCTTACTCCCCAGTCCCCGTCACCCGCCTCAACCCTGCCTCCACTTTTCCTGTGACCTCCTTGAGCTGGAACTCCTCTGCAGCAAGAGTCTCTGCTCCCTGCCATCCTCTATGAGGCCTGATCCCTGGTCTGAGTGAGCCCTTCTTCCCCTTTCTTGAAGGGAAGGGGACTAGGGAACTCCCCTTATAGGCTTGACTTTCTGTGTATGTCCCATTGTCACTGAGGGGAGTAGGGGATGGCTGAAGGTGTCTCGGAAGCAGAGGCTGCATCCCTGATCTTCAAGATTCCCTGGGCCATCTGTGTCCTCCGCTTGTTCTGCAGGGTCCACGCGGGGAACGTGGAGAGAAAGGAGAGTCGGGGCAGCCAGGAGAGCCAGGGCCACCAGGGCCTAAAGGCCCCACAGGCGATGATGGCCCCAAAGGGAACCCTGTGAGTTTGGGGCAGTGGGGGCTGAGTCCTCTCAGGCCCTGTGAATGACAGACCTGGGAATATGGGTGTGTGTGAGGGAGGATCTTGGAGTGTGGGGAGCCCGGGAGTTTGGGGGATGCTCTGGGAATGGGGCATCCAGAGGGATGCCTGGGGTCTAGGATCCGGAGAGAAAGTGAGAGATGCCCTGCAGTTAATACCTTGAGGAATTAGACAACACGCAGTGCACGTGGTAGGGAAAGGGGTGCAGGAGACCTCTTCCTGGGGGGTACTGGTGGGCACTGCCTCTAGAGAGGCAGTGGCGTGTGCCTGTGGGCGTCTGTGCTGGGTGGGCTTAGGGAGCTGTGACCCTGACTCTTATTCTCCATCTGGATCAGGGTCCTGTTGGTTTTCCTGGTGACCCTGGCCCCCCTGGAGAAGGTGGCCCTCGGGTGAGTCTTACTCAGAGAAGGGAAGGGGCAAAAAGGGTGGGGCTTCTATGGGGGGGGTCCTCTGTGTGGCCGCTGGGCTTGGGTATTGGGAAGCTGGGGGTATGGCAGGGTGGGCAAGGGGATGGGGTATTGACAGTTTTGGAGGTGATGCCAGCCAAGTTGGGGGCCCACCTCTGACCTTGCTTCACTTCTGCAGGGCCAGGATGGTGCTAAGGGTGACCGAGGCGAGGATGGTGAGCCAGGACAGCCTGTGAGTGCCTGGTGACCCCACCACCCCCCTGAGCCCAAGCCTCATCCTCTTTACCCCTCTTCTGTGCCCCACTCCTGAGGGGTCCCTTGGCTGGAGGATAAACACTCAGCCACCCCAATTCCTCTCTCCCTAGGGATCCCCTGGTCCCACCGGGGAGAATGGACCCCCAGGGCCACTTGGAAAGCGAGTAAGTGAGGTGGACCCCTGAGACCTTGGGAGGCAGTCCCTGGGCTGTGTGGGTGGAGGCTGGGCAATGGCAGGTGGGATGGGTGGGGAGGTGCCTGGTGTCTGCATTGCCCTGGGTGTGTGTGTGTGCAGGAGCTGGTGGGTTTAAGGGTGTGTGGTATCTCATTGCCCGGGGCAGGGTGTGTGTGCAGGAGCTGGTGGGTTTAAGGGTATGCGGTATCTCATTGCACTGGGCGAGTGTGTGTGCAGGAGCTGGTGGGTTGATGGGTGTGCGGTATCTCGGGCATGTTTGTTCCTGGGTTCTGGTGTGTATGTTTTCACCAGGGGTAGTGGTCGTTACTGACAAAGCAGAATGGAAACTGGAGGAGGGGCTGGCCAGCTTTTCTGTGGGCCAGGGGTGAACCTTTTTAGTTTCTGGGGCAGGAGACGGGCCACCAGGTAGGGTGTGGGCAAGTGGCCCTTCACCAAATGTACAGACTACCCAGTATTTTCACAACTGTCACAGCTGTATCTGTTCTGCACATCTGTGAATCGGCCCTCGGCGCGTGTCCCTGTGTATGCACGTGTGTGTGTGCATGTGTATGTGTGTGTCTAGGACAGGAAGGGGGAAGAGTTGAGCCTGGCTGCCCACGGCCTCATGTGCTCTTCCTTCCCACTCCACCTGCAGGGTCCTGCTGGCTCGCCTGGTTCCGAGGGGCGACAAGGAGGGAAGGGAGCCAAGGTGAGGGACAGGCTGCCCTAGTGCTGGAGCATCCCCTCCGCCTCCCACCCCTCAGATGCCTCCGTCTCCAGATGCCCACCCCATCTCCACCTCTCCCATGTTGGGCCCTTATGGGGACAGGCGTTCCCTGTACTTGTTCCTGCGCTAGGGGCTCCTAGAGTTTGGCCCTTCCTCCCTGCCTCCCACCTCCCACCTTGGACCCTCTGCCCCCTGCCCACACCCCACTCCTCTGCCATTCAGGACACATTCCTTGTGTGTGTTTCAGGGAGATCCTGGCGCTATAGGTGCCCCGGGGAAGACAGGCCCGGTGGGTCCTGCAGGCCCAGCAGGGAAACCTGGCCCTGATGGTCTGAGGGGGCTCCCAGGCTCAGTGGTGAGTCACTGCAGGGAAGGGCTGGGCTGGGGTGGGAGTGAGGGGCCATGGGAGGGGTGCAGTGTGGGGATGCTCCTCCTGACCCCTGTGGCCCCCTCAAATCTTCAGGGTCAGCAAGGCCGACCTGGAGCTACAGGCCAGGCTGGGCCCCCAGGTCCTGTGGTGAGTGACTGGGATTGGGCTGAGTGAGGGGTGAGGGCAGTGCCCTGGGACAGAGCTGAAGCCCTGGAGGAAGTGGAGGCTGTTGGGGAGAACTTGGTCCCACCTCTCCCTTAAGAGAATGACTTCCCATCTCTCCACAGGGACCCCCAGGGCTGCCTGGTCTCCGGGGCGATGCTGGAGCCAAGGGAGAGAAGGTGAGTGACAGACAGACACGTGGCCAGGTGTCTCTCCCATCACCCTCGCCCCTGAAACCTGTGGGACCCAAGTGCCCACTGCTCTGCTTCAGGCCTCCGGCAGCCAGTCCCAGGGAGTCCCTGCTCAGTGAGGGCCACTCACGGACCCTGTGCCCGGCTCCCTCTCCATGTCCTCTTGGCCCTTCTCCCCCATCCACATGACTCCTCTTTGCATTCTCTTGACTGCCTGCACCCTTCTCTAGGGCCACCCAGGTCTCATTGGACTGATTGGGCCCCCGGGTGAGCAGGGAGAGAAGGGAGATCGGGGACTTCCTGGGCCTCAGGGCTCCCCTGGGCAGAAGGGTGAGATGGTGAGTAGAGGGCATGGTCCCGGAAGTTGTGGGGGTTGAGAGTGGGGTGGAGAGGGGTGGAGTTGGAGTTGGGACTCAGCTGTGGGTAAGCGAGCAGGTGCTCATGAGGGTGTGGGAGGAGGACCCAGTTGAACCAGCCACTACCCTTCCTAGGGTATCCCAGGAGCATCCGGCCCCATTGGTCCTGGAGGTCCCCCCGGCCTCCCCGTGAGTACTGCCTCTGTTCCTCCACAAAATCCCCTAAACCCCTCTGCTGCCCACCCACAGCCTCCCAACGACTTCCATGGAACTACCAGCCTAACAAGCATAGTCCTCAGGGTCCCCCATTTGTCCTGTCACCACCAGTACCTCCTCCCCATACTTCCAGGGCTCTGAATGTCCTAGTATTCCCACAGGACTGCCCCTCCTGTAGTAACCCGAGGCTCCTGTGGACTTGGGACCTTGCCTCCCCGCTCCTCTGAGTCCTGTCCTTCCCCTGCAGTGACCGTCTCTTTCTTGTTCCTCATTTCACAGGGACCTGCTGGCCCCAAAGGAGCCAAAGGAGCCACAGTGAGTGACCCCCTTCAGCTCTGACCTTTGCTCCACCCCCTCTGGACTTGATGATGTCTCTCCAGGACAAATAGACTCCCCCCAAGGAGCCCCTTATTCCAGCCAGGAGGCTGATTTGATCTTTCTGTGACCTTGATCCATGCTTGACCTCTTGACCCCTCCATGACCTGATTTATTCCTTGTCAGGGCCCAGGCGGACCCAAGGGAGAGAAGGGTGTGCAGGGCCCTCCAGGACACCCGGTGAGTGAGGAGTCAGGGCTGCTCCCAGGGCCGTACCCCTCTGCTCCACTGCTGCCACACTTCACCCTCACACCAACCTTGTCTCTTGCCCTCTCCATCTGTCCCTGCACCCAGGGTCCCCCAGGCGAGGTGATCCAGCCACTGCCCATTCAGATGCCCAAGAAGACTCGGCGCTCGGTGGATGGAAGCCGTCTGATGCAGGAAGATGAGGCCATACCGACCGGGGGAGCCCCCGGCAGTCCTGGGGGGCTGGAGGAGATCTTTGGCTCACTCGACTCCCTGCGGGAGGAGATCGAGCAGATGAGGCGGCCAACAGGGACCCAGGACAGCCCTGCTCGCACCTGCCAGGACCTGAAGCTGTGCCACCCAGAGCTTCCCGATGGTCAGTGCTAGCCTCAGGGTGCACAAACATCTCCCCAACAGCATGGGTACTGAACAAGCAGAATGGATGCTGGGGGAGTCTTGGTGAAGGTGTTGGGTTAAGGGTGAGGGCTGAGGGGCTGGGAACTGCAGCTATTTACTAACCAGGTCAGAAGTATCCCAATACTTTAGCAACTGATCTGGGTCAGTGTGTACCAGTTGGTTATCAGCCCAGTGTCTGCAGGAGCAGATAAACATACATACGTGCACACACCTGTTTGCACCTGAACAGATGAATCTGTGTGAGCGCCTGCAACCACATGTTGTCCCAGTATGAGGCTGTCCATACTCGGACCTCCTCCAGTCAGAGGGCCTGGGGTTACTGTTGGGGGCAGAGGTGTCACGTGATGAAAGTGAGCTGCAGCAGTAGGATGCTGCAGTAGAATCCAGCAGTAGGGCTAGATTCTAGGGCTCTGGGAGGGAGGAGGACCAGGAGACTAAGAGCATGATGGGGAGGGCTGGGAGGGAAGAGGGAATGTGGGGGCAAAGAGCATCTTGGAGCCTGGACCTAGGTGGCCCTGACCTCCCCTCTCCCTCACCCAACAGGAGAGTACTGGGTCGACCCCAACCAGGGCTGTGCTCGGGATGCCTTCCGAGTTTTCTGCAACTTCACAGCAGGGGGTGAGACCTGTGTGACGCCTAGGGATGACGTCACGCAGGTGAGAGCTGGCCCCTCGCTGCCCCTCCCCTGCCCCATAGTGCACCCCCTCAGGGCTTAGTGGTTTCTGGGTTTTGGTGACAGTCCCCTGGCTGTTGCCCCCCCCGGAGCCTGCCACCCCTTCTCCACTTCTTAGCTCTTTCTTCTTTTCCTTTTCACCGGTCCTCTGATGCTCACTTTGCCTTTCGTGTACCCCCAGTCTCCTGGCTCCCACTCAGCCCCTCACTTCTTTCCCAGCCCTTGCCTTCCAGCCATTCCCTGCTCATGACTCTGGCTCAGCTGTCCTGGTGCTGTAGATGCTCCTGAGGCCCGTCTCTGTCTCCCTCTGAGGCCAGCCCTCTCTCTCCCCCTCTGAGGCCAGCCCTCTCTCTCCTTCCAGTTCTCTTACGTGGACTCAGAGGGCTCCCCAGTGGGTGTGGTCCAGCTCACCTTCCTGCGGCTGCTCAGCGTCTCAGCCCACCAGGACGTCTCCTACCCCTGCTCTGGAGCAGCCCGTGACGGTCCCCTGAGACTCCGTGGGGCCAATGAGGATGAGCTGAGCCCGGAGACTAGCCCCTATGTCAAAGAATTCAGAGATGGCTGCCAGGTGGGAACAGGAAGAGCTGGGTTGGGGGCTGATCTCAGACTCAGGCTGGAGGAAGGAGGTGGGAAGACCCCTTGGGCAGGGCACCCAGGGGGAGCAGGGAGGAGTCCGTCCTGCTGGATTGTCAGGGATGCCTGAGGGAGCTCAAAAGCCGGTGAGGAAGGTGGAAAGGATGGAAGCCATCGGGTGAGGTTCACTTGGGTACAAACACCAGCGTCACACAGGTTAATGCAGACGTGTACACAGACTGGCACATGGCTGCCCAGCAGAGGCACACGGTGGGGGAGAAGCAAACACACACGCATGGGCACACAGACACTGCCAGTCTGTACATCCTGAGTCACCCTGATGGGGCCAAGGTGCTCAGAGGAGAGGTGAGCCTGGGCCTGAGGTTAGAGGGTGGGGGGTGCCTCCATCCTGCTCACACTTTCTTCCTTGTCTCCCCCTGAAGACACAGCAAGGCCGGACGGTGCTGGAGGTGCGAACGCCTGTGCTGGAGCAGCTGCCAGTGCTGGATGCCTCCTTCTCAGACCTGGGAGCCCCACCGAGGCGGGGAGGGGTGCTGCTGGGGCCTGTCTGCTTCATGGGATAGGACCGTCTCTGTCTGATCCTGTCCATTCGGAACCAGGCCCACCTGGAATCCCACAACATCAGCTCTGTGCCACCTCCCAAGAGGGCTCCTCACTATCTAGGGAGCCCTGGGCCAGGGCGTGGAGAGCCCTCAGTCGGGGCAGGCCAGGGGAGGGGTGAAGTGGTTGCCTGGACACCCCACGGGAGGAGTGGCATCTGGGGCTCTTGGCCCTCCCACCTGGAGCCTGTTACCCGTTAGAGAGCTGAGACCCTTATTTAAAACTCACCTCCCAATCACCCCAAACAAATGGAAGAGAAGAGAAAGGACATGGCGTATTTTGTATTTAAAAGTAATTGTATTAATTATTTAAAGTGTGGAAAGCAAAATAACAAAAAAGAGAAACGCCAACAAAAATCAGCAGATGTTGAAGACAGGGGTCTCGGGGGTGGGCTCCGGCACCCACATCCTGGAGTCAGGACTTTCCTCAGTGACTGTGTGTAGGGGGGTTTCAGGGCTGAACCCCACCTCCCTCCCACCTTCCTCCCACCTCACCTGTCGCACCCACTGTGAAAGTTGGAATATGTGGTCTCCCTGGCCTCAGGGCTCTGACTCTGCCAGGGTGGGGCTCTCTAACCCACAGGTGTTGGCTGCCTGGCCCATGTGCCCACTGTCTCTTCCACTTGGTCTGGGTTTGGCAGGCACTGCCTGCTACTTGAGGGCCAGGATGCTCCCCCAGGGAAGAAACGGAATAGTGTGGGGTGTGTGCAGGGCTGCATCCCGCAGATGGCTGGAATATTAAAATTCTTCTATATTGGCTGGTAAATTGCCATGGCCCTGAGCCACTGAGTATGTTCATTGCCACCCCTGTCCCTCCCCTGGGCACCCCTCACTTTCCCTGATCCTGCAATTAAAGGGTTAATGTGTGGCATATGGAAGGGACTCCCAGGACCCTGTGCCCAGCTTCCATGCTGACTGATGGTTAAATAATGTGATTGTCTCCTCCCAGGTGTCTGTGTCACTGCTTGTGTTGTTATTTCAGTCTCCCTCGACACCCATCTGATGCTTCCTCTTCCCAGCTAAGTGGTTACCAGAATTGTATGGCTTAATCCAGATACCCTGCAAGCCCTGTCCAGCTGGGGTGTCAGGGCCCAGAGTTTACAAAGCCTGGGTGACTAGCATAAAATTACAAACAATGCCCCAGGGACACCAGGTAGGGGTTTGGGGTCCCTATGGCTCCAGTTTCTGACACGGGTGTGCGATTGCTTCTCGGTGTGGGTGGGACGGTGCTACATAGCCCAGTCTAATCTCTGTAAATGGGGAGGCTGAGGCCCACTTCCAAGACATTTACTGCATCTGTACCTCTGGTCACCTTATCCCTCCCCATCAGCCTTGTGCTGTGCTGTCATGAAGACAGGGCTGTGGCCAAGCCCTCCACACTCACGTGTAGTCACGTGCATACTCGTTGAGTCTTTGTGTTGGGTGGAGTCGCACAGTCCCTGCCTGTGTCCCCCCACTCTTGACTGTCCCCCACTTCCCTAGCCTCCCTCTCCTGGGCACTCAGAAGCTCTGCTCCCTCCGGGTTAGGTGTCCAAGAAGTCCTCTCTTCCAAGGCTGGCCGCGCAGCCGGGACCCCCTAGCTGGTGCCCATGGGGCTTCACATTCCCAAGCAGTATTGCCTGGCTCCTGCCTGTCAGGGCGCTGCATTAAAACGTGTTCCAGGGCCTCATCCCAATTTCCTCTTCCTCAACCCTCTTCCTCGCGGGCGCCAGAATCAAGAGTGCGTGCCTTTGTGTCCCGGTTTCGCATCCGCGGCCTCGGGGCGGGCCTGGCAGGGCTGCCCTTCACCCCGAGCCCGAGCCCGGGTAGGCTGCGCCCCCGCCCCTCCTCCCCGTACTTCTTCCTCCCAGCGTGTCCCCGACAGCATCGGCTTGGCCGTCCCGGTCCCAACCCATTCTCGATCGCAGGAAGCCCCACGTGGGCGTCTAGACGGCCACTCTGGCCCGGGCGGGTGCGCGGAAAAACTTCTCGAGGGTGGAAGCCTCTCCTCGGCGCTGGCGCCTCCGCCTCTGCCGCCCCCTAGTGCCCGCGCTGAGAACGCGGCCCCGCACCGGGTCAGCTGAATAATCCCGGTCCCTCAGACGCCTCTCCCTTGTCACCCGCTGAACCCCCTGACCCCGAAGGCCGAATGGAGGAAGAAGCCCCTGATCTCATCTGTCAGGGGTCCGGTGGTGGATAGGTTTTCTGGGATCACCCATGCTCTCCATCTCAATATCCAAGGCCCAGGGGCTTCAGACACCCCCTTCCCTCCCTCTCAGGGTCACATTAAGAGAAGATCAGATCTAAATAGGTGCCCCCCATCTGTTTCTCCCGCACCCACTCCCAGCCTAGCCGGGCTGGAGTTGAGGTTTCTTTGGCGCTCTTTCTGCAGCTGGAGCCAAACCCGCAGAGGTCGCCCCCCGAACAGCAAGAGGACTTTCCCAAAGGTCACGTTTGGTCAGATGCTCTGAGTTCCGAGGGCTTTTCTGCATGGAAACAATGCTGTACAGTCACTCGAATAACATTTATATACGGCGGCTAAGTCCCCAGGCCAATCCACAAAAGCCTATTTAATTACACAGTGCTGCCAACCAACCCCATCTAACAGTTTCACGAGGGAGTCTGTGCCAAGTTGCTGTTGAGGAGGCCAGGCCCACAGCCTTCTCTTGGCAGCTAACTTCTTCCTCCCCTCCAGAAAGCTAGAGCCAGGCTCTAAGGAAGGGTGGGAGGGGTTTAAGGGCAGGGCTGTAGAGGCGGGGTTTTGGGGTGGGGCTGGGTGTGAACAGGGCAAGTGCCCAGGCCTCTGGGCCTGTGGGTAGTGGCAGTGTCTCCATTGGCTGGTGGGCAATGGAGGCTTCTGGGTGGGGTGGGAGGAGATAGGGAAGAGAAAGGCAGAGGCTTTAGGGAACTACTTTGGGTTTGATTGGGGCAGAACATAAACTCTTGTTGGAGGGGCCAAATTCTGAAAAGTATTGACTGATTATGGAAGGAGTTGAACTTGAACCCAAAAACTAAGAGTCATAGATGGTGTTTGAAAAGGCAAGGGATATGATGGAATTGTGCGCTGGCATGGTGGCGAAGGAGAGGAGGGTTTGGGATGGGGCGCACAGGGAGATCATGTTTTTTTTTGTTTTTTGAGACAGAGTCTCGCTCTGTCACCCAGGCTGGAGTACAGTGGCGCCATCTCGGCTCACTGCAGCCCCTGCCTCCCAGGTTCAAGCAATTCTCCTGCCTCAGCCTCCCGGATAGCTGGGACTACAGGTGTGCACTGCCACGCCTGGCTAATTTTTGTATTTTTAATAGAGACGGGGTTTCCTCACGTTGGCCAGTATGGTCTTGATCTCTTGACCTCATGATCCTCCCGCCTCGGTCTCCCAACTGCTGGGGTTACAGGCGTGAGCCACCGCGTGGGAGATCATGTATAGAGGGAGGGCTGTGGGGTGGGTCCTCTGTCCTGTCACACCCTTGGAGCTGCTTTTCAGCTTTGGGCTTATATTTTTAGCATCTGTAACTTATGGTTAAAAAATAACTTGTGAAATAAAATAAAAATAACTTACAGACCACTTATATCACTGTACCTGGGAGCACCACATATCCTAGAAGGCCATGGGCTACACAGAGCTGTTCTTGCCCTCCCTTGGCTGTCTTGCATGCTGAGGTTTGTAGTTTTGAATGGACCAGGGCAGGTGGGGGTGGAGATGAGACAGAGGAGGGAGTGAGTCAAAACAAGGCTCTCAGCCTGGGCAACAAAGCAAAACTCCTTCTCTCTCTCTCTTTCTCTCTTTCTTTGAGACAGGGTCTCTGTCACTCAGGCTGGAGTGGAGTGGCAAGATCATGGTTCACTGCAGCCTCGACCTCCGTGGGTTCCAGCCATCCTCCCACCTCAGCCTCCCGAGTAGCTGGGTCTCCAGGCATGTACCACTAGTTTTTGTATTTTTTGTAGAGATGGGATTTTGCCCTGTTTCCCAGGCTGGTCTAGAACTCCTGGGCTCAAGAGATCTGCCCATCTCGGCCTCCCAAAGTGCTGAGATTACAGGTATGAGCCATCACGCACGGCCCTTTTTCTCTACAAAAAAAAATTTAAAAATTAGCTGGGCATGGTGGCATGTGCCTGTAGTTGCAGCTACTCAGGAGACTCAGGCAGGAGGATCACTTGAGCCCAGGAGTTTGAGGTTGCAGTGAGCTATGCTCTTGCCACTGCACTCCAGCCTGGGTGACAGAGAGATACCCCATCACAAACAGACAAACAAACAAACAAAGGGCTCCAGCTGCCTCAGAAATAAGTTTCTGTGTAGTAGCTTGTGGCCACCTTGTTTTGTGGTTGTTTAGCCCATTTTCCTGCAAGTGTGGTGTGGTCAGCAGGGAGCATCAGGGCCACACTGGAGCTTCTTTCTGTCGAGCTGTGCAGTTCACAGACTGTACATGTGTAGGCCATAGCTATGTTTCTCAACTCAAACCTAGAGTAAGCAGAAGTCACCTTAAGTGCTTATAACTGGCCTTCTGTTATCTTTTCTTTCATCTTCAGAGTAGTTTCATGGGAACTGGCACTGACAGCAGACTGCCATCTCAGTAGGGAAGACCTGTCCTGCTAGTCCTTGAATAAAGACCAAGGATATCTACATGGGCTTCTCCTTTAGGGCTTTCCCCACACGGCCAGGATGGTAGAATGAACACAGCTCTCAGCTTCAGCGAGAGCCAGCATATCACCCTGTCTGGCTTTCCCTCAGTTGGCAGGAGCAGGTCAATCCATTTTGTGTACTTCGCTCTGGCCTCTCTTTTTTTGTTTGTTTTTTGTTTTTGAGATAGGGTCTCACTCCCCTTGCCTAGGCTAGCATGCAGTGGTGCAATCATGGCTCACTATAGGCTTGACTTCTTATGCTCAGGTGATTCTTCCCCCTCAGCCTCCTGAGTAGCTGGGACTACAGGCGAGTGCCACCATGCCCAGCTAATTTTTTGTATTTTTAGTAGAGACGTGGTTTCTCCATGTTGCCGAGGCTGGTCTCAAACTCCTGGGCTCAAGAGATCCCCCTGCCTCAGCCTCCTAAAGTGCTGGGATTATCTGGCCTCTCTTTTTTTTTTTTTTGAGATGGAGTCTCGCTGTGTCGCCCAGGCTGGAGTGCAGTGGCACAATCTCGGCTCACTGCAACCTCCGCCTCCCGGGTTCAAGCGATTCTCCTGCCTCAGATTCCTGAGAAGCTGGGACTACAGGTGCCCGCCACCACGCCTGGCTAATTTTTTTTATTTTTAGTAGAGACGGGGTTTCACCGTGTTAGCCAGGATGGTTTCGATCTCCTGACCTCGTGATCCACCCGCCTCGGCCTCCCAAAGTGCTGGGATTACAGGCGTAAGCCACCGCGCCTGGCCTATCTGGCCTCTCTTTCTATTAAAAACGCCTTACTCTAGGTTGAAGGACTTTTGGTTCCTGAGGCATGGATGATTTCCCAAAGTACAACAGATAAAAGCCACACTGGCTGTACAGCAGCTCATGTAAAGGTCATGTTCCAGGTCTTGGCCACTTCACCTATAACAGGCTTGGACTCCGGCAGAGCCTCAGGCCAAAGAATGTGGGTCATAGAGATATCTTCCTCATTGTGTTCACATCTCCCCCGGGCCTGGGCTATATTGTTGGGTCAGGTAATCGGCCTGCTCTCCTCATGAAATAAGGCATACCGGTATTACTAATGCTGGGAGAGATTTCTTATAATTCCATCCCTTTCCAGTTGTGGTTATTTGTATTAATACCTGCAGGTTTTCCTTACTTTTAGAACTGCAAATCTATAGAAACAAACAAACCCCAAACCCAACAAACATGTTTCAGAGACATTAGGGTTAGGGAGAAGATGAGAAATAGCACCCTGTTTGATTGGGGCCCTGGGGAGAGAGGGACTCAGACAAAAGAGTTTGAGTGGCAGGTGGTCTAGTTTTGGGTGGGTTGAGCAGACTTAGGGCCAAAGGTAGTACCGATTCTAGCTGGCAGCAGGCCTCTCTGTATTTCCAACTGAGACTTCTCCTTCCCTTAGCTTGTCAGGGATGCTTTGCTTCTGAGTTGCACACTTAACCTCAGCATCAGTTTCTTCACCTGCAAAGTGGGATAATACTTGCTCTGTAAAGGAATAATTCCCCCTTTAGTGACAGCCTTTGCCATGGAAAGTGAGGGGAGGGACCTGACAAGCTGTCTTGGTTCCATCTCCATGTCTTGGTTATTGCTGACACGCGGGTGTCTGGGGCATGCTGCTGTCCCTTTTCCACTTTTGATTTTAGTGCTGTTAAAACTCTATACTTACTATTATTATTTTCTTGTTACAAATCGCAAAATCTGATTCAGAATAGCTTAAGCTCCAAAAGGAATTGATTGTAAAAATATTGGGTTTCTCAGGATTTGAAGACAGAGTTGACTCAATAGGGAAGACTGAGAGCAGTTCTGGGAACCTCAGGGGCTCATGGACTTTGTCCCTGGAGTGTGGATACCCACCGCTCAGCAGAGCTGCTCTTGACCTCTGTGTCTCTGGGCTCCATGGTTCAGAGTCATGGAGAGACAATCTGATTGGCTTAGCTTGGGTTATCTCTGTCCCTGAGAACCAATTTTCTGTGGCTGAGGGCCCAGTGTACCAACCAAGAGGTATGTAGGATGCCTTTTGGTGGAGGTGGAGGGGTGTTGGGGGCACTGTTTCCAGATAATGTGGGATCCTGAGGCCCCCAGGAGGTGTCCGCTTGCTTTCCCTTCTTCGCTTCTGTCTAAACAGACTCCTTTGTATGCATTTGACCAGCGTGATACAACCAGCACCTTCATGATCACATTTGCTCTCCCTGCCACCCAATCTCCTGGATGGGCAACCCAAAGTCACATTCAGCAGCTGTGGCCATGACCTCTCTAACCTCAGAGGCCGACATCTCTGCCAGTTCATATTTTGCCACTTTGTGATTCAGCACATAAACTTTCATGGCCGTTATATCCAGGGCTGCATTGTGACTTCTGCGGGCCCTATGCACTTTTCTAAACAATAAATTTGAAATCATACTTATGATTGTGTTGATACACAGGCAAGTATATTAATATTATATATTAAAATATTTTCTTCAACCTTAATTTTTTTTCTATTTTAAAAGAAATGTAAACATTGCCATGGGAGTATTGTGGGCCCTAGGCACTGTGGCTACTGTACATAATGGATCCATGGGCCCTCCTTGTGTCTTTGTTAAAGATTTTACTGGTTTACTCTTAAAATGTAATCACAATTCTGTTACCACAATTTTAATAATCATTCCTGTTGTCATCAAATATCCAGTCAGTGTTCAGATTTCCAAGATTGTTTTGTAGGTTTTGTGTGTGTGTGTGTGTGTGTGTGTGCGTGTGTGTGTGTGTGTGTTTGACTCATGATCCAAATAAAGTTGATGGTCTTCTAATTATTTAAAGATCTACATTTTCCGTAATTTATTTAAAGTCCTTTTTGTTTACTTTTATTATGGACAAATTTAAGCATATACAAAAGTGGTTTATTATTGCTTTTTTTTTTTTGAGATGGTCTCGCTCTGTCGCCCAGGCTGGAGCACAGTGGCACGATCTCAACTCACTGCAGCAACATCCGCTTCCCAGGCTCAAGCGATGCTCCAGCCTCAGCCTCCCAAGTAGCTGGGACTACAGGCGCCAGCCACCATGCCCGGCTAATTTTTGTATTTTTTGTAGAGACAGGGTTTTGCCATCTTGTCCAGGCTGGTCTCCAACTCCTGAGCTCAAGCAATCTGCTCATCTTGGCCTCCCAAAGTGTTGGAATTACAGGCGTGACCCACTGAGCCTTGCCTGTTATTGCTATCTTAAAAAGAATTAATACATGTTAAAAATCTTTTTCAGTTCTAATTTTGAATACAGTAAATATCAATAACAATATCGTAAGTAAAGCTTTTCAGTGTTTTCAGTAATTTAAGGGATTTATACTCTTAAAACATTGAGAGATTTTTTTCAAATTGAGATTTAAAAAAATTGGGAATCACTAATCTAGAAGAACTGTTAAAAATAGTCATGCCCACCTGTGCTCACCCTTAGAGATCTGGATTCAACCCATTTGGGGCGTGAGCAAAGGGACTTGTGTAAAATTTCCCCAGGCAATTCCAAAGTGCAGGCTGTGTTGAGAACCTCTGCTCTAAACTGGAGAGATCCCGTAAGAAATAAGCAGCCAGGCGCAGTGGCTCATGCCTGTAATCCCAGCACTTTGGGAGACCAAGGCAGGTGGATCACTTGAGGTCAGGAGTTCGAGATCAGCCTGTTCAACATGGTGTAACCTTGTCTCTACTAAAAATACAAAAAATTCGCCAGGTGTGGTGGCACGTGTCTGTAATCCCAGCTACTGGGGAGGCTGAGGCAGGAGAATCACTTGAACCAGGGAAGCAGAGGTTGCAGTGAACCGAGATCATGCCACTGCACTCCAGTCTGGTAGACAGAATGAGACCCTGTCTCAAAAAAAAAAAAAAAAAAAAAAAAAAAAAGAAAAAAAAGGAAATAAGCAAAGATGGCCGGGTGTGGTGCCTCACACCTGTAATACCAGCACTTTGAGAGGCTGAGGCGGGCGGATCACCTGAGGTTAGGAGTTCGAGACCAGCCTGACCAACATGGAGAAGCCCCATCTCTACTAAAAATACAAAATTAGTCGGGCATGGTGGCACATGCCTGTAATCCCAGCTACTTAGGAGGCTGAGGCAGGAGAATCGCTTGAACTTGGGAGGCAGAGGTTGCGGTGAGCCAAGATCACGGCATTGCACTCCAGCCTGGGCAACAAGAGTGAAACTCTGTCAAAAAAAAAAAAAAAAAAAAAAAAAAAAAAAAAGAAATAAGCAAAGGCACAGAGTGGGAAAGGCAACCAAATGCCCTAGGTCTGAAAGGGCCTCCTGGGACCTGCTGCATCCAGCAGAAATGCTTGCAAGTGCAGGCCCAGACAACCCAAAAAACAGGGGCTAAAATAAACAGGAATTCATTTTTCTCATAAGAAATCTGAGGATGACAGCTTCCAGCATTGGTTTGAGCATTTAATGATGCCATCAGGGTTCCAGACTCTTCATATGTTTACACTCCACCCTCCTACAATGTTACCCTTACATATTTTCTTTGGCTAAACTATAAGCACGTTTTTCATAATAGCTGTTCCATTTACATCACTGTCAAACATGACATTCACCAATAAAGAAAAGACGCATGAGACGTGTTCGGCACCCCTTAGCTGTAGAAATGCCTGCCACCACTTTGCTGTCATGAAAGAGCCATTTTATGGCTATTGCAAATGCTTTGAAGATACTAAGACTTGTACCTGGAAGCTATAGATGCAGTGTGGGAAACTGGGAAGTATAATTGCCACTGAATTGTTATTGATTTATTACTGCAAATAAATCTATGCAGGTCCCTTCTGAAATTGAGATGGTCCTGAACTGAACAAATGTCTTATTGACATTCATAACAGTGGCTGGTATTCCTTCTTTATCCTGTTTGTCAGTTTTTGGAATTCACTGATTAGATAAATAAAAAGAATCTCACTTGCTCCTTACTAATGAGCTCCACGGAGGGGCATGATGTTGGAAAAGGCACCATGCAAGGCATGATTACTAAGAAGACAAAGGGCTTGTCGGGGAGCTGTTAGGGAGGGTCCTGAGCCAGGGCTTGGGAAAAACATCTCATCATTTTACTGTATCTGATGCTTGGAAGTGACATGTGCTTTGCAAACTCCAGTTTATGTTTTGATGACTTTGTGCTTGTTCTGCTTGGTTAGGATTAGCTTCAGCTGTGAGAAACAGAAAACCCTGAAAACAACAGTGTCTCCACCAAGATAGAAGTTCATTTCTCTCTCACATGCAACCCTAGGGCTGGTGTAGTGTTTAAGTGTCAGAGACTCAGGTTCCTTCTATCTATCTTTTTCTTCCACCAGCCTCAACATAGCTCTTCTCTCTCAGGTCCAATATGACTGCTTGAATTCCAGCTTTCATGTTTGTGTTCCAGTCAGCTGAAGGAGAAAGGGGAAATAAGGACAACCCCTCTTTTTTTTCGTTTTTTCTTTTTTTTTTTTTTTTGAGAGGTAGTCTTGCTCTGTCACCCAGGCTGGAGTGCAGTAGTGGATCTCAGCTCACTGCAACCTCCGCTCCCCAGGTTCTAGCGATTCTCCTGCCTCAGCCTCCTGAGTAGCTGGGATTACAGGCATGTGCCACCATGCCTGGCTAATTTTTGTATTTTTAGTAGAGATGGAGTTTCACCACGTTGGTCAGGCTGGTCTCAAACTCCTGACCTCAAGTGATCCACCCGCCTTGGCCAATACCTTTAGGCAAAGCATTATAGCAGGAGTCTAAAAACAAATGGGCTGTTTTGTTTTGCTCGGAAATCTCTCCCCGAGGGATTGTTTTGTTTTTTGAAGTATTTGAAGGCTAAGTATCTAGAGCTTGTGCTCATGGAGTAGCTGCCCCCTTTCCTCGTGAGGCCACCATTAGTTACCTCTGCATATATGTCTGCCTCTGAGGTGTCTGGCTGTCTGAGGAGGCCTCTGGCTTTGTTAGTACACCACTAGGATATTTGCAACGTGGATCAAGACTTTTTAATTTAATTTAATTTTATTTTATTTTTTTGAGATGGAGTCTTTCTCTGTCGCCCAGGTTGGAGTGCAGTGGCACAATCTCAGCTCACTGCAACCTCTGCCTCCCAGGTTCAAGCCATTCTTCTGCCTCAGCCTCCCAAGTAGCTAGGATTACAGGTGCCTGCCACCATGCCTGTTGTGGGAAGTCAGGGACCCCAAATGGAGGGACCAGCTGGAGCCGAGGCAGAGGAACATAAATTATGAAGATTTCATTTTAATATGGACATTTATCACTTCCCTAATAATGCTCTTATAATTTCTTACGCCTGTCTTTACTTCAATCTCTGAACATAAATTGTGAAGATTTCATGGACATTTATCAGTTCCCAAGTAATACTCTTATAATTTCTTATGCCTGTCTTACTTTAATCTCTTAATCCTGTTATCTTCACAAGCTGAGGATGTACGTCACCTCAGGGCCACTATTGTACAAATTGACTGTAAAACATGTGTGTTTGAACAATATGAAATCAGTGCACCTTGAAAATGAACAGAATAACAGCGATTTTAGGGAACAAGGAAAGACAACCATAAGGTCTGACTGCCTGTGGGGTTGGGCTAAAAGAGCCATATTTTTCTTCTTGCAGAGAGCCTATAAACAGACGTGCAAGTAGGAGAGATATCGCTAAATTCTTTTCCTAGCAAGGAATATTGATAATTAATACTCTGGGAGAATAATTGCATTCCTGGGGGGGAGGTCTATAAACAGCCGCTCTGGGAGTGTCTGTCTTATGCGGTTGAGATAAGGACTGAAATACGCCCTGGTCTCCTGCAGTACCCTCAGGCTCACTAGGGTGGGGAAAAACCCCACCCTGGTGAATTTGAGGTCAGACCGGTTCTCTGCTCTCGAACCCTGTTTTCTATTGTTTAAGATGTTTATCAAGACAATATGTGCACAGCTGAACATAGACCCTCATCAGTAATTCTAATTTTGCCCTTTGCCTTGTGATCTTTGCTTTGCCTTTTGCCTTGTGATCTTTATTGCCCTTTGAAGCATGTGATCTTTGTGACCTACTCCCTGTTTGTACACCCCCTCCCCTTTTGAAGTCCTTAATAAAAAGCTGCTGGTTTTGTGGCTCAGGTGGACATCATGGACCTACTGATATGTGATGTCACTCCTGGCGGCCCAGCTGTAAAATTCCTCTCTTTGTACTCTTTCTCTTTATTTCTCAGACTGGCCGACACTTAGGGAAAATAGAAAGAACCTGCATTGAAATATTGGGGGTGGGTTCCCCAGATACATGCCCAGCTAATTTTTTTGTGTTTTTAGTAGAGACAGGGTTTTGCCACGTTGGCCAGGCTGGTCTCGAATTCCTGACCTCAGGTGATCCACCCGCCTCAGCATCCCAAAATGCTGGGATTACAGGCATTAGCCACTGCACCTGGCCATCTCAAGATGGTTTTAATGGTTAGAAATATCAGCCAATTGAATTTTCAGAGACATATGCCACCTAATTTTGTATTCAATACTTAAGTCATTAAACTCCAGTGGTCTATATACCTGTTTGGCCTCTAAGACAGTTTGGCCTCTAAGTCTGTGAGCACTTTCTGTGATGATGGAAATGTTCTACATTTATGCAATTTAATGTGGTGGCCACTATTCACATGTGGCTATTGAGCACTTGAAACATGGCTAGTGCACTAAGAAACTCAATTTGAAATTCAATTTTAATTTTATTTAATTTAAATGGCCACAGGTAGCTAGCTAGTGCTACCATATTAGACAGCACAGCTCTGAGGCTCTTTTAAGGACCCACATAATTCAATGAAGAGACCCAAGTTTAATACAGATGTGGGATATGCAGTCTTCATAATTCAAACACGCCAATTAATTTCTGTTCCTCTTTTTCAAGTTGGGGGCTTTCAAGCACAAAGGCTTTTACCTGGTCTTGGGCAGAATTTTTCTCCCCAAAATTTTACCAAAATTTGTGCTCTTTTATACTCTGTTCCTTTTAACTCATAAAATTAATAATGGAAGACAGAGGTTTTTGATGCAGTTGCTTTAAAAAAAACCAGGTTCAGGCCAGGCACAGTGGCTCACACTTGTAATCCCAGCACTTTGGGAGGCTGAGGTGGGCGGATCTTCTGAGGTCAGGAGTTTGAGACCAGCCTGGCCAGCATGGTGAAACCCCGTCTCTACTAAAAATACAAAAATTAGCTGGATATGGTGGTGCGCATCTATAATCCCAGCTACTTGGGGCTAAGGCAGGAGAATTGCTTGAACCTGGGAGGGGGAGGTTGCAGTGAGCTAAGATTGCGCCACTGCACTCCAGCCTGGGTAACAGAGTGAGACTCCATCTCAAAAATAAATAAATAAATAAATAAATAAATAAATAAATAAATAAATAAAATCAGGTTTACTGAGATATAATTTAAATACAGTGAAACCATAGCTGTACAGTTGTTTATGAGTTTGACAAACATATTCATTGTGTAACTACTACTACAATGAAGATAATATTTCTATTACCCCAAAAAGTTTCCTCATGGACCCAGCTTTTTTCAAGTCACTCCTGGTTAATGTGTCATTAGGATAATAAAACAATGTTAATTCTTGAATTGGATTTAGGCTGTTTAAATTTTGCTCAATGGATTGTACCTCGGAGGTGGGAGAATTTACTCTGGCAACTTAGTAAAGGTTGGGGCTGCCAAGTGAAGGCAGACTGTTGGTGAATATAATTTATTGGGATTGAAAAGGATACATCAGCCAGATTGATGCATGAATGCTAATCAAGGGTTGATTTAGCAAGATCTTCTACTAAGGAAATAATATCATGTACAGTGCTAATCACATTTTTTTCATAATTGAGTTAAATATTTAAAGTGATTAGAATAGTCACTGCCACTTAATACTACTTCAGAATTAGCTGCTTTTCTTAATATCGGTGTAATTCACAATTCACTTCCAAGCTCCACCTACCTTTTGACTGGCCAAAATGAGTTGTTAAAGAGTCCTACTCTTTATCTCAGATTTCTCCAACAATGTTATCATAATTGTTATTTTACATATTCTCCTAGGGATTTGTCACTATTTCATATTACGTTGTTTTGTGGGGAAGTGGAATTCTAGAGGTTCTTAAGAGCTTTTCCAGCTCCCACAGTTGCAATCGTAAGTTCAGATAACATGCCCAGGGGCAGGAGAAATCACCATAGAAGCTTTCTTGGTTCTCTGTATCTCCCATTAATGTTTCATAACCTTCCACCTTCATACTTTCCCCTCCACATACCCTGGTATTCAAAATAGCCCTTCTTATTAGATTGGGTTTTCCTAATTAAAAGTTGCCATTGATGTTATATCCCAAAGTTTCTGGAATTCCTAAACATTGTCCTTTGTCTAAACTGTTTTAACGTGAGTGCAGAGTGTCTCCAGACACAGGTTGGAACAGATCTGGAGGGAAGAACATTGGGGCTGTTTGTCCCATCGTATGAGAGGATCTGGTTTTAGGGCAAAGCTCTTTAAGCTTGGAGAATGAATCGAAGGTGTGGAAGTGCCCTGTTTCTGTATGTTCTAAGAGAAATGAGCTCTTAACGTTTATAAGCTTTTTGTCTTGGCATTCCCCTTCGGTTTGGTCCCTAGCACTGTTAAATTACATGAATTGAGGGTTTGCCAAAACTACTGCTAAATTTGCAGCTTCTGTATCTGCTAAAATTGGACTATTTTTGATACTTCCTTTAACCTGTTTTGTAACCTTGTTAATTTTCTAATGAGCCCATTGTGCTGTTGGGATTCCGATATCCCCAAATCTAATGAGCCATGACCATACACTTTAGCTCCATTCCCACTGGGTTCTCAAATTCTTTTTCATTTTTCCAATTCTTTAGCACTTTCTCTTATAGGCGGTTCTGCCTTAATTTGAAATTAAATGAAAACTTCAGCCCCTTCGTCTCACCAGCTGCTAGCATTTTAAGTGCTCAAGAGCCACCTGTGGCTAGTGGCGGCTCGGTTGGATAGATACAGAACATTTCCCTAACAGCAGAACATTGTATAGGACAGCACTGCTCAAGGGATTGCCCTCCGATGATCACACCCACTTTACAGATACTAGGACTGTCTAACTATGTACACTTTCTTTCTTGCAAATACGATGTCGAAGGCTTTCCCTCAGTTTGTAACTTTTAACAAATATTTTAGAATCTTTATTGATCAATCATACATCTGTGCAACAAAAATATATGTATTCATTTAATTCTTTGTTTAATTGACAAAAATTGAATCTGTTTATGGTATACAATATGATGTTTATATATATATATATATATATATACACACACACACACATTGTTTAATGGCTAAATCAAGCTAATTAATATGTGCATTACCTTACATATTTTTTGTGTTGGGTGAGAACACTTAAAATTATTCACTTAGCAATATTCAAGTACACAGTACATTGTTATTAACTAGAGTCACCATGTTGTACAGTACATATCTTGAATTTATTCCTCCTGTCTAACTGAAATTTTGTATTCGCTGATGTTAGTTTTTACAATCAACTCATTAAAAACATAATTAGGTCACAGAGGTTAGGAGGTTTTGAAAAAAACAAAAAACCAAACAAAAAATGTAATTAGGTTTGTTTGGCAATCTAGCAATGCTTAGTGTGCAATGCTTTTTACAGCCGCTGCTAAAAGCATAGCAAAACCACAGAAATCTATGTGCTGCCAAAACCTATGTATTTGGTCGTATTTATTTTGACTTGTGTTTTTTGTGTGCTTAACTTTTTCTCTAACTTTTTTTTGTAAAGAATGCTGGAGTATTCCCAAATTGTTGACAAATTCCCTTGTTTCCTGTTCTAAGCCCAGATTTCAGTGTTGGCCACTAGGTGGGGATAGGATCCTATTTCTCTATAGCCTTAACATGATTTTGAATTTCGATGCTTTGCAATGGATAATCTGGCTTTTTCCTCGAAAGCTTTAAAACATTTCTTTTGTGAATTCAAAACAACCCACAGTTTTAATTCTCTGTAGTTATCCAATAAAAAGGAATAGGAAACAAGTGCTAAATTATTTACTTACAGTGTTTCTGTATGGAAATCCTTACCCCCAAGACAGCTGGCTTCACGGCTTGACTCAATGGTGAGAAATCTGAGTTGACTCACAGCTTTCTGACAGTATTCTGATGGTACCATGTTAGGATAAATTCTTGGCCAAACAGAAAATCAAGGGAGACCTGCTTCTCCTTGTCAAACTCTAAATTAATCTACTAGTTCTTTTCATAAAGCAAAAGGTGAAATGTTGAGGACTCTGAGTCGGCGATCAATCGAAATGACTTTTAAACTAAGTCCCTTTTAATGATGACTGAAGACAATATTACATTAATCACTGGGTATTATAAACACTGGTTTCTCAGTCCTCTGCTGATGAGATTTGCTTGTTTGTGTATTTCTTTCTTAAAATCCCAAATAGTGAAGTCTCTCTTAAGCAATGGAGGCTTATTCATAGTCAAATTCCTTGCATGTAAAATTCTCTGGGTATAAAGTAGATTGCCTCCCTCTTGTTTTTCTTTTTCTTGAGACAGGGTCTCACTCTGTTGTCTAGGCTGGAGTGCAGTGGCATTATCACGGCTCACTGAAGCCTTTACCTCCCAGGCTCAAGTGTTCCTCCTGCCTCAGCTTCCTCAGTACCTGGGACTACATTTATTTTTTGTTTTTTTTTATTTTTTTGTAGAGACAGGATTTTGCCATGTTGCCCATGCTGGTCAAGCTATCTGCCCTCCTTGGCCTCCCAAAGTGCTGCGATTATAGGCATGAGCCACCAGGCCCAGCCTGCTTTCTTCTGTTTTACCAAGATGCTTGACAGTGGATATATAAAATGACAACTTCCCTTTCTCATATGTGGCACTGAGAGATGGGCAGCCTCTATTTCCTACAAGAAATATAGAATAGAAAATGTGTAATTTCTCATGGTGTTCTGCAAAAATTAAAAATTTCACAGAACACTCATCTGAATCCCTGGTTTGTAACTTTGGCTTTCCAAAACTTGCCTATATGCTAATATGATTCATAAAACATTTGTAATAATAATTTCAAAATAAAAATTTTAAAATGAATTTAGTCCTATATCTTCTATAATAACCAACATTTCCAGAAAAGTAGGATTTAAGAGTATCTTCTGTACCAATATATGACTTTCTTTTTCTTTTTTTTTGGAGACAGAGTCTCACTCTGTTGCCCAGGCTGGAGTGCAGTGGTGTGATTTCAGCTCACTGCACCATTCAGTCGGCTGAAGGCCTGGCTAGAACAAAAAGGCAGAAAAAAGGTGAATTCACTCTCTCTCTGTTTTGGAGTAGGGAGTCCTATATTCTCCTCCCCTTGGACATCAGATCTCCAGGTTCTCTGGCCTTCACACTCAGGGACTTGCACCAGCAGCCCCCCAGGTTTTTGGTCTTGGACTCAGAGTTACTCCACCAGCTCCCCCGGTTCTCAGCCCTTCAGACTTGGACTGAGCCATGCTACAGGCTCCCCTGTCTCAGCAGCTTGCAGAAGGCCTAACGTGGAACTCCTCAGCCTCCATAGTTGAGGGAGTGAATCCCCAGCATAAATCCCCACTCATCTATCTACCTATATATATCCAATAAATTCTGTTTCTCTGAAGAAGTCTGACTTCTTCAGCCCCCAAAGGCCCCCAAAGGCCCCCAAAGCCCCCAAAGGCCCTAGTGCTGGTCTGTTACGAACTTCCTGGTAGACGATATTTTACACATGGCATCCCAGCTCCTTGTGGGAGGAATTAAGTGTGTCCTGTGTGGCTCCAGGGGGACAGGATCCTTGGAAGCCTGAGCCTGGTTTCTCTCAGGCTTTGCCCCGTGTGCCTTTCCCTCTGCTGAGTTTGCTTTGCATCCTTTTACTGTAATGAATCAGAGCCCTGAGTAGGACCATATGATGAGCCCTGTGAGTCCTCCTAGGGCATCATCTCACCTGGGGTGGCTCTGAGGACCCCTAACATAGCTCTTCCTCTGGCATTGGTATCTGGTAATATATAAAATCCCCCAAAACTAACTTGTCATCATAATTTATGACCATATTTCATCAAAATTTCATGTAGTCACATCCAAGAAGTTCAGTTAAGAAAGAAAAACTCTTTAAGCTTGGTTAAGGCTCTGCCATTTTTGAAAATTCGTATTAATCTAATAATATTGTAGCAACTATAAGTTTTCCTGATAACTTTTTTTTTTTTTTGGGAGTGGGGGATGGAGTTTCGCTCTTGTTGCCCAGGCTGGACTGCAATGGTGTGGTCTCAGCTCACTGCAACCTCCGCCTCCTGGGTTCAAGCGATTCTCCTGCCTCAGCCTCCCAAGTAGTTGGGATTACAGGCGCCCACCACCACACCCAGCTAATTTTTGTATTTTTAGTAGAGACAGGATTTCACCATATTGGTCAGGCTGGTCTTGAACTCCCGACCTCAGGTGATCTGCCTGCCTTGGCCTCCCAAAGTGCTGGGATTACAGGCGTGAGCCACTGTGCCCAGCCTCCTGATTACTATTATATAAAATTTGGACTTAGTGGCACATCATAACATGAAATGACTGGAGACAATATGACTTCTCTCTCGGTATTAAACATCAATTAAGATGAATTACAAAAATCATAGTAAACTGTATTCTAAAACCAAGCCTATGTCTGAAAAATCTGGTATACACACATCTTTTGAAACTAAGGATGTGTTTTCACTGTACAACCTGCAAGAGGTGATCTGGTGAACATAGAGTTATGGAATAAGTGTGTATCTATAACTTAGTACAAATTATATATAAAGAGAACGATAATGTATTATGCGGCTGGGCATGGTGGCTCACTTCTGCAATCCCAGCATTTTGGGAGGCTGAGGTGGGTGGATTACTTGAGCTCAGGAGTCCAAGACCAGCCTGGCCAACATGGTAAAACCTCATCTCTACCAAAAACAAAAAATTAGCTCTCAGGTACTCTAGAGACTGAGATGGGAGGATCGCCTGAACCCTGGAGGCAGAGGTTGTAGTAAGCTGAGATCATGCCATTGCATTTCAGCCTGGGTGATAGAGTGAGACTCCATCTCTAAATAAATAAAATAAAATAATATATTATGCTATTATACCTATTATTTAAAATTGGGATCTTATGTTGATTTCTACATTTGGGAAGCATATTCCTAAGAACTGACCTTTATCAGTCCTGTATTGTGTTCAGTGGCAAAGCCAGGCTTGGTGTCTGTTCCATCTGGGAACGCCAGGAGTAATGGTCCCACTCCTTGCTGCTGAGGGTACAGCATGAATTTGGGCAGCACCATGAAATAAAGCAAATGTAAGAAGATCCTCTATCAGTTGCACTCCTATTTAATAAGAAGACTTGATCATCATCAAGAAGTTAATTTCTCCATGCCTGGGTAAAACCACACTGACTCATCCTGAGGCTCTTCATTGGACCCAGTGATCACCAAATCCTTCAAGCATAAAATGGCCATGTGATTATCTCCTTCCTCTCAGGATGAAAGGCAGACAATAACATGTGATTTATGTTCCTCAGGAAAGGACATGCTATAAACTAGAGAACTTGGGAAAGAGGAAGTACATGAATTAACATGCAGGCACATGGTGGCATGTGCCTGTGGTGCCAGCTACTGGGCAGGCTGAGTGGCAGCATTGTTTGAGCCCAGGAGGTGCAGGCTATGGTGAACTGAGATCGTACTACTGCACTCCAGCCTGGTTAACAGAATGAGACCCTGTCTGTCTTTCTCTCTCTCTCTCTCTCTCTCTCTCTCACACACACACACACACACACACACACACACACACACAGAAAATAAAGGAGAAAAAGAAATTGTTCTTAAACATAAAATTTAAAGTGGGGTTCTTTGTATCACCACATTCTTTTTTTTTTTTTTTTTTTTGAGACGGAGTTTTGCTCTTGTTGCCCAGGCTGGACTGCAATGGTGTGATCTCGGCTCACTGCAACCTCCACCTCCTGGGTTCAAGTAATTCTCCTGCCTCAGCCCCTCGAGTATCTGGGATTACAGGCACGTGCCACCATGCCCAGCTAATTTTTGTATTTTTAGTAGAGATGGGGTTTCACCATGTTGGCCAGGCTGGTCTCTAACTACTGACCTCAGATGATCCACCCGCCTCAGCCTCCCAAAGTGCTGGGATTACAGGCATGAGCCACCATGCCCAGCTGACTCTTTTAAATTTCATTCAGCTGTGCGCCCAGCCTCACCACATTTTTATATGAAGAAGAAATAAAATAATAATTACTAATTAAATAATTAAATATTATTTCCTTCTCCTTATATGTTTGAAAACATCAAAGATTTTCTCCAAAATTATCATAGCTATAAAAGAGTCAATATAATATCAAATGGTAACAAATTAATTCCTTTATGATGCAAAGAATCAATGTAAAATTGTGAAGAAATATCATCCATTCACAGAAGTAACTACAAATAAAAAATCCCAACTTGCGTAATGTATTTCCTCATTAAGAAGAAGGTGATTATGATGTCCTAATTTTCGTTTTCTTCACTTACCCCTACACTCTGCAGTAGTCAGGGGCTTCCTGGGCCATGCTGGTGCCTGACAATTCTCCCACTTCCTCCCAGCAGCTCTAGCATCTTCCTTCCCCAGCCACAGAGGCGTCCCTTCTGATGTATTCTGGTTGGTTGAGCCCCATCAGGCTGTTTCATCTCCAGCCTTTCTCCCTGGACAGGGGTAGGGAAAGGAGTGCTGGATTCGGAGCTCCTCCGTCCCTGCGCCGCCTCATTTTCTCCTTGGGGTCTGGCGCACAGTGGCCATTGCAATACACCCTGAAGACTGAAGGAGCCAGCGCAGAGCCAGGATCCTCCTGTGAGCCATGGCCCTGGCTGCCCTGCTTAGCCTCTCGGAACCTGGGCCATCAGGGGTGAGTGCGCAGGTGGGCGAGGGAGGGTGGGGGCTCTGGGCGCTTCTGGAGCCCACAGATGCTGTTTTCTTTCCTGTTCTGTTTTCTCTGTTCTTTACTGTTTTGCCTGAGGCTCTCTTTTGCTTTCTCTCATTCTAACAATAATAACCACCATTTACTGAACACCCCCTAAGTGCCAAACCTCATGTCCTTCCTCACAACACCATTTTCAGAAAGGCTTTTATTAACACAATTTTAGAAATGAAAAGACTGAGACTCAAAGAGATTCATAAATGTCTCCTTTCCCCCACGTCCTCTCGCTGAAGAGAGAAGAGCCAGGGCTTGGCAACCTCCTCTGGAGATTCTCTCGTAGATTGTAGAGGTCAGCTTCCTCAAATAGGAGTCTGCAATGTGGGTTTTTTTCCTTCCTTCCTTCCTTCCTTCCTTTTCTCCCTCCCCCTCCTCCTCTTCTTCTTCTTTTTCTTCTTCTTCTTTTCTCTCTCTCTCTCCTCTCTCTCTCTCGACAGGGTCCTGCTCTGTTGCCCAGGCTGGAGTGCAATCACGTGATCACAGTTCACTGCAACCTTGAACTCCCAGGCTCAAGGGATCCTCACACCTCAGCCTCCTGGGTAACTGGGACTACAGGTGTCTGTCACTACACCTGGATAATTATATATATATATATATATATATATATATATATTTTTTTTTTTTTTTTCCCCTTAGAGATGGAGTCTCACTGTATTTCCTAGGCTGGTCTCAAACTCCTGGCCTCAAGTGATCCTCCTGTTCAGCCTCTCACAGCACTAAGATTACAGGTGTGGGGCACCACACCCAGCCCGTTAGTGACTCTCTCTCATTTCATTCAGTCTTCAACCCACTGCATTCTCCCTTTTTCTTCCCCATGTCTCTGATGCTGCTCTCAGGGTGACCTTTATACAACCCAAACCAGTGATCACTTCTCTGTCTCTATCTCTTGTGTGTCATGAGTGTGTTTGTGATGCGTCCGCTCCTCTTTCCTGGATGTTTTCTCCTGTCTGTTGTCTTTTATGAACCCACTTCCTCTTTGTTTTCCTCCTACTTTCTAGTCTTCTCCTTTTCAGCCTCTTTTTTCATGTCTGTGTTTGTCTGGATGCAGGAGCACACACTCAGACCCTTGCTATTCTGACTTTATGTACTTTTCTTGAGTGACCTGATCCAAATTTAGAACTTCACTTATAATGAGCTTCCTTCCAGTCTGTGTCACTAACCTAGTGTACCCTGGGACCCAACCATTTAGCTCACTATCCTCAGATTAACTCCATTTGTTCCCACAGAAATTCAAACTAAGCATGTTCCAAACAGAACATCTTACCTTCTCTCGATTATTTCATTTTTCATTACCTTTGCAGTCACTGATGCCCCAGTTCTCCACGTTGGGTATTCTGGACTCCTTCATATCCCTACTTCCGGCACATGATTTAGTGATTCCTGTGGCTTTTCGTTTCATTATTGCCATTCAAACCCATCCGCTGTCCGCCTCACCCCATGTTCCTGCCCCTGCCTACACCCTCATGACTTCCCATCTGATGGCTGAAGAGTCCTATTGGTCTTGCTTTCAAACCAGCCTCCTCCAACCCATCCTCCCTACTGCTGCCCCCTCCAAACACAAATCTCATCATGTTACTGTCCTGCTTAAGATGCTTCACAACTTCCTATGTCCTGTGGGATAAAATGCAAACACCTGCCATCAGCACACAAGGCAGGTTACAGTGCCGCCCGGCGCACATCTCCCCTGGCTTCAGTCACACTGAAGAACTGCAGTTCTCCTTGCAACTTCATGCCTCTCTGCTCCTGAGCCTGCTTCTCCTGCTGGACATGTCATTTCCCCTTTCTCTGTTTTGCTAACCTCAGGTAAACACTATCCCTAGGAACCTTTCCTAAATCTCATTTTTCAAAAATGCCCTCTTTATGCTCCTGAGTGGCTCCAGTGTATATCTTATGGTACTCAGTGGTGATCAAAATAACCTATGGAAATAAAAGATTAAAAAACACAAAATAAAATACACATGTAGCAATCTTCTTTTCTTTGTCTCTTTGGATTTTGGATTTCAAGCAGCTTGAGGACAAGGCCCAGGTCTTCTGAGTTACATCCTTAGTGCCTAAAGAGTGAAAATTCACAATGAGTGTTTATTTAACAGAATGAAAATTAACATTTGAAGGTGGAATTTGCTTTAAAATGCACGGACCTTTAGTTTTAGGCTTTGTGAGTATAATAAAAACAAAGTAACCTAAGGTGAACAAACGACATCTCTGTAGCACAGCTTGTATATCATGTTTTTCATCTGTTTTTTCTTTGGGCTTCGTTTCTGTAGGTGAGTAATTCTCTAGCCCATAAACTCAGTGGAGGACCCTCAACATCCGTGTGTGACACTGAACTTGCCGTCACTTGACGCATCCAAGGAGATTTTCCCCGTGTTGGGCTTGGAGGGGAAATCCTTGCTTAGGACCAACAACCATGCAGTGTCATTTCGCCTCACTTCCTCTTCCAGGCTGGACTCCATGCTCTCTCATCTTTATTCTTTTACTGTAATAGTAATAGACTTTTTTGTTGTCAACCTTTTGCTGCGTCTTATACATCAGGTAAAGCTAAGATACTATCCCATAGGTGTTTCAAATGCAACAACTTTTATTTCCAGGTAGAACTACACTTGAAAATATACATTCAACAAGAACATTTTGTGAATGTTATGTGCATGACAACATTTTTAAATTTACTATGACTTAAAATGAAAGTGTTTTGATAAAATTATATAAGGTACCATTTTTATTCTAAAAGTAAGAACATAACTTGAAGTCTATAAATAGCACTAAGACTTACTCTGGAGGTCTTTTCATGTCCTTCATTATTTTTTTCCCTGAAAGATTTTTATTTCATCTCCCTACTTCCCTGCCTTTCTCTGTGGCTATATCAGTATTTTTTATGTCTGGTCCTGTAGGGGTTCTGAGATCCTATGGGAATGGGGTAGGGGGACTATGCAATTTTGTTTCTACCAGGAGTTGTGTGACTTGGGTGAGTTACTTTACTTCTGTGGTCCGTTCCCCAATATGTAAAATAATTTCCTCTGTTAAATCAAGTTTAGCCTAAAGTTGCCTCCTTACATATTTTAAGTTTGGCCTAAAGGTTTCTCTGTACATCATGAACTATAACAAGTGGAGGTGTAAACAGACCATAGCCTACACTTGTGCCAATCACTGAGTTTTGGCCAATCATATGTAGCTAACTGTTTGAACTGTGTTCAAGTTAGGCAAACATTGAGCTGTAACCAATCTGGCTGTTTCTGTACCTCACTTCTGTTTTCTGTATGTTACTTTTCTTTTTCTGTCCATAAACTTTCTTCCACCACGCAGCTGTGCTGGAGACTTTGAGCATACTCTGGCTTGGGAGGCTGCCCGATTTGTGAATTGTTTATTGCGCAATTAACCTCATTTAAAATTTATTCGGCTGAAGTTTTTCTTTTATCAGGTGGTGTCAGAAGTGGGGTTGGAAGTAGAGCTTCTAATGACCCCCAGAAGTGCTGAGTGACCTAGTGAGGTACCCTCCAGGCCCATTGTGTCTCTTTCTCTCTCGGAGCAGCTGGGGATCGTGGTAAGTTCTCTTGCAGATTCCGAAGCTCCACAGATTTGTGTGTTGAGCTCTCTGAGTTTCTTTGAGTAAATTTCTGATCCTGATTGGATTTGAAAGTCGCGAAAGAAATTGAACTGAGTCCAGGATCGGATTGGCTCCAGTAATTAACTGGCTTGGATCCGGTTAGAGACCTCTTACATCTAACTGGATCAGAAAGAAACCAGTATTAAATGGCAATATTGCAAAGGTGTAAAATTTGGCTTTTGGAAATTCACAGAGATTTTTATGTTCTACTCCTTTATTTTTCTTGTGCACTTAGGTAGGAAAAAAAATCATTGGCTAAGTTGAACAAGGGACCTGAGAGCAAAGCCAGTATTTGAGGTAAAAAATGTGATACTGAATTTCTGAAGAACTGAGTTCCTTCTGGATTATACATGCATAAGTATTAGGCCCTGGAAGGAGCAACGCCTTACAGAAATTGTCCAGGCGTGGTGGCTCACACCTGTAATCCCAGCACTTTGGGAGGCCAAGGTGGGTAGATTGCTTGAGGCTAGGAGTTTGAGACCAGGCTGGCCAACACTGTGAAACCCTGTCTGTACTAAAAATTAAAAAAAAAAATTAGCCAGGCATGGTGGCATGTGCCTGTAATTCCAGCTACTCGGGAGGCTGAGGCACAAGAATCACTTGAACCCAGGAGGTGGAGGCTGCCATGAGCTGAGATCATAATACTGCACTCCAGCCTGGGTGACAGAGACTGTGTCTCAAATAAAAATTTTTTTTTTTTTTTACTAAAGATAACTTGCAGTAGAACATTCCAAAAGAACAACACTGCACTGAAGTGCATTTGAAAATGAGGGCTCCCAGATTAGTCTCATGTACAGTCTCATGTAGGGATGCCTATTGATATGCAGAAGCTTCTAAAAAATTTCAATATTTGCATTTAAAGACTTTACAAAAAAGAATTAAAAAGCTTAAACAACTAATTGATTTAAAAAATTAAATCTGCCTTGCGCTTTTTGCTGATGGCTGTGTGTGACAGGATTAGGCATGTACAGGATCATGGGACATGGGGAACTTTTTTCTCCCCAAAGCAGGAAACTTGAGAGCTGATGAGACGGCTGGAAAAGATCCTTCATGACTGACAAGCAGCTGCCTGAACTTTTTTTTTTTTTGAAACGGAGTCTCACTCTGTCTCCCAGGCTGGAGTGCGGTGGCACAATCTCAGCTCACTGCAACCTCCGCCTCCTGGGTTCAAGTGATTCTTCTGCTTCAGCCTCCCGAGTAGCTGGGATTACGGGCGCCCACCACCATGCCTGGCTAATTTTTTGTGTTTAGTAGAGACAGGGTTTCACCATGTTGGTCAGGCTGGTCTCGAACTCCTGACTTCAGGTGATCCGCCCACCTTGGCCTCCCAAAGTGCTGTGATTAAAGGCATGAGCCACCGCACCTGGCCCTGAACTTTTAATTTAGTGTCACTGCAATAGGTGGGTCCTTCTCTGTCCTCCCTGAACTCTTTGCCTTCCCCACCCTGCTGCAGACAATGCTTTTCTTTCTCTCTTTCTCTTCTTTCCTTTTTCTATCTTTCTTTCTTTTTTTTTTTTTTTTTGAAACAGAGTCTTGCTATGTCACCCAGCCTGGAGTGCAGTGGTGCGATCTCGGCTCACTGCAAGCTCTGCCTCCGAGGGTCATGCCATTCTCCTGCCTCAGCCTCCGGAGTAGCTGGGACCACAGGCGCCCGCCACCACGCCTGGCTAATTTTTTTTTTTTTTGTATTTTTAGTAGAGACGGAGTTTCACCGTCTTAGCCAGAATGGTCTCTATCTCCTGACCTCGTGATCTGCCCACCTCGGCCTCCCAAAGTGCTGGGATTACAGGCGTGAGCCACCATGCCCGGCCTCCTTTTTCCAGCTTTCTATTATATCTTGTCTAGAGATCACATGTTGAAACTTCTGGCTGGAGGCCATTCCACCCCACTTTGAATAGATTAAAGATAGCAGAGCCCCACCAGGGGCAAGTTTAAGCCTTACCAGTTCAATATTGGGCACTAAGCAGAGTGGCTAATGTCTATGTTTTGTCACATGTATTTTGCTGTGGCTGGAAGGGAAAATGTTAATTCAGTTCCCTCATGCAATCTCTTGGGCAGCATCTTACAAAATTGAGAGGCTTTTGCCTATGGTTCCCTGAAATCAGAAAAGATGATTTTCCTTTGTGTTGTGGCTTGGCCCCCAGGCTATGTGCAGCTAACAGGGTCGCTAGGGCCACTCAGAAAGAGGGAACCCAGAAGCCTGGCATGCTGGCAAAAGGGTAAGAATTTCTTAGCAGTCAGGCTTCTGGCCTCTCTCTGTGTGGAAACGGTTGTAGGAGTAGTAAAAATCACTGTCTCCTCTGCAAAGTTTTAATTAATGATAAAAAGGATTTGTGAGGCTGGGTGCGGTGGCTCACGCCTGTAATCCCAGCACTTTGGGTGGCCGAGGCGGGTGGATCACGAGGTCAGGAGATCAAGACCAACCTGGCTAACACAGTGAAACCCAGTCTCTACTAAAAATACAAAAAATTAGCCGGGCGAGGTGGCGGGCGCCTGTAGTCCCAGCTACTCGGGAGGCTGAGGCAGGAGAATGGCGTGAACCCGGGAGGTGGAACTTGCAGTGAGCCGAGATCGCGCCACTGTACTCCAGCCTGGGCGACAGCGAGACTCCGTCTCAAAAAAAAAAAAAAAAAAAAAAAAAAAGGTATTTGTGAGCCAATCTTAAGCTGTAGCAAACCTGGTGTACTTTGTGCTATGAATTGGTCTTTCTGTGTCATTTGGTCATAAAAGGGGTTAAATAGGATAAAATGTGGGCCTAGGACTCCCAGAAGTCTGCTGTTCAAGCCAGCCTGGCAAACTGGTCAGTTACAAACTGCGGGTCCCTGAAACAAAAAAACACTGGATAAGGTTTCCCTGTCATCTTGTTTTATGTCATTGGGAGCTTGACCTTATAATCACATGATGGTACTTTCTTTTGGTCTCCACCCTCTGGAGGACAGGAATTTTGGAGTTCATGTCATAGTTAGCTCTAAAAATTATCTTGAGCAGTTAAAAGCCTTTGCAAGCTGAAAATTGGCTGCTCTTAGGCTCCTCCTTCTGGGAGGAACAATGGAAACCACCAACGGTGTAGCTTAGTGGCTAAGCTTTGCCATCTTATGATGGCAGCCAGGCAGGGTTCAATTCCAGCTCAGGGAATGAGACCTGTTTGGTTTGATATCTTTCTGATCTTTGCTATTTGCTGATTCTCTTCCCCTCATGAACAACTTCTGACTCTCGTCTTGAATTTTCCTTTCTCTGAGCTACGTTTGGAAATCCTAGAGTTTGTAAAAATTGCTTGCTACCTTTTTGAAAATACTTCGTACACTTGTGGTTAAGTCATAACCTTGTTAAAGCTTATTGGTTTCACCTGGGAGATTACCTTTGGTAAAGTTCAAAAGCCAGACATATTGGCTGTTTGGCCTGGCTAAAGTCAAGTAATAAGAGATTTAAAATGATTATTTTAGGCTGGGCGCAGTGGTCCATGCCTGCAATCCCAGCGCTTTGGGAGGCCAAGGAGGATGGATCACCTGAAGTCAGGAGTTTGAGACCAGCCTGACCAACATGGAGAAACCCTGTCTCTACTAAAAATACAAAAATTAGCTGGATGTGGTGGCTCGCACTGGTAGTCCCACCTATTCAGGAGGCTGAGGCAGGATAATCGCTTTAACCTGGGAGGCGGAGGTTGCAGTGAGCTGAGATTGAACCACTGCACTCCAGCCTGGGCAAGAGAGCAAGACTCCGTCTCTAAAAACAATCAAATAATTTTTTTTTTTTTTTAGAAAGAGTGCTATAGTTAAAAGTCAGCTTAATTAAAAGTGGATATCCAAGCTATAGGTATATTTAAAGGGCCTTTTGGTTTTTTCTCTTCTTGGATCTTTGTTTTTTTTTAATTATTTTTTTCTTTTTAGCCAACTGAATTGTTTTTCTCCATTTTGTCTTCTTGCCACTTTTGTTGCACACATGAGAGGACCTAAGGTAACTTCTAACAGCCTGGGACTCCTTGGGAAAAACAGAGGAGGCACTACGATCCTGCTTTGGGATATAACTCGGTTTTCCTCCTGAAACACCAGGAATCAAAAGCAGATAGATCCCTCTCAAAATCTAAGGCTAAATATCCTTTTGGGGATGGCCAACAGGGTGAAACCCAGTCTCTACTAAAAATACAAAAATTAGCCTGGTGCAGTGCTGCACACCTGCAGTTCCAGCTACTGGAGAGTCTGAGGCATGAGAATTGCTTGAGCCTGGAAGGCGGAGTTGCAGTGAGCCGAGATTGCACCACTGCACTCCAACATGGGTGACAGAGTGATACTCTGTCTCAAAATAAAGGAAAGAAAGAAAGAGAGAGAGAGAGTGGAAGGAAGGAAGGAAGGAAGGAGGGAAGGAAGGAAGGTCATTTCCACAGTTAATTGCTTAATGCTGGTGCAATTTCTGAAAACTTCACAAGTAGGCACAATTCTAGAATATGGTGTCTTTTAGGAGGTTCCTGAAAGGATGGAAAGGACCCCAAAAAGTATTCTTGATTACAGGTTTCTGATAACTTTAGAATCATATCATTTTTACTGGGTAAGAATTCCTGGAGCTTTTTTTTTTTTTTTTGAGACGGAGTCTCACTCTGTCACCCAGGCTGGAGTGCAGTGGCACGATCTTGGCTCACTGCAAGCTCCGCCTCCCAGGTTCACGCCATTCTCCTGCTTCCTGGAGCTTAAAAGACTGACTGGTTTATAAAACTGCCATCCCAAGTAGAACACAAATTAATTGAATACCAAGAAAATACTTTGCAAGTCTTTCATGCTAAATCACCCAATACTGAAATTGTTTAGATATACAATTTGAATAAACTCTGTGGTCTAACTCAAATTACCTATGATAACCCATCAGTTATCAGTGCTATGCACCTCAATTGGAGAAACAACCGTGTCAAGCATGGACTCATGGAGAACCAAGGTGGCTGCCTTATCCTTCCTGAGCTTTTAAAGCTTTTATAATTTAAAGTTCTGCATTCCATGACTCATCATGGAAAAGATAAAATGATCCAAGTTAAATGCATATTGGTGTGGTGACTTCTAAATTGCTAAAATAGTTTATGACCAATGTTTGGTTTGCCAAACCCATATTCCTGGGAAGACAATCAAAGCTTCAGGTACATTCTGCTATCTCATGAGCCATTTAAACATTTATGAAGAGATTTCAGTCAATTGTCATTTTCAATGCATGTTTTCTGGTTGTGTAAAAGCTTTCCTATACAAGTGAACTGATGTTATAACAGTAGATTATTATTTCACAGTGTATTTTCACCAGGTAAAGAAAGCTTTTTATGGTTCACTGACTGAGGACAATCAACCCCTTCACAATCTAGAACCTGAAGATTGGATCTTCTGAGAACATCAGAGAAAGACTGCCCTTGCCATCCACACTGCAGCAAACATCAGAACCATGAACCTTGGCTTCATAATCTCACAACTGAGAAGGATCCCTCCACATTCTTGGAAATATACACCCATTGGAACCCGTAAGGTAAAGCTAACCAGGGAAGTTTCTCCCTAGAAGAAGATGGTATCCTTGATGTGAACAGCTTTTACCAAGATCACAGATCAAGACTTCTCTGCTATATGGAGGCTCTTATCTTTGAGTACTTTTTCCCTTGCTTATGCCTCTATGAACAGTAGAAGTGAAAAGGGGGTCTGTTGTGTGCACTCATGGGGTAGGTATACTTTTATTGGTGAAGGGTTTTGCAGCCAGCCTTATACATGGATAACCTCACACCTTGATAGATGAAAGATGAAGGCCCAGTGTAGGTGAGAAATTTTAATGGTACATAGGTTGCCTCATAATCAGTCAGAAACAGAACATTGATTCACTCCCCTATTCCACATCATGGGTTAAAGAGAACATTGCCAGGAGGCCTTCAGTCTTCTAGAAGGGCATTGTTCCTTAGGTTCTTTTTACCATGATTTGGAGTAAAACAGGCAATGATTAGAAATGTATCCCTCATGAGAGGCTCTAAACAGAGTCTACTGTAAGGGCTATGGTTACACAACAGATTTTACATTCTTTTGTGAAAGTTATGCTTAATAGTAGGATTGCTGTAGATTACTTACTGGCTAAACAGAGAAGTATCTGTGCAGCTGCTGGCACTTGTGGCCTATGGAGAAATACATCACGTCAGGTATTACAGAGATTCAGTTGTAGGTAATTAATGAAGAGACTGCTTAAATGAGTAAACTCTTTATTTAGCTCATTCTTTGATCTATTTAATTTTGGGTGGTTTGGTTTATGGAGACCCTGTGTAAGGAGCATACTCCAAACTCTTGGTATTATCCTCCTGATAGTCATAATAGTAGTCTATCTGGTGCACTGTATTCTCTCGAAAGTTTTAAATGTTTGCATGCAGCCATCTCTAGAATGTCAAATTGTCTCTCTTCAACTAGAATGACAAGATTGAAAGAAATGTGTGACCATGAGGGCACTTTAACCTATGAATGATGTGTCGAGACTGGAAACCCAAAATGATGGTAACTGAGAGTGGCGCTAAGGCCCTAAGCTTTGGTCACGTTCTCACCTAAGTGAGAACGTGACCAAAAAGGGGACATTTTTAAACAAAATCATGGCAGGCCATTGTTTTGGACTTTAATGAAAGGCCAAATGCACTAAGCCCCAACAGACCAGACCAAACCAAAATGGAGTCACTTGTGCTAAATGTGACATGATTAAACTAAGACTTTAAGGAAACACATAGATCCTAAAACAGGCCAGGTTTTGTTTTTTTCTCCTATAAACAGAATGTTCCAACAAAAGGAGGTACCCTGTAATCTAACCCTTCAAAAATAAAATTAAAATAAAATAAAATAACCTGAAATCCTTGTTCCCTCTTACAAAACTCATTGTTCTGCTATTTTCCAGGGGGTTTCAAGACCAAATAAGTACATTTACAATGGTGATAGTGGCATCGATGACTGAAGTTTTGGTAAATCTCTAAAAATTGAGAAGATTACCAAAAGAGGAAAATTGTTAAATCAAGTTTAGCCTAAAGCTGCCTCCTTACATATTTTAAGTTTGGCCTAAAGGTTTCTCTGTACATCGTGAACTATAACAAGTGGAGGTGTAAACAGCCTACACTTGTGTCAA
Source organism: Homo sapiens (assembly GCF_000001405.40). Classification (NCBI taxonomy): domain Eukaryota; kingdom Metazoa; phylum Chordata; class Mammalia; order Primates; family Hominidae; genus Homo; species Homo sapiens. Next base: position 4,326,825 of record NT_167248.2, on the reverse strand, counting down.
TCACCAAGTTTCAGCCAATCATATGTAGCCAACTGTTCAAACTGTGTTCAAATAAGGATACACCCAGCTGTAATCAATTGGGTGTTTCTGTACCTCACTTCTGTTTTCTGTATGTCACTTTCCTTTTTCTGTCCATAAATCTTCCACCACATGCCTGCAATGGAGTCTCTGAGCCTACTCTGCCTCGGGAGGCTGCCTGATTCATGAATCGTTCATTGCTCAATTTGACTCTTTTAAATTGAATTCAGATGAAGTTTTTCTTTTTTTCTTTTTTCTGTTTTTTTTTTTCGAGACAGAGTCTCACTCCGTCACCCAGTCTGGAGTGCAGTGGCGCAATCTCAGCCCACTGTAACCTCCTCCTCCCGGTTCAAGTGATTCTCCTGACTCAGCCTCCCAAGTAGCTGGGACTACAGACACCATGCCTGGCTAATTTTTGTATCTTTAGTAGAGACAAAGGGGTTTCACCATGTTGGCCAGGCTGATCTTGAATTCCTGACCTCAAGTGAACCACCTGCCTCAGCCTCCCAAAGTGCTGGGATTACAGGAGTGAGCCACCGTGCCTGGCCAGAAGTTTTTCTTTGAACACTTTTTTTTTTTTTTTTTTTTTTTTTTGGGAAGGAGTCTCACTCTATCTCCCAGACTGGAGTGCAGTGGCGCGATCTCGGCTCACTGCAAGTTCCACCTCCTGGGTTCACGCCATTCTCCTGCCTCAGCCTCCTGAGTAGCTGGGACTACAGGCACCTGCCACCATGCCCAGCTGATTACAGGGGTGAGCCACCATGCCCGGCCTTCTTTGAACACTTCTACGTGGAAGTGTGAGGATTCAGTGAATAAGTTGAGCACATGGTACATGTTCAGTGAATATTTTCTGATTGTGTTCATTGTTATCATTATTGGAATGATGTGAGGGTTGTGTAAGTCTTCAGAGACCAGGGAAACAACTGAAATCTTCTATGAGTCATTTCTATCATTGTTTATCCCCATTCCTTTTCTTTTCATTCATTTTTGCATTTCTCATTTTCTGTGTTATTCCCTTGCATTCCTAAAAACTTTCCCATTACCTGCTTGCTTCTTGTATTCTGTGTAGTTTCCTATGTGTTCATCATTCTGCAGTCTTCTTCCCCTTCATGCAGCAGACCATGTGTCAACGTATGCAGAGTTTGTGCAGACACACAGATCCTCTGGGGAGTATATGTTTGAATCTGATGAAGATGAGCAGTTATTTGTGCACCTGGACAAGAAGGAGATGGTCTGGCATCTGTGACAGTTTATTCACACTGTGAGGGTCAGAAAATGAAGGGACCAGGGATGGAAAGGGATGGGGGACAAAACACTAAGCTGGCAGTCCTAACCCCACTGTGTTTATTCTACTCCAGGTGTCAAACTTTCTCAGTCAGAAGTTGACATAAGGAAGTCACCAGCTTCGGTCTCCTTTAAATCTCCAGGCCTAACTTTTTTTTGAATCTCTGCTCTTCAACCACAATGACTTATGTACCCCAAGACCCCTCTACCTCCTGGCTGCCTATGATCCTCCTGCACCTAGCACTCAGCAAAGGGTCTGACATTTAGATAGCCCTCAATCAATATGAAGAATTTAAAGTGTAGTGACAAGGTGGTGCCCACACTGGATGGTCTGTATGCTGTGGTCTCATCAGGAACCTTTCTCTGCACTGCATTTTTCCTAAGAAATCCCAGAGTTCAATAAATACCTGTGTATGTCAGAGCTAGACACATCTGATGCCTTTCTGTGACTCCTTATATTCTCAGTTTCCTAGGAATGCATATCCTGGACTTGTAATTGTAGGATACAGGTGCATTATGGGTGCAGATACCTCAGTTTTGCATCCTGCAAGAGTTAGTCTGGAGATTGTTCACTCCACTCTGGGTACGGCTGACACCTACAGCATGCGTCCAGGGGACAAAAATGGAAGGAGATGACTCTGATTGGATAGTGAGAGGAACACGGGTAGCTCTGGTAAACTGACCAGGGATAGGCGCCCAGGGGCACACAAGGCCCAGAAGCTGCTTGTGAGAAGTCAGGGAGAAGGAAGCCAACAACTGGATGTATCAGAGAGCCACTGAGTGCTCATTATGTGTATCAGGAGTTAAGAATCCATCCTCTACACGAAAAGGAAAGCTTAGACCAAACATGTCTTCTACCTTGATTTACAGTAACTTAATATGAAATGCAAAACACATAAAAATTTTGGATTGTAAAAAAAAGATCAGTGTTTGAAAGAGTGCCACACCTATTGCTTTGCACTTTCAACAATGGGGAGGCGTTTCTCACTGTATGAATTATTAGCTCAGGAGGTCTAGGCTGGTGAATGAATGCAGACTTAGAGGATAAATGTCGTCTACTTGATGCATTCAAAAGGCCAAGCAACATTTGGTTAAGGAGTATTTGTGATGGCATGCAAAGAAAGTGTTGAAAGTGTGTTAGATTATATTTATCGTTTTAAATTCTGATGCTTATTTAATTTCTTAACAGTAATGCTAAAACATGCTCTTAGTAAGTTATATGTTGAATCAGTGCTATGTTAATATGGGCCCTATAACACAGATTTGCAGTCTGTTCACCACTGAATAGCTAAGAATAGTGGTTTCAGACCTAAATGGATGAAGACACCAAACATGAGGATGGGGCAGCTCACTGAAATATAGTAAATCCAGGAGAGGTCTATGTCCAACAGGCCACCTTATACAATAGTTTGGATGGATTTTCATGGTTTTCTTCTTTCTTATGTCTAAACCACAATGAACTTCTTTATTAACTCTTACTGTTTGCTAAAACCCTCAAGAAAAAAAAGTGATGAGACATGACTTGGTGTATATTCTTAACAGAAAACAATCATGTTGGGTTTTGATTACTCATGGCACTAAGGAGAAAGGAACTTGGTTGGAGGCCCCATGAGAGAAATCATGCATTGAATCCAGGAACAGAATCATAGAAACTGGCTTCAGTGCAACTACTCAGCAGCAGCATCCTCTTGGGAGGCTGGGGGTCTGTCCTCGAAGCAGATACTGGGACTAAAGAAACAGAAAATGCTTGTTCCAAGGTACATTAGTCTTTTAGGCAAGGTCAGCAACCCTGTGGAGGTAAAAAACAGTAATCCCAGGTTGCTGGCCCCCTTCCTTTAAGTCCCAGGAGAGAAAAATAACGGTGAGAGGCTGAATCTCAGGCTGATAAAGAATAGAGTTGATCTGAGCTTCCTTTAGCAATGGAGCCATGCAATGCTCTTTCCCCACTCACCCCAGGGCTGAGGTTGAAACAGGGGTTCAGGCCTGAGACTCTCTTCCTAGAGGAGCTCAGTGTCACAATGTACAGAAAGGACTTATGTCCTCCTGTAACTCCCCCAACAAGGAAATCAAAGCAGGAATATTGCCTGTTTATGCAGATCCTTGTTGAACTGAAATGAAAGGAAGAAAGAGAATGTATTCAGCTACTGAAACCACCTCAGACAATTAGAGAAACGTTTCCATCACACTTCCATTGCCCATCACTCAATGGACGCTCTGCAGGAGCCTGAGTAACTGGGACCTTATGCATCTGGCTGCATTAAGATGCCAGGCTGGGATTCCTCTCTCCTTAGAAGCTGTCTTTGTTTCCTGACTATGTGATTTCAGCAAGCTCTCTGGCATTGCTTTTTTGTCTCAGCCCCTCATCATGGAAGAAGAGTGAGCAAGTCAGGAGAAAGGTGGGTATCGGTCACCTCACAGGATTTCTCACCTTTCTTGCTCCTTCTGTGCGTGAAGATGTCCACTCCACAGATGATGAGCCCCAGCATGAAGCCCCTGGCTCCTGTCAGCATCTTGCTCTGCACAAAATCAGACTGTGCCTCTAGGAAGAACAGGCTTAGGTTCAGAGTCACCTCCAGCAGCTGCACCCCTGCTCATGTCCTGTCTGAGATCCTGCAGCCTGATGCAGAATATTGGCACGAGGAGAGCGAGGGGAATACACCTTGCATGACAGGAAATTGAGAAACAGTCACTCTCTCAATTCTAGAACAGAGGGTGTGACCTCAACAACAGACAAATTCAGATTCAATTAGTTGCCTCTCAAAATAACTTAGAATAAGCTAAAAGGCTGAAGGAAGACAACAGTTCCCATGTGTAAGGTCAGTTCAGGAAGGTGTCTGCATCCCTAGATTCTTGGACAAGGAGAGGAACTATGAATCCTTAGGACCTCCTAGGCCGGGGGCAGGCAAGTCTCCATTGTCCCCAGGTTAAAACTACACTCAGGGTCTTGTATAGAAGAAAAATGGGGTCGGACATGGTCCCAGGGTATAGACACATAAAACCAGATGAGTGGACCCCAGAGCCAGAGAGTCCCCTGCTCTTCAGAGGTGGAGTCTAGAGGGTCATCAGACCCTCACTCCACTCCACGGTGACAGGACTGTCCAGGCTGGGGTGCTTCACTTGGCAGGTGTAGATGTTTCCCTGCTGGGGGATCATTTCCAGCATCTCCAGGATCTGGAAGGTCCAGTCTCCATTACGGATCAGCTTGGTGGACATGACCCCAGCTGTTTCCTCCTGTCCATTCAGGAAGCATCGGACTTGAATGCTGCCTGGGTAGAAATCTGTCACGTGGTAGACAAGCAGGTGGTGGTGCTGCCGGGGCTCCTTCTTGGAGGGGGGATGTTCACCCTAGGCTGGACTAGGAGTGGCGAAGTGGAAAAGTGGAATAGCATTTGAGATTATTATTTCTTAGACATGCTCATTATGGAATTGATTTTTAGATGTTGAAAATAGGAATGATGGCCAGGCGCAGTGGCTTACACCTGTAATCCCAGCACTTTGGGAGGCTGAGGCAGGTGGTTCGAGACCAGCCTGACTAACATGGAGAAACCCTGTCTCTACTAAAAATACAAAATTAGCTGGGTGTGGTGGTGCATGCCTGTAATCCCAGCTACTCAGGAGGCTGAGGCAGGAGAATCGCCTGAACCCCGGAGGCAGAGGTTGCATGAGCTAAGATCGCACCATTGCACTCCAGCCTGGACAACAAGAGTGAAACTCCGTCTCAAAAAAAAAAAAAAGTAGGAATGATGTGATTAGGTCAGCGGATAAGGGGAGTACTGAAACTATAGAAATAGTATTGAGAAGAATAGGAGGCACACAAACTTACCAGTTTGTAGCACATTTAAAAGAAATCTTATCTATCAGCCACTGATTAACAGCCTTTGGACAAAGAATATTTAATCAGCAGCGATATTACCTTATCTTTTGAGTGCTCTATCCTGATGCAAAAGATGAAAAATTTGCTCAAATAGTTTCTTGAAATTAATATATATATAAACGACATTCTCATGGTCTATTAATCCAATAACTATATTTCATAAATATATCAAGAAAATAAAGTGAGCTTGACATGACTTATTCTGCAAGTAACCTATGGATTTTTTGGCCTCGCCTACAAACACTCAAAATCATCCTATTTACATAATATCCTGAGCCCCTACATGCTTAAATAGTAGAAATCCCATCCTTTTCCCTAAGTTCCTCCTCTGCACTGTGTTGTCACATCCATTGAGGTTCTCAGATAACCAGGTGTTGGCTGTGCCTTGGCACCTCTCTATTTTTGCCCCCTCTTTTTCTGCCGCTTACAGATCAATTTCCACGCTACCACCTGCAGCTTTTTCTTTGGACCTCAGCCACTAGTACCCTTTTCCTCCACAGAAGGCAGAAAAGGGCCAACTGCCCCTAGAGAACAGCTCAATTACAGGAATGTTCCAAATCAGAGCTTCTAGGTCCTTATTTACTCTGTTCTTGAGAACACAAATACACTGACATGGGCCTGGGCCAGGTAAATGAACATGGGGGTTAGTCTTGAACTAACCCACAACCCTTACTCCCTATGGTATTTTTGCCTTGTGTCCAGGATTATTCACATTCACAGCCTCTTCCCTCGATGTGATTTTATTTCAGAGGCACTTGGCTCTCGTTCTACTTCAACCACCTCCATAAACTCAACGTCCATCAGACTGGTCAACCCATGTCTGAATCCCAACTGTAGATTAAGTGGAACTTCTTCCCCATAGGTGTCCTGGGAAGCATGAAAGTCATGGGATATATGGTTGTCTGTTTTAAGGTCCCAGAACATTCAATGAGAAGCACTTTGCTCCATCTTCTTTGACGGGAGCTGGTCAGCCTGGAGCACATCAGAGACCTCCAGGGGGCGCTGCAGCTAAGGCTTGATACCCAGTGGCCTCATTTCTGACCCAGTTCAAATATATTTCACCAAGGCAAGGATTCCTGTTTGTTCTAGTTGCCTTTGCTCAGTTACTTCTAGATTTGGGTGGGCATCCACACTGGAATGGCCAGAACTTCTATCCTCCTCTTTCCTCCATCTCCCCTACCCCTGTGTTTTTCTCTATTCTAATTCATGCCCTTATTATCATTTCCCTGGACAATAATAGCAGTTTCTTATCTCATCTCCCTGCCTCTGGTTCCTGCTCTCTCCAACTGACTTTACAGTCTTCTGAAAACAGATTTCCAGCCTTGTCATTTTAAGATTTCTGAAGATTTTCAAAAATCTTCAGTGTTCTGACACATATCTGGTTACATGGGAATCACTTGGGAGCTGATTAAAAACACAGATCTCCAGACCTCCCCACCCAGGGAATCTGAATCTCTAGGCAGTGAGTCTGGGGGAATCTTTGCTTCACAGAGGATCTCAAGGAGAGTCTTCTGAGCAGTGAGGTTGGGGACCTGCTGGCCTAGAGGAGAAATCCACACTCCTTAGTCTGGCATCAGGGGGTCTCTGCAATCTGGCAGCTGATTACCATGAAAGAAAATGCTGCCATGTCGCTGATTTGGGCCTCTATGAAGTCTTAGTGACAGATTTTGCAAATTGTATTACTTTTATTTGGACACCTCTCTCAACCAATTACGCCAGCAACTTTCCTAAACCCATGTCACTCTCCTCATCCTTACTCAATGTGTGCATCTTCTCCATCTTATCAGATGACCTTCCTTTCACTTTCCCAGGAACAGAGGGATCAATGGTGTGACCTCCTGAGCCTCCTCCTCCTCCCCCTTCATTCTTTCCTCTTTCTCTAGGACAAAGGTCCTTGTTTAGTGAGAGGCTCACTAGTGCTTTTTGGTCTCCTTCACGGGATTTCTCTCTTGGCCAAATTAATACACGAGTTATTAAGAGATTATTTTTAGGCAGCTAAAAAGGGTAAAAGTTCTTGGTGGAATTTTCCTTTAATAAAAAGCAGCCCCAAACCATTTTTTCTCTAACAGAAAGCAGCCTGAAAACTCAGGCATAGATATGCAAACTAGAAGCTTTTATGTAAATGCTGGCAGCTGTTCCTGGAAGCCAGGTAATTCAATATTGCTGTTCTCACCCTCTTTTCCTTCTACGTTTACAGGTGTCGAGGCAGCCTCCAGGTTAAAGCACGAGTACAGGTATCATGGCCGCCACCAGGTGGAGGCCTCATTTGTATAATAAAATACTAGGGTGGGAGGGCCAGTCTTTTTGCAGGTTATGTAAATGACACACCTGGTCAAACCAATCCCCTGAGCCCTATGTAAGTCAATCACTGCCTCCTCAAGCCTCTGTACAAAACCAATTGCTTTCCACCAGAAACAGGAGACCCTCTCTTGGGTGACCTGCCTTATCAGCATTAGGAAGCTTTTCCTCTCACTCCTCTTTTCTATTAAACTTTCCGCTCCTAAACCCACTCCTTGTGTGTGTCCGTGCTGTGAATTCTTTTTCAGCTATGGTAAAGAACCAGGGTATATACCCTAGACAGTGGAGCTGTTTCATTTTGGGAGCTCATCTGGGATCCAAATCAGAATGGAAGATAGAAACATCGGAGTGGTGAGTATAGAGCAAACGTCAAATCTGTTCTTTAATCTCAAGGATCTCTTCATACCAGTTTCCTTTCATGGAGAACTTCACCATCGCATGAGGCTGGGAAAAGTCTTGGGGCAACTGAAAATTTCTGGCCAGGGCACACCCTGGTGTTATTCAAAGGCTTCTGGACTGAACGCAGCCTCCGACAGCCTGTCCAGGTGTTGGTAATGCATCTCCAGCTATCCCGTTGCAAAATTTTCCTTTCCTTTGTATCCGTGGTCACTGTGTCTCCTGTCCTCTCTCTCTCTGTGTGCAATTTGCGGGAAGTTTTACAGTTCAGGGAAACACTCCTGTTAGGGAAGATCGGCAAATGCCACAGGCAGTAACTGTTACTCTCTATCCTCTCTGGCGAGCACATGGTAGTGCTAAGCCAACAGCACCACCTAGTGGAAATAGAAATCCTCTTCATCAGGCACCTTGTCGGTTTTTTACCGTAACACTGCAGCTTCCAAATTCTTTCGTGCCGCTAGAAAAGCCTCTTCTGTGAACGAGAAAGCACTGTCTTCAACAGTTAGGAGTAAAATGTCCTCTGTAGTGAAATTTTAGTTCTGATACTGTCTCATCAGCAGGAAAAACAGCCATTAGATTCCTACGTTCATTTCTGTCTCCAATTAGGATAGTACTTAATTAGCAAGGGGATTTTAGGTTCGGAAGTTAACCAGAGCCATTTTGCTAAGGGTAAATGTCTTAGCATGGGCCGTAATGGCAGGCAATCTAGCACACTGCCTCCGTTAAAGGAGCCTACCCAAAGATGACATAGTCTCTCTGGAGATCCATTTTTCTGGGAGCCAGGCAGATCACACAAATTTAGGACGTCAAAGGGGATCACATAAGGTGGATAAGCTAAGGTTGTGTGGGTAAAGTATGGTTAATCCCATCACTTAGTTTATCCAGTTCCACGGCTTGGAGGACCACGCCTACAACCATGGGTGGTACATTTAACACGTTGCCAGGACCCAGGAACCAAGGAGAGAAAACAGTAGGGAGGACACTTCCACTGTCTTCTCCTCCACCCTGGGTCACAATGAAAGAATGGGGACGAAAGGATACTTTTATTCTCACTTCTTTTTCTAGATGGGTGACAGACCAGCTTCAGCTTGCACCCCTCTGGAGTGCACTCTGAAACACTGGAACTCCTTTAACCTCAGGACTTTGAAGAGAAAAGTGACTCATTTTCTTTTGCACAAGGGCATGGCTTTTTTACTAAACCTTTGCAAGCATTGTAAGATCAGCCCAGCTTTTTAAATAGGCATATCAGGTAGGCCTATAGAAAATAATCCCCCAGAATTAGAAAGGCAATTTCCAAGGGAACCATCTGAGAATTCCCCTTATTTAGGGTTGCCAATATGGGGGAAGTAAAGAGAAATCAGACTGTTGCTGTGTCTATGTAGAAAAAGGAAGACATAAGAAACTCCATTTTGATCTGTACTAAGGAAAATTCTTCTGCCTTGACATGCTGTTAATCTGTAACCCTAGCCCCAACCCTGTGCTCGCAGAAAACCTGTGCTGTATTGACTCAAGGTTTAATGGATTTAGGGCTGTGCAGGGTGTGCTTTGTTAAAAATGTGTTTGTAGGCAGTATGCTTGGTGAAAGTCATTGCCATTCTCCAGTCTCGAGTACCCAGGGACACAATGCACTGTGGAAGGCCGCAGGGACCTCTGCCCAAGAAAGCCTGGGTATTGTCCAAGGGTTCCCCCCACTGAGAGAGACAGCCTGAGATATGGCCTTGTGGGAAGGGACCTGACCTGACTGTCCCCAAGGCTGACACCCATAAAGGGTCTGTGCTGAGGAGGATTAGTGAAAGAGGAAGGCCTCTTTGCAGTTGAGATAAGAGGAAGGCATCTGTCTCCTGCTCATCCCTGGGAATGGAATGTCTCGGTGTAAAACCCGATCATACATTCTATTTACTGAGATAGGAGAAAGCCGCCTTATGGCTGGAGGTGAGACATGCTGGTGGTAATACTGCTGTTTACTGCACTGAGATGTTTGTGTAAAGTCAAACATAAATCTGGCCTATGTGCACATCCAGGCACAGCACCTTTCCTTAAACTTATTTATGACACAGAGTCCTTTGCTCACATGTTTTCCTGCTGACCCTCTCCCCACCATTACCCTATAGTCCTGCCACATCCCCCTCACTGAGATGATAGAGATAGTGATCAATAAATACTGAGGGAACTCAGAGACCAGAGCCGGCACAGGTCCTCTGTATGCTGAGCACTGGTCCCTTGGGCCCACTGTTCTTTCTCTATACTTTGTCTCTGTGTCTTATTTCTTTTCTCAGTCTCTCGTCCCACCTGATGAGAAATACCCACAGGTGTGGAGGGGCTGGCCCCCTTCAACCTCAAGCTCCCTTTTCATTACAGGACCTTAGGCAAACAAAGGAAGACTTATGCTAATTTTCTGATAACCCCAATAGGTATATAGAAGCTGTCCAGAATTTAACTCAGGTGTTTCACCTCACATGGAAGGATGTTATGCTGCTCCTAAACCAAACTCTAACCGCAGTTGAAAAGCAGGCAGCTCTGCAGGCAGCAGATAATTTTGGAGATGAGCAACATATCTCCTATAATACACCAAAAGGGAAGAAAAGAGATAGGGAAAGTGAAAAAAATAGCAGAAACACCATTCCCAGTAGGAAGGGAAGCAGTTCCTCTCGACAACCCCAACTGGGACCCCAGTAGCTCTGCAAATGAATAGAAATGGAAGCATTTTTAAAATATGCATATTAGAGGGTCTATGAAGAACTAAGGCCTGACCTCTTAATTCCTCTCAACTGTCTATGATAGACCAAAAGCCAGATGGGAATCCTGCAGCTTTTATGGAAAGGCTGAGAGAGGCACTAATAGAGCACACTTCCTTAGCCCCTAATTCAGTCAAGGGATGGCTCATTGTAAAGACAAGTTTATTACACAGGCAGCTCTTGATATTAGAAGGAAACTGTAGAAGCACGCTATAGGACCAGATAGCACCTTGGGGAACCTCCTGAGGGTGGCCACTTATAATAGGGACCAGGAGGAGGCCCCCCAGAAAGAGAGAAAGCTCAGGAGAAAGACAGAGGCTCTAGTAGCAGCTTTGCAAGCTTGCAAAGTCCAAGATTTCTGAGGTGCATCCGCTAGTTGCTATCAGTGTGGCAAGCCAGGGCATTTTAAAAAGGAGTGCCCAAACAGCAAGAGGAAGCCACCTCAACCCTATCCAGCCTGTGGTGGAGACCACTGGAAATCAAACTGTCCCCGGAGACGGAGGTCACTGGAGTCAGAACCAGTCTCACAGATGGTCCAGCAGGACTGATGGGTCCCGGGGCTCAAACCCCAGCTCCAGTGGCTCAAACTGCCATTACAGCACGGGAGCCACCAGGTGATTCTGGAAATTGAAGGAAGGAAAGTAGACCTCCTTCTAAACACTCGAGCCAGTCTCTCTCTCTTTTCTCCTCTTTAATCCAGGCCTCTCTTCTTCCCATAGCGTGAGTGTAAGGGGTGTCTCAGGAAAAACTCTATTCCAATATTTTTCTCAACCTCCTAATTGCAGTTAGGAGGACCTATTGTTTACACATGCTTCCAAGCCATTGCCACGGTGGCTCTACTAGTCAAAAAAGCCTCCAAATTAACCCTAGGAAATAATTTAACTGTTTACACCCCACATAATGTAGCAGGATTACTGTCCTCTAGGGGAGACTTTAGCTAACAAACAGCAGGTAAAGCAAGAAATACGTAAGGCAGGACAAGCAATAGTCACTCTAATGTCTCTCCCCAGACACAAGCACTCAATTAGCTGAACTAATAGTTCTTGCAAGTGCACTTAAATTAAGCAGGGGAAAGATAGCTAACATTTCCACTGACTCCAAGTATGCTTTCTTAGTTCTCCATGCTCATGCTGCTATTTAAAAGGAAAGACATTCTTTTACCACTAAAGCATCTCCTATAAAATATCACCAGGAAATTAACAGGTTATTATCCTCAGTTTTCCTTTCATGAAAAATAGCAGTAATGTATTATAGGGAACATCAAAGGGGAACAGATGAAGTAGCCAAAGGAAATAGGTTAGCTGAGCAGGGAGCTAAGCAGGCGGCAGGGAAGCCTCAAGGCATTAACACACTTCAAGCCCTTTTAATCTCCGAAGCCTCCATAAAAGAAATTAAACCTCAGTATTCCCCTGCAGAAATAAAATAAGCCACTTCTTAAGGGTATTCCAGCCCTGAGGATGACAAACTCCATTTACTGGCCTCCAGTCAATGGAAAGTCCTTAAAATCCTTCACCAAGCTTTTTCACATAGGAAAGGATAAAACTTATCATCAGTGTGCTCAGAGATTGTTTTCAGGCAGAAAACCTCTAAGTTGTTTAAAAATGTAACCTCTCTAGCTCACTTCCAACGGAAATTGACACAACTAGCCAAAGGCCAACCCCAGGAAATTGGACCACCTTTACTTAGCCAGAAAATTTGGTATTGGTGAAAACTCATCTCTCTCTCCTTCCCTAAGCCAGGCTGGGAAGGGCCCTACACAGTTCTTCTTTCAACCCCCACAGCAGTAAAAGTTACAAGTATCAACTTCTGA